>NC_000001.11:110765956-111068986 GCF_000001405.40 Homo sapiens
TTGTAAACATTATAGCACTATTTGTCTTTTAAAATTATGTGTTTGATTTTTAAAAAATCTAAAGTAGAAAAGGGAGAAGACGAATTTTAGACATCTGAGATAGACCCCTTGGGATTCGGCAGCCTCTGAGGGATAGGCAGTTGGAAACAAGACAATGCAGAGAGCTGAGAATAATCAGTTAATTTGAGAGAGAAAAAAAAACAAAAACAAAAAACGGAGAAAGTTAGTATCATAGAAGTAAAAAAGAGATCTTCCAGCAGGAGGTAATGGCAACAGCGCCACATGCTGGTAAGTAGGAAATTATTCAGGCACTGGATCTCAGCTCCATCACTGAACTGTTGTTTCCTCATCTAAACAATGGTGTAATGATATCAACTTCACAATACCCTTTTATTGCTGCTTTTATGAGATGAAAGAGTGACCAAGTTGCTGCAGTAAGACATCCTTTTCAGCACCCAGTTTTGCGTCTTGACTATACTTTCCTCAAACTAAATATTGTTTAGGGAAAGGGTTATGTTAATGAAAATTCATTTTATTATCAAAATTATATAACTTCTTTCCAAGATCCTGGGAAAGATGTTTTCTCTTTTTAATTTGGCTGAGATTAGGCTTCAGTTCCTTGAAACAGAGAGGTGCAGTTGAGATTCTGGAGGCTGTTGGAGAATCCCATGGAAATTCTTTTTCCTTGAGAAATATCTGTAGGGGACTGTCAGCCTCTTGCTGGATGGGTGAAATAATCTCTTTCCTGCCGCAGGACTCAAACTACAAGATGAGCTTCCCTTCTCCAGTGAGTGGACACATAACAGAGACATTAAAGTGATGCTGTCTCAACTCAGCCCAGGCCTGACTTTCAGACAACACACATTGGATCTTAAGCCTAGAGGCATCTAGCCTAGAGCCTGAGCCCAAGAAAAAAACTGAAGAGTCTCTGAGAGGAGAAAAAATCTGGAGTAGAGTGCTGTTCCAACGTCACCAAAATCCCTGTCCTCTTCTCGCTAAAGCAAGAGGTCTCCCTACAGTGACAAGTCCCCATAAAACCATGAGGGCTGTTGAGTTGCCTTTGTTCTGATATCTCCCAGCCTCGGTTTAACAGTAATGACAACAACGACAATTTTACAGAGCGTACTATATGCCAGGTACTGTTCTTAGCACTTTACTTATGTTAACTTTTGTACAGATGAGAAAAATGAGGCCCAAAGGGGTTAAACAACTTGCTAATATTAGAGACAGTCCAAATATTAAAGGAGGTCCCTGAACACTGGCATCTCTACCATGTCTTTAAGATCCTCAGCATCCATTTGAGAGGTGGAAGTTTCTCCCCTCCTCAAAAACCTGCAGTGAGTTCCACCAAATTTTAGCATAGAGAGTATCCAGACTTCTTACCTTGGCTTTCAGAGTTCTTTATGACGCCTAACTTCACCTCCACTATTCTTATCACATTCCGGGAGTGCCTGCTACAATGAGCTTCTCATATGCCAAAAAGAGTGGCATATGCTCTGTAAGGCTGAGGAGAGAGTTTTTTGGGAAAGAGAGCATTTCAGGATCAAACATGTCATACCACACCTGCACCTACCCACTTGCTTGAGCCCAGCCCTCTCAGTTCTATTTCACCCAGACCCCAGGGAGCTTAATGCTTGAGTAAGGAGTTGGTGGACTAGGTGACCTTTGGGGTTCCATCTGGACTAAAAATAGAACAGCAGGCTTTCTATGTTCACTTCTGCCCATGTCTGTGGACAGTCCTGGATGGAGTAAGGATCGCTTTCTTTATATATCACCTAAAGACCAAGACATTTCTCTCTAAAAGCCTTCCAGCCCTCAGAAGTCCATATACACAATCTCTCTCTCAGACTAAGGGAGGTACGTAGGGGCCAGTGAAGGAATGAAGCAGAGTGAAGCTCTTAGGGATGGTGTACTCCTCAAGAACTTTTATACAGACTGAATCTGTACTGGCCAAACTGACCTCTCTTTTTTTGTTCAACCACAGTGGATCACTTGGTCTTTTTAAATATTTGAAGCACTTTCAACATTCAATGTCTTCTGTCAATTTCTTCCTTTTGCCTGAAGTGCCCTTTTCCTTTGGTTTTCTTGGCAAACTTCTGCCCTTTCTTCAAGGTTCAGCTTAAATATCACCTTCTCTGAGAAATGTCTTCTGGACCAGTTAGACAGTAAACCATGCTGGAGGCAGCAGTGGCATCTCGTCGTGAAAGTGAGTAGCCTTCCCAGATGTGTATGTCAAAAGAAGGCTGCTCTACATTAGGTAGAAAATGAGCCAAGGGAACATTTGTGGGGATAGCCACAGCACCCCCACACTCCTAACAAGACGCAGTTAGGGTTCCAATTGAACCACTGATTGGTGATCAAAGACTCAATGCCATTGAGCATGGCCACAATAAATTTAGCAGGAGAAAAACAAAGCAGGTAAAACTCTAACCTCAGCCCTAACAATTCTCAGTAGGACATTCACATAACACTTAACCTTGAGCAATTAACCCTTTTTTGGTGCGTCCTTCAAGGTTAACTGATTGTTGCATATATGCATCAGCAATGGAAGAATTAACTTGCCACATATGGTTAATCAGATGCAGTCAAATGTTAGAGGATTTCTGTCAAAACCAGTGACTTTTGTTACAGAACAGGTGAGCTACGTCTCTTTTGTAAGTCTATAATTATATCTATAATTAGATAAGGAGAACAATAATCTTTTAAGGCTATTTCTAATTCAGGACAGTAATGCCATTTAAAAATTGTTAATTGTGGTAAAATACATGTAACACAAAATTTACAATCTTAAGCATCTTTAAGTGTATAGTTTAGGAGTATTAAGTACATTCACATTGTTGTGCAATCATCACCCTCTCCAGAACTTTCCATCTTGCAAAACTGAAACTCTGTGCCCATTCAGCAATAACTCTCAATTCCCATTTCTCCTACCCCCGGCAACTATTTTTCTACTTTTTGTCTCCGTGAACTTGACCATAAATACCTCATATAAGTTGAAGTACCTCATATAAGTGGAATCATGCAGCTTTTGTCTTTTTGTGACTGTCTTACTTCACTTAGCATGCCTTCAACGTTCATCCATGTTGTAGCATATGTCAGGATTTTCTTCCTTTTTAAAGCTGAATAATATTCTATTGTAGCTGTATACTACATTTTGTTTATTCATTCATCCATCAATGGACACTTGGATTGCTTCCACCTTTTGACAACTGTGTATAACATTGCTGTGAACCTGAATGTACGCATTTCTGTTTGGGTCTCTGATTTTGATTCTTCTATATATATATATACACAGAAGTGGAATTGCTGGATCATAGGTATTTCTATTTTTTATATTTTGAGGAACTGTCATACTGTTTTCCATAGAAGACTCACCATTTTACATTCCCACCAACAGAGAACAAGCGTTCCAACTTCTTCCCATCCTCATCGACGCTTGTTATTTTCTGTTTTGTTTTAATTTTGGTAGTAACTATCCCAATGGTTGTGATGTGGTATCTCATTGAGGCTTTGATTTGCATTTTTGTAATGATTATTGATGTTGAGCATCTTTTCACCATTTAAACATAAGAGAATGCTTTGCATGCTCATTTTTGTAATGGGAATGTGTGCGTTACACCAGGGTTGTCAAGTCATTTACAATTTTTAATAAAGTTCTAAACACATCCCTGTTTATCTTGCCTGACTTGGATTATGCTAATAGAATCATCAAAATTACATTCTAACTTCTCAATTCTTTGGTCAGTCAAAGGTGTGTTCTGCATAAGCATCAACAATCGGGGTCAATATCAAGATTATATAACTTTTCTCATCACCAATTCCTATCCATAGAGTATACACAGGCACACTTGATTCTCTCCTATGGCTTTCAGAGGTTTTTTTTTTTGGTGGGGGGGCAATCAGAAGTCTATGATAAATGCATTTGAAAATTCCTGCATGGCCTCTTCTTGTTTCTGCTTTACATGTTTCTTCTCTGTCAAGCAAGGCACCAGGAGAGTAAATCCTGTATTTGCTAGAGCAGCGTGTGAATAAAATCATTTTAAGGTAATGGCAATTCATTCAGAGGAGATAAGAGGACAAACCTGTCCTTTGAGGCATTCAAGGTTTAAAAGGATCTTTGATAGTAACAGCTCAAATAGAGCTAAAAAAAGAAAAACTGGCACATTTGTTATCAGTCCCTTAACTTCCTCAGCATAATCATAAGGCCAGATGGGCTCCAGAGAAGCTATGCAAAGATAAGTAATGGAGAAAATGTATATTTTTTGCTCAGACCATGGCAAAAGTGGCTAACCAGAATATAAAGTAGACAATTTAGGTAGAAACGCAAGTCAAGTTCTCCTGAGATTTATTCCATGTACTGCTGTTTATTACCGCTGTATTCTGAGGAAAGTAAGGCTGGCAATATCTTTTTTTCCATTTAGGTTAATCAATCTATCTGTGAAAGAATTGTCTATGGGAATCCACTCATTCCCTAAAAGCTTGAAACAAGAGCTCATGGAATTCCTGCCAATCCTAGTGTTTAGATCTCCAGCGATGTTATTTGAACCTGGAAAATAAATACCAATTATCATCAAATTGTGTGTCTGAGCAGACAGGGTAGTGTGAAGGGTAAAACAGAGTCTTCATGCTGTCAGGAAAATCAGTCAAGGCCAGAAGAACAGTTCCCCATGCTGTGAGCAGAAGCCAGCTGAGATGAGGGGGGCTCATCCACTGTTAATACATTTTTTTTTTCTTGACAGCCAAAAAATAAATGGTCTAAACCTGTGATAAAAGAAAGTTCTAAAGTGAAGGGTGTCCACAGGCACATTAGTTTGAGAAGAACAATGGGCTGACCTTTTCAACTCTTTATTTTTAAGTATGCTTTAGATTATATTCTAGATCCAATTGGAGTTCATACACTAACAGTACAGATTCTGCCTTTTTAAGTAGCCCTTGAGTGGTTTCAGTTGCTTTTCTTGACTTGAGCATTTAAAATCCTTCAGCAACGAACCTTAAAACCCTCAGAAAATCTAATGACAACATCCCTCCTGTAGAGCCTCAGTCAGCCCTGTTTCAAGTGAGGACAAACATTGCCCTGGCCTTCAGGTAGAGCTGCATAACATGGGGATTCACAGGGCAAACACTCTGGAGTCAGAGCCTGTGTTTGCCTCTTGCCTGCCCTGCTTCCTTGTTGTGACACTCCAGGCAGGTTATTTAAATTATCTGTACCCTAATTCCCTCATCTGTAAAATGGCAATAAAATTATCATTATACTGACGTGTGTGCTTATGAGGATTACATGTGGTCATTCATATAAAGTACTCAGAACCCAGGCTGGTGCATGCTAAATGTTTAATAATTGTTACCTATTATTATTATTACTAATTTTATCATTATATAACTTATCCCGTGCACCCAGTTAGAAATCATGTCCCAGACCTGCCTGGCCTCATTCTTTTGGTCTAAGTAGGGTATGTCCAACCAGTTTCTGGAAATGAGGTATCTTTACAGTGTCCAGGTGAGGTCACCTGCCTTGAGGCAAGACTTACTGGTGACTTAGCCAAGGAAGAATTCCTTAGACTCTCTGAAATGAGAGGGTAGTTTAACAGATGGTGAATGTAAGCTCCGGGTCAAATTCTCCCTCCCAGCCAAGTGTCCATCCCTGAGACTGTGAGGGTCCTGTCTTGCACAGGCTCCTTCCAAGGCCCTGGGCAATGCCTGCCAATTTTATATTCATAATTTTATATTATTTTTATTAAAGGGTCTTCTAAATCTTTAGGCTTCTCAAAACCTGGATCCACTCCTACATAGGACTTGTCATAGGGAAAGAGCACTTTTTTTTTTTTGGCAGGACTTCAGTTGGCCATATTTCCTCATGTGGCTACTCTGAAGAGATCCCATTTCCAGGAACTGGGTGGACATACTGTACCTTGGGCCAAAGGAGTGGGGCCAGGCCTGTAAATAGACTCAACCCTTGTAGAAGCCATTTATAAGAAGTTGAGGTATTGTCAGTTTGGCCTAGGCTAGTGGTTCTCCACTTTGGGAAGGGGTGCTGGGGTAGAAAGATCAGATTTACCTCTTCAAACTATGCACGCTTGGCAGGGAGAGGCCTATCAAATTTTCTGCCCAGATAATTTTAATACACTCCCCCAGACTGACTGGCCCTCACTGAGTTGGAGTATGGGGCCCTACCTCCCTGGAATACAGTATGTTTTCTTTTGAGAACCTGTGGTGGATTCTGCGGTGCTCCCTAAGCTCACCCAGCCCCACCCTAGGAGCTTCACCTAGTGACAGTGTACACAGAGTCCTCCCCCAGCATTACCCTCCAGGGAAGGAACTTCCTTACCCAAGATTAAGCTGCCTGGTACATGCAAGTTTCTAATGAATAAAGGCCCAGCCCCCAGCCTCAATTTGGGATATGTATCTCTGAAAGGCCATCCCAGTTTCAGAGCTCCCTGGGGGACTAAGGCTTTTGTTTCAACTGCATCCCAGTTGACTTCTCCCTCCACCCTGTCCTGCTTCTCTCACTTCCTTGCAGGTGTTCTGAATGCCCTCCCCCAAAAACCTTCTGAATGCAAATCTGTCTCAGAGTCTGTTTCCCAGGGAACCTGATCCACGACAAACCCCCATCACACTGTCTTCCTCCTCCCCCATTCAGTATAACCTTCCCAATGCCCCTTATAAAGCACTCCAGAAGAGAAACATTTATAACTCTCAGAAATATGACAGATTCGTGGAAGACACATCACAGATACAAGAAGTCAACTATATCAATGTTTAGGTTAAAAAAATAAACTACTGAAATAAAAAGGACTCGTTGGAGATGGTTTAAAAATGAAGCAAAAAGCTTATAGATTAAAGAAACACATGTGAGATTAGGTAACATAGATGAGTTTTAAAATAAAAGACTAGCAGCTACAGTTTTTTTTTTAACTTCTATTTTAAGTTCAGGGGTACAAGTGCATGTTTGTTACAGAGGTAAGCTTGTGTCATGGGGGTTTGTCGTGCAGATTATTTCATCACCCAGGTATTAAGCCTAGTACTCATTAGTTGTTTTAAAAAGTAAAAAGAAATAAGAAATTGAGCTTTTAGATGAAAAGGTAAGACCTAGGATATGAAATGCTGAAAGCATACATACAGATAGGAGTTGAGAATTAGAAATAAAATTCAAGAACTAAAGGATAAAAAACGAATTTAGGAATGGCTTTAAAAATAAAAGCATTTCCTCAAATGGTTAAACATAGAATTACCATATGATCCAGCAATTTCACTTCTATGCCTATACCCCAAAGAATTAAAAGCAGGAGCTCAAACAGATACTTGTACACCCATGTTCACGGCAGCATTATTCACAATAGCTAAAAAGTGGAAGCAACCCAAATGTGGATGAGCAACATGTGGCATAACATACAATAGAATATATTATTCAGCCTTAAAATGAAGAAAATTCTGACATATGCTATAACATGGATGACGCTTAGAGATATTATGCTAAGTGAAATAAGCCAATCATAAAAAGATAAGTGTTTTATGATTCCATTTATATGAAGTACCTAGAGTAATGAAATTTACAGAGACAGAAAATAGAATGGTGGTTACCAGGGGCTGGGGGAGTGGGCAATGGTGAGTTAGTGTTTCATGTGTACACAGTTTCAGTCTGGAACCATGAAAAAGTTCTGGAGATGGATAGTGGTGATGCTTGTAAAACATTGTAAATGTAGGTAATGCCATGGAATTGTACCCTCAAGAATTATTAAAATGGTAAATTTTGCTATGTACATTTTACCACAATAAAGAATCACCCCCTCCCACCAAAAAAAACAAAAGTTCATAGATTAGAGGAAGAGAGAGAGAGAAGAGAGAGAGAGGAGAGAGAGAAGAGAGAGAGGTGAGAGAGAAGAGAGAGAGAGGAGAGAGAGAAGAGAGAGAGGTGAGAGAGAAGAGAGGAGAGAGAAGAGAGAGAGAGGAGAGAGAGAAGAGAGAGAGGTGAGAGAGAAGAGAGGAGAGAGGAGAGAGAGAGAGGAAAGGGAGAAAGAGAGGAGAGAGGAGAGATAGGAGAGAGAGGAGAGAGAGGAGAGATAGGAGAGAGAGGAGAGAGGAGAGAGAGAGAGAGAAAGAGAGAGAGAGAGAGAGACAAAGAGAAAGCCTAGCTAAGCTTGCCAGCTTTGGTTCTGAGCAGAACTGTGTGTGGTGGAGATGCAGTGCTCCTTCATGGAGGAGACAGAGACCAATACACGATGCCCCTACTCTCACCCGCCTATCATGTTCATGTTTCCGTCGAAGGCAAATTTTTCAGCTGGGTCTTCTAGCTACAGGGACCCTGCCTCCTGTGTTGGCCAGCCCCTCTGGAAACTTTTCAGGCATCTGCCATAATCCATGTTGACAAGGGAGAGACTCCTCAGGACAGAAATGAAGAGAGAGTCAAAGCCAAGATGGGTGGTTGTGACTTACCGACTTATTTTAACCAGCAAATTTGGGGGCAGTGGCTATTTTGAGCTGTGTCTGAAGGAAGTCTTTCCTGCACATAGGAATGCAAGTGTTGGCAGCCATCACTGTGGCTTCCTAACAATTGTTCCCTCTTTCCTGACATTCTTCCCATCCTGTAGTTCCAGCACTGAGAGTCCTTCCCACTGGGAGACTTGGGTTATGAAAATACTCCCAAAGAGGAAGCTGCTTTTCCAAGTATAGAGGAAGTGGAAAGGCAAGTGTGATCTGGATTCTACCTGGTTCTGTTCCCACATGAATGACTGCCAAGAGTTCCCACCCACTTGCAGCCAGTGCCAGAGTTTCTTTTCAGCCTCCAAAACTCTTGGTTTTCCAAGAAGTTATCCTAAATTAATTCTATTTATGATAGTCCATGATGACACATTAATCATTTGTTCACATCTTTATTCATTTGGCTAACTTTCATTCTACAAACATCTATTCAACAAATATTTATTGAGTGCCTAATATGTGCCACTGCACTGGGAACTATGTCAGGAAGCTTAGAGATTGATTCTAGCATGAACACTTTATTTTATAGTTGAGCATAAAGACCTAGAATTGCTCTATTCAATACAACAGCTACTGGCCACATGCGGCTATTTAAATTTGATTTAATTAAAATTAAAAAGTGGCCAGGCGTGGTGGCTCATGCCTGTAATCTCAGCACTTTGGGAGGCAGAGGTGGGTGGATCACCTGAGGTCAGGAGTTCCAGACCAGCCTGACCAACATGGTGAAACTATGTCTCTACTAAAAAATACAAAAATTAGCCAGAAACTGTGGCGGGTGCCTGTAATCCCAGCTACTAGGGAGGCTGAGGCAGGAGAATTGCTTGAACCTGGGAGGCGGAGGTTGCAGTGAGCCGAGATTGCGCCATTGCACTCCAGCCTCAGTGACAGAGCAAGACTTCATCTCAGGAAAAAAAAAAAATACAAAGTTAGTTTCTGAGTAACAGTCACATTTCAAGTTATCAATAGACTCATGACTACTGGCTGCCACGTTGGACAGTGCAGATCTAGAACATTTTCAGAAAGCTCTATTGGGCCACGATGGCTTAGAGAGTTAAGTAAATTGCCCTCGATCACATAGCCCTTCCAATCAAATTCTGTGAACAGCACAATTTTCTGTATCTTATGTTTCTACTAATTATATAAAAATGAAACTCATTTCTGTGTTGGACATCTCCTCCAGAAACTTCTCAAGCACCTGCCATAATCCATGTCGAGATGAGAAAGTGGGCCTGGTTGTAAACACCAAAATATTTGAAAGAAAATAGAAGAAAAATGGAGACACATGTACAGATATTTAAAAATTATACAGGTAGCTAACTCCAGCTAGAGTAAAATATCCACATGTCTGCCTGATTGTTTTTATTAACAAAACAAGACTTTTAAAATGTTGAAAGCATGGCTTCAATTCTTACCCTAGGCACCTGCCTCTAGTTTGATTGTGGAACCACCCCTTTGGCTTGAGGATTGAGGCAGACTGCTTCAGCAGTGGGTCTGCACAGGACTGTCTTGGATCTTGTTCTTTGCTCTGTATGTCCTGGGTGATTCCATGCCATTTCCAGGCATTAAAACCCATCGATAGGCAGATGATTCCCAAATATACATCTCTCTCCAGGCCTGCTAGCTCCTTGATCTCTGGATGACTTGGACTCTACACTTGGATGCCTAACAGTTATTTCAAGTCCACAAGTCCGAACATAACTCTTGATCTCACCCTGCCCTCAAACCTGCCCCTCCACCGTCTTGCCTTTCCCAACAAATGGTAACCCCTACATCAAGACATTCAAGTGAAAACCTACAGGTCATGCCGGATTCCTTCCTTTCCTTCATGTCACATTTCAAATCCTATTACCTCTACCTCTCAAATACATCCCCAACAAGTCTCTCCTTCTTTCCAGCTTCACCCCAGTGGTTCCAGACCAAGCCATCATCGTCT
This sequence comes from Homo sapiens, assembly GCF_000001405.40. Classification (NCBI taxonomy): domain Eukaryota; kingdom Metazoa; phylum Chordata; class Mammalia; order Primates; family Hominidae; genus Homo; species Homo sapiens. Next base: position 110,776,365 of record NC_000001.11, read on the forward strand.
CTGCCTGGACTCCTCCAAAAGCCTCCTATACTCCATCCCTATACTCCATCCTTCCACTTTAGTAAGCTTCAAATCAATGGCCTACCTGGCCTTTGCCTTCAAAGTTAAAATGATAGGAAGTGAACAGCAATCACAAATAAGGATTAAGTTAGATTTAAAAGCAACTTCCTGTCAAATAGTGATGTGTGTGTGTGCGCACACGTGTGTGCACAGGGAGGTGGGTATTGACTGAGAAGAAGCATGAGGGAAACTTCTGGGCTGCTAGAAATGTTCTATATCTTGATCTAGGTGTTGGTTATGTGGGTGCATATATATATGCATATAAATTATACTTTAATTTTTAAAAGTTAAAAAAATAAAGAAAAGGAAAGGAAAGGACTTCTTGCCAAGATTTTAAAGACAGTTTGGCAGCACATAAAGGGATGTTGTGGAATCTACTTTCTTGGCTTCCTTTCAGAATAGGATGGGAGTCCTAGCTGCCTGGGGGTGTTCAGTGCCTAGAATTAAAGAGATATAATCAGAAATCACATTTGTTCTGCTTAATTCTACCCTTGGCCCTGTGTTAGATGCATCATGATGAATATTTAATGTGTCACTTAACATTTCATCACAGAAGAGTATTTAAGGACATTATGAATAATTAATATGCTGGGTGGAGGGATGTTTGAGAGTACCCAGCCTGGGTCACTTTTCACTGTGGAGCCAAATTACTGTGGGATTCTTTGGGGTCAAAAGCAGTCACCATTTGCCAGGCCTTTCCTGGATGTGTCCAAATACCACTGTGTCCTTCAGCTTCAGAAATAAGGCAGCCTAAAGCAAACCAGACTGTGATAAAAGGATGTGTTGTAAATTTACATTTATGGAGGAACACAGCAACACAGTCTGTGGCGCCTTAGAGAAGCCAAATTGACTCATGGCTTTCCTTTTCTCTCTACCCACTGACCAGCAATGGGAGACCCTGACCAACTGTCTGGCAAGCAGCTGAGTAGGCATGATGATCTGTGTTGTCATCTGCAAGCAGGCACTTGTGTTTGCCAGATTGGGTGAGTAGGAGTGCAGGGATCTTGGTGTGCCACACAACAGCACAGTAGTTAAAGCACGGGCTCTAGAGTTGCACCACCTGGGTTCACTGCCCGCTGCTGCCCCTTCCTGAGTGTATGACCTTGGGCGAGTTTCTGAACCTCTCTGTGCCTAAAGTTACTATAGGCAATAGCACCAGTGGCATGAGTTTTAATGATTTTAGATGTTAATGCATGTAATTAAAACAGTCCTTGGCACATGGTGTGATTTTTCACAGATAAACTGCAAACAGACAAGTAATTTTTTTGTAAGAACAGTTCACACTTTCAGATCCACCTGACCCTAAGTGTGTGTTCTAAACCACTATTCTTCACTTCTTCCCTGAAAGCACTGAACTCTGATAGAGGTGCGCTGGGCACGATGGTGTAGGGGAAAGAAAGGAGTCCTTCTGGCACTGAGTTATACCTGCATACTGTGAGCCAGAGTTGAGGGGATGGGAATGGCATCCCATGACCTGAATTCATGTTCTGGCCCTGTCACCACCCAGCTGCGTAATCTTGAGCAGTTACTCACCTCCTGGCCTCAGACTCCTCAATTGTGCAGTGGGGAGTTGGATAGGATCCTCTAAGATCCCTCTGACCCTGGCATTCTGCCATTCCAATGTCCACATTCAGCCCTACTCATAGCAGTTGCTCTGGTTTGGGTACGTGGCTCTGATGGGGAACAGAGGCTAAAAGGGCTGCTACTGGGTGAGTATGTCTGAAGGCACCTCAAATGACAAATGTATCTGAGCATATCTTTCTCCTGTCCTCGCCAACACTGATTTTTCCAAGTCTGGGATTGATGCATTGCTGAGATGGAGAGGGGAAGAGTACACAGTGTTCTTCCCCGAGTCCACAGAGGGCAGGCCCTTGCAGAGCTGTCTGCTTTGTGACTCCTCCTGGGGCTTCAGTAGGCACAATGTGCATACTGTCATCTGAAGAGGTAGGCAGGAGGTGGGGGGAAAAGTGAGGAAGCAATATTCTCCCTGGCTTGAAGGCCAGGAACCGAAGCTGCCTGATTTCTAGTCACAGTTTTGCTACTTCTTGTCTCTGAAACCCTGAGTCAGTCCCTCCTGGGGCCTCAATTTCCTAATCTATCAATAAAGATAATCTTATCTGAGGCTAGTCTGGCGTGTTAAAGGGCACAGGAAATCTCCCTGCACACTATCTAGTCCTATAACATGGATGTGGTTTTCCTCTTCTTGGGAAATTTCTGGTGCTCACAGAACTGATTTACAAATACCTCCAGCTTTTGGGATGGAGACTAAAAACCTTGCTTCTCAGGAGCACAGTCTTGCCACAGAAGCTGGAGTATCTAAGAGCACAGCCATGACTTTCTACTTGACATCAAGAGCAGGATTTGGGTGAGGAGCATGTAATTCGATACTAAAACATGAACCCAGCAGGAAAGACAGTGTGATGGAGACCAGAGCCCTGTGCTTGGCATTGGAGGTGCACAAATGAATAAAGGCCAATGGTCCAAAGAGAGAGAGAACTTGGTTAGACAATCACAGTCTATGATGGAGAAGTACAGGTGCTTTGGGTGCACTGAGAAGAAATATCCAAACTGGGAAGTAAGGTTGAGAGAGGGAAGGGAAGCCTCCTCGAGAAGGTGATGTCAGAGCTGAGTCCTGAAAGATGAGTAGGAGTTAGTTGGAAAATACAGGTTTTAAGAAAAGGAATTCAAAGCAGAGGGTACTGTATGTACTGAGGGCAAGAAAGACTGGCTATGCTAGGGAAAACAAGAAGTTCAGAATGGCTGGAGTATAGAATCATGCTTCTGGGGATGTGGAAGGAAGGAAAAAGGAGAAGGGAGAGAGTAGCAAGAGAAGAAGCAAGGGAGAAGTGCTCCCTGATCTCAAGGGAGAAGAACAGAACTTTATTCCGGTTCCCAATTTAAAAATGCTTTAAACAGGCTGGTCATGGTGGCTCACGCCTGTAATCCCAGCACTTTGGGAGGCCGAGGGGGGCAGATCACAAGGTCAGGAGCTCAAGACCAGCCTGGCCAAAATGGTGAAACCCCATCTCTACTAAAAATACAAAAATTAGCTGGGAGTGGTGGCGGGTGCCTGTAGTCCCAGCTACTTGGGAGGCTGAGGCAGGAGAATTGCTTGAGCCCAGGAGGCAGAGGTTGCAGTGAGCTAAGATCACACCACTGCACTCCAGCCTGGGTGACAGAGCAAGACTCTGTCTAAAAAAAAAAAAAAATTCTTTACACATGATGGCCACAGAGGGTAAGAGATTTGCCCATGGCCGTGTGGGGAAACAAATGACCCAAAAATGTGTTGAGGGTGGGGTAGGCATGAATGTGTTGAAGTCACTGCCCTTGAGAGTGCCTGCCAGAGATTTCCTACCTTGCTGAAGGTGATCACAAGAGTGATTGCATAGCAGGTTAATAATATACTAAACGCAGAGCAGTCTACAACATTCCAGATGTGCTACATTTCTGTGCCAGCAGAAACTAATTAAACTCTGTGAATGGGAAGTGTGTGTGTGTCTGAGAGCGGAGAGCAGAATCAGACTAATCTGACATTTCACACTCTTTCCATGACCTTGGCAGATAGCTTCCATTCAGCCAATCTCTGTTCCCCACTCTTCATTCATATACCTTCCTAAGGCTTGAGCAGCTAGCATTTAGAAATGGTACAAATTCCAGGTTTTGTTTAAAAACAAACAAACAAACAAAAAAACCCTTCCCATTAGGGGCTGCCGTTTGACAGGAGCCATTACTTTCAAATCTGAGAAACCAAAGCCCAGACAGGCTTTGTAAGGTCCCCAGAATAGCGCTGCCAGGCAAGGGCAGCTCTGGAGCTAGAACCTAGGCTCCTGTGTCCTAGCCCGACACTCTTCACCCTGCACCTGCCAGGGGTAATGGTGTTGTCTTACAAGGTCTGTAGTAACAGTGATGAGGCCAGAAAGTGATGTCAGCTGTGCGGGGACCACTCTGGGCCTTCTCTGCACCGCCATAGATAACCCCACCTAGGAAACCCCTTCAGAGGCCCTGGAATACAAAGACTCCTTGACCTTCCATCCCAAACTCCACTCTGATCTTTGTTCCCATGATCAACATGACTTAAAAGCTACACTACATGAGGAGGACTGGGCACGTGGGGATGCGATTTTAGGAATTATGCCACTTTATGCCAGCGAATGAAGGACTGTCCCAAATTCTACAACGAAATCCTCCGTGAAGCGGGCCCTCAGCTTGAGCGCAGGCTTTGAGGAGGTCTAAAACGTGAAGCTCTAGCGCTGCAGAGAGGAGCAGCCCCTCACCTTGGGTCGCTTTCCTTCCCCGTCCTTTGTATCAAATGCTCACGCCCAATTCGCAGGGGCGACGGGAGTGAATCCAGCCTGGGTCCTGCCCGGCCGATGGCGCTGTTCCTCCGCCCCCTTCCCTCAGCCCATTTTCTCCTCATCAGGCAACAGAAATGTCTGAACACCTGCGGGGGCACAGACTGGGGTGAGAGGCCTAAGCAGGCAGAATGTCTGTAATTATAAAGTGCTGTCCAAGATCCTAGGCCAAACCTCGGGGAAACGGAATAGGAAGAACTGCGTCCAGGCCTTGGGGAGGATTCTCCACGCACACGGTGAGGTGTTTGGCGGCTCAAGGGTCTCTGTGGTGAAGCGCTGCCCTCTGGTGGTAAGAGGTAGAAATGACCACGTCTTCTTGGCCTGGTTCCAAGAGCATCAGAGACGTAAGCATCAGAGACATAAGCCCCAAATCTGAGCTGGGCTCTTGAAATCCTCTAGGAAAGGGTCTTGTTCCCACTGACTTTCTGCAAAGAGGAAAAAGAGAAGTGTGCAGGGAGGTGGTGGGGAGAAAACGCTGGACTGGTCACCTGGACGCTCAGCTTGCGGTTGTGTAAACAACTGCCAGCTTTCCCTAAAGAAATGGTTCCATCTAGCTCCTGAGGTCCCACGGGGCTGGAAAGAGCTGAATGTTTCTGCTAATGGAGTTTATGTGGCCACTTCTTTCTACCTTCCTCCAGCCCCTTGGTCCTCGATATTTCTCTTCTGCTGTCCCCTAGGACTAGGCCTTGTCAAACTGTGTCAGAGAAGAGTACTGGTGAATTGAAAGAACAGGATCATTAGCCACACTTGTGGGAGGACTTCTGCAGGTAGGTCAGGTAGAGTCCATGCTATGTTGACTCGCTTTGAAGTTAATAACCATAACTATTATTACAGGAGATTTTGGTAAACAAACACAAAACTTTAGTTAGAAGGAACAAGTTTAAGAGGTCTATTGTACATCACAGTGACTGAAATTAATAATAATATATTGTATACTTAAAAATTGCTGAGACAGTAGATTTGAAATGTTCTCATCACATAAACATAAGTATGTGAGACAATGGACATGTTAAATGGCTTGATTTAGCCATTACACAATGTATTCATATATCAAGATACATTGCGCATAACAGATACATATAATTTTTACTTGTCAATTGAAAAAATATATCCATAATAGCAAATTCTTCTGTGTGCTTTCTTCCTGCCAGGCAATACTCTAACCTACTGTCATATGCTTACTCCTTTAATGCTTACAGCGGCCTTATGAGGTAGGTAATGTTCTACTCCATTTTACTGATGAGGAAACAGGCTCAGAGAGGTTAAACAGCTTACTAGATAGAAGCAGAAGATCTAGCATTTGAGCTATAACACCTCGAAACTACTCTCGTATCCTGTTTCTACTATTTCTCCTGACACAAAACAGTAGGTCAGTAGAGTCAGAGAGCCTGGGTACAGAGAGGTAATTAGAGTTAGAGGCCAGAACTGCCTGAGGAAACCATAGGATTCCTGGATCCCACAAAGGAAGAGGTCCAAGGCGGAGTGGCCTTTCTGAAACAGATTCTGCAAGGAAAGGATCATCTGAGATGGACCTGTCTGAGTGCCTGTCTTTCCAAACAAGGTCATAGTAACCGTGGCTTCCACAAGGTGAATCAAGGCTTGGCAAATCTTAACTTGGAAGCTCTTAACCTCCTTAAGAATAGGGATTGTTTTAATAGTGACCGGTGTCTAAGAGTTCTTTGTGCTTGGTTGGTGCATAGTAAATGCTTGTGGAATGTAGGATGAATAGCAATAATAGCTAACATTTAATGAGCAATTACAATATGCCAAGCACTATTATCAGAGCTTTCCATGCACTATCTCATGTAATAGTCACAATATACCTATGAGGCATAATTGTTATCATAATCTCCCCATTTCACAGATAAGGAAATTGAGGCACTAAAGATTAAATTGCTTTTCCAGGTCACACCGAGAATGGAACAAGTATTTTACTTCAGATAATGTGTGTTTGTCTTCAATGTCCAGTTTCTTAACCTCCATGCTATGGCGTTTTTCTGGGTCAGAAGGAAGAGAAGGAATAAGAGAAGAGGAATAAAAAAATCCTCAGGATGCCTGTCCTGGACCAGCAGTTCTCCACCAGGGGACCATTGATAGGATTCTGATATTTGAATTACTTTTTGGGGGGGAGAAAGTCATAATCATGCAGACAAATTTTGTGTCCTTACCAACTATTGAGCTGAGTGCCTTTAGACCTCAGAGCTCCCTTATGAGGTAAGTACTACGATCACAGCCACTTCGCAGAAGAAACTGAGGCATAGATGGGTTAAGTAACTCTCCCAAGGTCACCCAGCCAGTAGGTGATAGAGCTGGAATTTGAACCCAGGGTATCCGGCTCCTGACCTGGGCTCCTGACCACTGTGCCATACTGCCAGAGCCTTTGTTAGAGTCGGAAAGGAGACTGGAGAGCATACACATATCTAGATCTATTACTCCAGACAATCTTAGAGGGAAGTTAGGCCTTTTCTGCTTTTCTCCTAGAAAACCTTATAGGAACAAACAGACAATACCTCATTATTTTATGGGAAAATCCCAACCTAGAGAGAGGTATTTCTAGCCCAGACTCAGTGTGGAGGACACGTTGCCCAAGTCCTGGAAGATAAGGAAAGAACAGAGCAATGTGAATGAGACTACAGAACTGCCAGCCTCAAGCAGGGTTCACCTTCATCACTGCCCTTTTCCTGCTGCTGCTTGGTCTGGTTTGACTCTGTCGCCCTCATGTGGTGTATACGGGGAAGTGCAGGAGCTTTTCCCTTTTGATCATCACAGGTAAAAACCTGAGAGTGAAAGACTGGTGACCAACACAAAGATGGGATCCCAGTTGCTCATAGGATTTGCATCTTCCTCCTTTTTCCAGGGAAGAACCCCTTCCTAAGCACAAGTTATCCAGCTGTGACACACGGTGAGGATGATTCTCCAGGAATAAAATTGTGTTGGTTACAAGTCCATTTTTATTATTGCCTTGGTATGTCCATTCATTGCTGCTTTCTCTGCGAATGGTTAAGATATTCTTCTAGGTGACACAGAGGAAAGGAAACTGGCTGTATAAGAGATTCAGAGCCTGGGACAGAGAGTTTTGGGGTTTTTTGATTGTTAAATTCAGGCTACAAAGTAAATGGTGGAATCCATCCATGGTTTTGAAAGGAGCAGCCCTAACTGGGCAGTAACCATGATGCTGAGCATCATTGCCTTGTTTTGTAGAGGTCTCAGGTTCCTGGGTATGCATTATTTTTGTGGAGATTTAATAGAGGTTAAATAGAGGCTGTCTTCTTGAATCACGAGTTGTTTTTCTAGATGAAGAAAGCAGAAAAAAAATACCAGGCAGAGCCAGGCACAGTGGCTCACACCTGTAATCCCAGCACTTTGGGAGGCTGAGGCGGGCAGATCACCTGAGGTCAGGAGGTGGAGACCAGGCTGGCCTACATGGCGAAACCCCGTCTCTACTAAAAATACAAAAATATTAGCCAGGTGTGGTGGCTTGTGCCTGTAGTCCCAGTTACTTGGGAGGCTGAGACACGAGAATAGCTTAACCTGGGAGGCGGAGGTTGCAGTGAGCTGAGATCATGCCAGCCTGGTGTGACAGAGTGAGACTCCATCAAAAAAATAAAAATAAAAATAAACCACTAGGCAGAGTGAAGGGTAAGGACAAATGCACAGAAGTGTGAAGGGGCAGTGAGCAATGCAGGACAAGGGATAGACTGGTTGGGGACAGCTGAACAGGTGGGTTGGAGCAAGAGTTTTCAGGGTTTGGGGAGTCAATCTGAAGAGATGAATAAATAAAATTTGGAAACTTTGATAACTGGGAGTAATCTTTGTATTCTCCTTACCAAGGGGCATTCATGTAGGTTAATGTAAACTAATGGATAAACTTCTAAGCTAAAATGTTGGTATCAGTTCTTGATGAGGGAGCAAGTTGATAAGAAGCCTTCCTGTTTCTCTCAATTCCCACTATTTAGGTGGGAATCCACTTTATTTCTACTTCGTCTACCTTAATTATAATGGATGCAGTAAGAGACAGAAGACAGACCCCATCTCTACAAAAAATTTAAAAAATTGGCTGGGCAAGGTGACATGCATCTATAGTCCCAGCTACTCAGGAGGCTAAGGTGGGAGGATAGCTTATGCCTGGGAGGCTGCGGCTGCAGAGAGTTGTGATCATGCCACTGCACTCCAGTGTGGGTGACAGAATAAGACCCTGTCTCAAAACAAACAAACAAATAAACAAACCAGAAAAACAACAACAACAACAACAACAAAGAGAGATGGAAAACATGCTGTTTAATGAAGGGAAGGGTTAGAAAATCTGGGCTTATTTTTTGATATATTATTTAATATCTGTGTGGCACTCAGTTATTATTCAACTTCTCTGAGCTTATATTTTTCCATTGGCAAAGTGAATAATACCTGACTTACAGCATTAAGAGGATTAAATGAGATACTGCATCATTCAACAAATGTTTATTGAGCATCTACTATGTGCTGGACACTGTGCCAGGTCTGAGAGATTCAGTCGCCATAAAGCCTTCAAAACAGTTGGAAAAAGTACAAATAAACGAATTACAATGTGTGTGTGTGTGCGTGTGTAAGAGCAGAGGTGGGAGTGTAAACTTGTTGAGGAGTCAGGAAAGACCTCTTGAAAGAAATTCTACTTAAGTTAAAACCTAAAGAGAGATTGAGAACTAGCTAAGTAAAAGGGTGGAATGGAAGTTCTTGCAGATAAAGAAACCAAGATGATAGACACTGAGACCATGTTATCTTGAAGAATCCAAGAAAACTGAAGTATGGCTGGAGGGTAGAATGAGGAGGGTAATAGGGAAAAATGACATTACAAAGGTCATGAAAATTCTTCTAAATCATGATAACAATATTATTGTGATAACCAACATTTATTGCCTATGATGGTGGGCACCATGCTGTGTGTTTTATGTGTGTTGTCTTTAATTACAAGTCTGAACCCTCATACCAAACCACAATAAAGCCAAGCCACGTATCTTTTTCCTGCTTTCTCAAGCCATTTTTGGGCCTGCTTGGACCTGCTCTGCTCTCCCCAGAAAGCCTTATTATATGAGTCATGGACCATTTCGTACCCTTTGGTGCATGTTTGGCATCATCAATCTGAACCAAATTTGGAGTGGAAGTTCATTCCACTCTTGCAGACTGATCACAACCTTGTCTCATTTAGAGTTTACAGTGACTGTATGAAGTAGGTGCTAGAATTATCTCTGTTTTACAGATGACAAAACTGGCTAAGACATTAACTAGTCCAAAGTCACATAGTTGAGAAATCATACATGGATACAAACTGAGATCATCCTAACTCTTGAAGCCATGCTCTAAGCTGCTTTGCTCTACTATTTCCTAGGTAAGGGACTTTGGACTTTATCTTAAGGCCAATGAAACAACATTGAGAATATTAAGTAGGAGAACAATATGATAAGTTTTGCATTTTGTAAAGGTATATCTGGAATTTGTGTACAATAGAGTGATTTGCATTGACATGTATAATTCCCTTTTCACAAAAACAGATAAAGTAATTAAGAATAAAATTTTACCTAAAATATGAGCCTTGTGTAAAGAAAGAAGGCAACATTCTCAGGTGCCAGAAATAAAGAAGGATCACAAAACTTAAGGGAGCATGGAGCCAAAGTTGAGTACATTCAGGGTACTCGATGTCAGGGTGATGAGATTTTAATGGCAACAGAGAGATGGTTGATGAGACCCAGGGCCTCTGCATGTTAAAGAGCTGGAAATGAACCAGCCATATACAGTTGGAAGTTACTGGTTTATGAAGGAAACTATGAAATTCCTCTGTTTCACAGCTCAGAGATACCACAAAGCAGCTTGATAGGCTCATGAGAAGATAGAAAAAATTAATGCAAGGAAATTAACCCCTCAAGCTGGTTCAGCATACATGATCTCTAAATTGCACACCACACAAGTATAGAAATCTAGAGTCAAGATACATTGTAAAATTCCTCTGGAACCAGTGAAATTCACAGAATCGCAGCAAAGGAATTTGAAACTGCCCCACAAGATTGTTCCCAGGTACCAGGACCTGAGGGTCTTCCATGGAAAACAACTCTCTTTCAAGAGGAGCTCATGATTTAAAAATATTGCAAGTCACATAAGGAAACAAACTGATTAGAGAGGGAGTGGTAGAGTGCACATACAAACAGCTGCAGTTAGTAGAAAATAAAAAAGGAGAGTCTTTAAGTCAGATAAGCTCAAAGAGAAAGAGAAAGGTAACTTCACAAAGCAAGAGGAGGACATTGTAGGAAAGGAGTCAGTAAATCGAAAAAGAAACAAATCTAAATTTTAGAAATGAAAAATATAGCTAATCAAATTTAGAATTAAATAGATGGGTTTGTAGACTGATCAAGAGAGAATTGGAGGAGAATGATGTCAGCAGGATGGCCAACTAAAAGCTTCTAGCGCTCATTTTTCCAACAAAGATAGCCAAATAACACACAAACAATCATGTTTTAATAAAAACAACTAAAGAAGAGTGGCTGAGTATGGCAAAGGAGTAATAGAAACCCCAGTGAACACGGAAACTGAGGTTGACCACACAGAGAGCAAAAGGAAACACCTGGTCTTCACCACCCCACCTCCCAACCAGAATCAGCTAGAAACCAGGAGGAACCTCTTTTTATGGTGCAAAGGTAGACAAGAGGATCCCAGTAACTGCCATCAACTCTTTGGACACCTACACTTCTCATCACTGGGGTCCCCCTGAAGTCCTCACATGCACTAAGTCCAGCTGAGGGAGCTGCCTGGAGTCTGCAAATCTGTGTTCCCCCCAGAGAAGGAGCTGCCACTAGGCCCCATCCCCTGTGGCCTGCATAGCTACTGTCTTACCCCATTTCGGAACTGGAACTACTGCTGGAGTGTCTTGCTCCAAGGGAGAGTAGCCATGGCTCTTGTCCATCCCTGAGGCTAAACCACCTTTGATCCATCCCTGCCCAGTGGCCTAACATCCCAAAGCCAAGCTTCAAGGAACTGTTACACCTTTGCCCATGGGGCTGAACAGCACCACCTACACCTCCTCTCTCCCCCTTCAGCTGGAGCTGAAGCTGCACACTTCCTCCTAAGAAAACAGTGCTTTAGCAGAATAGCCCCATCTACTTCTCTCGGTTATGGCTGTGCCCTGCCCCTAAGGTCCTGAACTGAAACTATGTGCTGCCTCTTGAGGAAACAGTGCCTTGGCAGAGCCCCACGTCTCAGGGAAATAGTGCCTGGCAGCCCAGAACAGCCACCCTCTATGCCTGAGCCTGAGCTGAAGTGGCACACAAACCCCTGGGGAATTGGTGCCCTGGAACCTGAGCAGCTCAGGGCTGAGCTGACGTAGTACCCCATGTTCCAGGGAAACATGGCAGTGACTGAGCTGAGACACTCTACCCTACAGGCTAACCTACTCTAATACCTTGCTTTCCTGGCATTAGACTAGTCTCCTGGAGTCTGAGCTGCCAAGAAAGCCCTCTCTCCAGGGAATGCAATCGTCACTGTGCTGCTCCCCTGACCCCCAGGGCCCAAACGACAGATGTGTTTGACCACTATGAAAACTTGCTGCTGCACCTAGCCTCACAGAGTCTGGGATACTACTGAGTCCGCCATCCCGGAGTCACCACTACATGTTGTCTCATCCCCAGGGACCCAAGTTTCCACTGAGCTCCATTGGACCAGGTTCCCAAATTGCAGATATACCTTGCTCTCTGTACCCTAAACTCCAGAGCTCCTTTTCTTCCCTGGAGTTGGATATACCCTCCACACAGGGGTAGACTCACAGCTAAAACCAAACTCTCTGGGTCCAAGCTTCTAGGGGTTTCCTCAGAGTCACAGATCCTGGCTCTGCAGGCAAATTACATCCAACCCTGCCATAAACAGTGAACCTGCACCTCAAGACCCAGATGCCACAATAAGTTCATGAGACTCTGTGGGAAAATTGAAAGTAGGAGGACTTCAAGCACCCACAAAGAAAGAATTTTAAAAATAACAAAAGAAAACATCAAGTCACGTATAAAGAATCCCCATTAGACTAACAGCAGATTTATCCTCAGAAATCTTACAGGCCAGGAGAGAATGGAATGACATATTCAAAGTACTGAAAGAAGAAAAAAAAGGCAGCCAAGAATACTATACCCAGTAAAGCTATTCTTCAGAAATAAGGGAGAGCCAGATTTGGTGACATATGCCTGCAGTCTCAACTACTCAGGAGGATGAGTTGGGAAGATTGATTGAGCCTAGGAGTTCAGATCAGCCTAAACAACATAGCGAGACCTCATCTCAAAAAAAGAAAAAAAAGGAAAAAGAAATAAAGTCTTTCCCAGACAAGCAAAAACAAAGGAAATTCATTACCACCAGACTGATCTTATGAGACATACTCAAGGGACTCCTATATCTGGAAGTGAAAAATGATAATCATCATTACGAAGACATGCGAAAGTATAAAATCACTAATAGACACACAAATGAAAAACAGAGAAGAAATAAGCCTTATTACTACAGAAAACTACCAAACTGCAATGATTAAACAATAAGAGAGGGAGAAAGGGACAACAGATATACGAAACAACTAGAAAACAATTAACAAAATGACAGCAGGTCTTACCAATCAGTTATAACCTTAAATATATAAATGGCTTAAACTCCCCACTTAGAAAAAACAGACTGGCTGAATGGATTTTTGAAAACCATCTAGTATATGCTCCTACGACATAATACTTCATCTGTTAAGACACATAAAGATTGAGAGTAAAATGATGGAAAAAGATATTCTCTGCAAACAGAAAGCAAAAGTGAGCAAGACAGTAGATAAAACAGACTCTAAAACTGTCCAAAACTGTAAAAAGAAACAAAATCATTAATAACGATAAAGGGATGAATTCAGCAAGATGATATAACAATTATAAGTATATATGCATGCAACACCGGGACACCTAAATATATGAAACAAATAATATTAGATCTAAAAGGAAGAGATAGAATCTAGTACAGTAAGAGTTGGGGACTTCAATTCTCCACTCTCAGCACTGAACAGATCGTCTACACAGAAAATCCGTAATGAAACATTGGATTTAAACTGCACTTTAGACCAAACGAACCTAACAGACATTTACAGAATATTTTACCCAACAGCTGAAGAATACACATTTTTTCTTTAGCACATGGAACGTTCTCCAGGATCGACCATATGTTAGGTCATAAAACAAGTCTCAACAAATTTAAAAGAATTGAAATCATATCAAGTTTCTTTTCTCAGCACAACGGAATAAAACCAGAAATCAATAACAAGAGGAACTTTCAAAACTGCACAAACACTTGGAAATTAAACAAGATGCTCCTGAATGCCCAATGAGCCAATGAAGAAATTAAGCAGAAAATTTAAAAATTGATTGAAACCAATGATAATATAAACACACTATATCAAAACCTATGGGATACACCAAAAGCAGTATTAAGAGGGAAGTTAAGTATTAAGAGGGCAATAAACAACTACATCAAAAAAGTAGAAATATTTTAAATAAATAACGTAACAATGCATCTTAAGGAACTAGAAAAACTAGAGCAAACCAAACTCCAAAGAAGGAATAAAGAGAATTAATGGAAGTGCTCTTTGAAAAAAAAAAAATGACCCATGATGCAGCAAGCAGAGGTGAGGATATAGAAAAGAAAAAGAAGAGACAAAGAGTATAGAATGCCAAGTATCATCATGCATCTGATGAAAAATACAGGGTATTTCTTGTTATAATCTCAGAGTGTAGTAGGACTTTCAAACTATAATTAAAAACCAGAGGACATAAAATAAACCCACCCCAACAAAGTCAAATTAATTACAAGCTAGGAAAATGTATTTGCAATTCATAGCGTATACAAACGGCTAATTTTTGAAACATATTAAGATGCCAATAGCCCAAGAAGAAAATGAGTAAATTTAAATGAGTTAACAGAAAAGGAAATTAGATGGCCCTTAAACAAATTTAAAAGATGACGAATTTCACTCATAGTAGGTAGTATTTATTAAGCACGTCATATGTGCCTGGGTTGGTGCTTTACATTCCCACAACAACCTTTTGTTGAAGTAGGCCCTCTTCTTATCTCCATTTTATAGGTGAGGAAACTGAAGCATGGAGAGGTTAAGTTTTCTCAAATACATTCAGCTGGTGGTGTGATGAGGCTTCAAACTCAGGCAGCTTGACCATAGACACCACCACTTCTCTATATTGTCTCTTGGTATTTTCACTGAAATATAAGTTAAATGCAACCTAAAATATAGTAAGATACATTTTATTTGACTCCCAGATTAACATGAATAAAAAGCTGGATATATGTTGGTGGGGATCCAGAGAAACAGACATTCTCGTATATTGCTAATATGAATGTAAATTGTTTGACCTCCCTGGAGAAAAATTTGTCAACATTTTTCACAAATAGATGGCTGTCCTTGTAATTCTTATTTTTCTTAAAATCTAGAACTGGAGTCTAAGTGTGTGTTTTGGGGGTGATGATGGCGATGGAGCCTACCCTTTGCAACAAGAACGAGACTGTCATGTTAAGGCAAGTGTTATAAAAGTTGGGCAGTGGCTGATGGTTAACTCACAGTCCACAGTTCTTGATGGTCTAAGCCACATCTATTCTCCAAACTTCTTCAATGCATCCTCCAGACTTCAACTCCCTGGACTTCCCTAAAATCCTTATCAGATAGGGTTTGATATCCCCTAGATGCCACCAAAACAGTAGGCATTGCAGTAGACAGGTGCAGCAGAAGGAGAAGCAGCAGAACATTAGCTGCTTGGGATTTTCCTGGTCAGTTTGAGGATGCCACTCATGAAATTCTGAGGTCATCTCTTCCTGGTCTTCACATATGAATTGTGCTCATGAAGCCAGAGTTGGTTATTCGCTTCCAGGCCCAAAATTCATTCAGTTACTTATTTATCCAGCAACTTTCTGACCTACATAAGAGATATTCAATAAATATTTGTTCAACGAATAAATGGATGGATCTTTGACTGTATCATATCCTCATTTTTGGCTGCCAAAAATTCTTGGCCTTCTGCCCTTAAACCTATACATTCTAGAAAGATCTGTCATGCAAGTAGAAAACAAGAGCAGAGGTCGCTTTTATATCAGATAAAACGGACTTTAAACCAACAAGAGTCAAAAAGGACAAAGAAGGGCATTAAATAATGATAAAGGGTTCAATTCAATAAGAAGACTTAACGATCCTAAATATATATGCACCCAACATTGGAGCACCCACATTCATAAAAGACCTACTTTTAGACCTATGAAAAGACTTAGACAGTCACAATAATAGTGGGGGATTTCAACACCCCTCTGAAAGCATTAGATCACCGAGGCAGAAAACTGACAAAGAAATTATGGACTTAAATTCAACACCTGACCAATTGTACTTAATAGACATCTATGGAATACTGCACCCAGCAACCACAGAATATATATTCATCTCATCTGCACTTGGAACGTACTCTAAGATTGACGACATGCTCAGCCATTAAGCAAGCCTCAATAAATTCAGAAAAATTGAAATCAAACCAACTGTACTGTCAGACCACAGTGGAATAAAAATGGAAATCAATACCAAAACCAAACAATTACATGAAAATTAAACAACTGGCTCCTGATTCACTTTCGGATAAACAATAAAGGCAGAAAAAAAAAACCTTTGAAATAAATAAAAACAGAGACATGACATACTAAAATTTCTGGGATGGAGCAATAGTAGGGTTAACAGTAAAGTGTATAGCATTAAACACCTATATGAAAAAATTAGAAAGCTCTCAAATTAACAATCTAACATCACACCAAGAGGAACTAGAAAAACAAGAACAAACTAACCCTAAAGCTAGAAGAAGAAAAGAAATGGCTAAAATCAGAACAGAACAGAATGAAATTGAAACCAAAAAATCCATACAAAAAGTCAACAAAACCAAAAGTTGATATTAAAAGGATAAACAAGGTTGATAGACCACTAGCTAGATTAACAAAGAAAAAAGGCTAGGTGCATTGGCTCATGCCTGGAATCCCAGCAATTTGGGAGGCCGAGGCCGACAGATCACTTAAGTCAGGAGTTCAAGACCAGCCTGGCCAACATGGTGAAACCCCATCTGTACTAAAAATACAAAAATTAGCTAAGTATGGTGGCATGCACCTGTAGTTGCAGCTACTCTGGAGGCTGAGGCACAAGAATCACTTGAACCTAGTAGGCAGAGTTTGCAGTGAGCCAAGATTGCATCACTGCACTCCAGCCTGGATAGCAGAGTGAGACTGTGTCTTAACAACAACAACACAAAACAAAAGGAAAAAAGAGAAGATCCAAATAAACACAATCAGAAACAACAAAGGTAACATTACAACTGATCTCACAGAAGTACAAAAGGTTCTCAGGCACTATTGTGAACACCTTTATTACACAAACTAGAAAATCTAGAAAAAATGGTTAAATTCCTGGAAACATACAACCTCCAAAGATTGAATAAGGAACAAATTGAAACCCTGAAAAGAGCAATATCGAGTTCTGAAATTGAATTAGTAATAAAAAATTCTTACTCATCAAAAAATGCCCCCGACCAGATGGATTCATAGTGGAACTCTACTAGATGTACAAAGTAGAGCAGGTACAAATTCTACCAAAACTATTTCAAAATATCAAGGAAGTGGCAATCTTCCCTCACTCTATGAAGCCAGCATCATTGCATCATTCTGATACCAAAACCTGGCAAAGATACAAGAAAAGAAGACTGCAGACCAATATCCCTGATGAACATAGGCACAAAAATCCTCAACAAAGTAATAGCAAATTAAATCCAGCAACGTATCAAAAAGTTAATTCACGTAATCAAATAGGCTTTATTCCTGGGATGCAAGGTTGGTTCAACATATGCAAATCAACAAATGTGATTCACCATATAAGTAGAATCAAAAACAAAAACCATATGATTATCTCAATAGACACCCAAAAAAACTTTCAATAAAACCCAAACCCCTTTATGACAAAAATCCTCAACAAACTAGGCATCAAAAGAACATACCTCAAAATAATAAGAGTTATCTATGACAAACCCATAGTCAATATCAGATGGAATGGGCAAAAGCTGGAAGAATTCCTTTTAAGAACAGGAACAAACCAAGGATGCCCATTCTCACTGCTTTTATTCAACATAGTACTGTAAGTCCTAGCCAGAGCAATTAGAGAAGAAAAAGAAATAAAAGGGATCCAATAGGAAAAAAAGAAGTAAAATTTTCTGTCTTTACTGAACATATAATCTACTCCTAGAAAACATTAAAGACTCCACCAAAAGGCTCATGGAACTGATAAACCACTTCAGTAAAGTTTCAGGTTATAAAATCATATGTACAAAAATCAGTAGTGGCTGGGCATGGTGGCTCACACCTGTATTCCCAGAAATTTGGAAGGCTGAGGTGGGAGGATGGCATAAGCCCAGGAGTTCAAAGACTAGCCTGGGCAAAATAGCAAGACCCCAACTCCACCCCTCAGCTCCCCCAGATCTGTAGCATTTTTATAGACCAATAATGCTCAAGCTGAGAGCCAAATCAAGAACACAATCCATTTACAATAGACACACATACAAAAATAAAATACCTATAAATACATCTAACCAAGAAGGTGAAAGATCTCTATGAGAAGACTACAAAACACTGCTGAAAGAAATCACAGATGACACAAACGAATGGAAAAACATTCCATGCTCATGGATTGGAAGAATCAATATTATTAAAATGACCCTGCTGCTTAAAGCATTCTACAGAGTCAATGCTATCCCTATCAAACTACTGGCATTTTACTGTCATTTTTACTATCAATTAGAAAAAAATTCTAAAAGTCATCTGGAACCAAACAAGAGCCCAAATAGCCAAAACAATCCTAAGCTAAATGAACAAAGCAGTAGGCATCACATTACCCAACTGTGAATTATACTATAAAGCTAAGGTAACCAAAACAGCATAACACTGGTACAAATGCAGACACATAGACTAATGGAACAGAAGAATCAAGAACCCAGAAATAAAGCTGCACACCTACAGCCATCTAATCTTCAACAAGTTGACAAAAATCAGCAATGGGGAAAGGATTCCCTATTCAATAAATGGTGCTGGGATAGCTAGCTAGCCATATGCAGAAGAATGAAACTAGACACCTACATTTCACCATATATAAAAATTAACTCAAGATAGATTAAAGATTTAAGTGTAAGACCTCAAACTATAAGAATCCTAGAAAATATCATTCTGGACATCAGCCTTAAGAAAAAATTTGAGTAAGTCTTCAAAAGCAATTGCAACAAAAACAAAAATTGCCAAGTGGAACCTAATTAAACTAAAGAGCTTCTGCACAACAAAAGAAACTGTCAGCATATTAAACAGCAGCCTACAGAATGGAAGAAAATATTCACAAACTGTGCGATTCACAAAGGTTTAATATACAGAATCTATAAGAAACCTAAACAATTCAATGAATCAAAAACAAATAGACCCATTAAAAAGTGGACAAAAGACATGAACAGACATTGCTCAAAAGAAGACATACACACAGACAACAAACATATGAAAAAATGCTAAATACTAATCATTAGAGAAATGCAAATCAAAACCACAATTAGATACCATCTCACACCTGTTGGAATAGCTATTAATAAACAGTCAAAGGGACAGGTGCAGTGGCTCACGCCTGTAATCCCAGCACTTTGGGAGGCCGAGGTGGGTGGATCACGAGGTCAGGAGTTCAAGACCAGCCTGGCCAAGATGGTGAAACCCTGTCTCTACTAAAAATACAAAAAAAAAAAAAAAATTAGCCGGGTGTGGTGGCAGGTGCTTGTAATCTCCCCAGCTACTTGGGAGGCTGAGGCAGGAGAATCACTTGAACCCAGGAGGTGGAGGTTGCAGTGAGCCGAGATTGTGCCACTGCACTCCAGCCTGGGTGACAAAAAAAAAAAAAAGTCAAAAAATAACAGATGCTGGTGAAGCTGCAGAGAAAAGGAAACATTTATACATAGTTGGTGGGAATGTAGATTAGTTCAGCCACTGTGGAAAAGTTTGGAAATTTCTCAAAGAACATAAAACAGAACTACTATTTGACCCTGCAATACCATTACTGGGTATATAGCTAAAGGAAAACAAACTATTCCTTTAAAAAATAATTAAGAGAGTATTATTTTCTTTTTCTTTTTTAACTTTTGTTTTAGATTCAGGGGTACATGTGCATGTTTGTTGTACAGGTAAACTCATGTCATGAAGGTTTTTTGCACAGATTATTTAATCACTCAGGTAGTAAGCCTACTACCCAATAGTTGTTTTTTCTGCTCCTCTCCCTCTTCCCAACTTCCACCCTCCAGTAGGCCCCACTGTTGGTTGTTTTCCTCTTTGTGTCCATGTGTTCTCATCAGTTAGCTCCCACTTTATAAGTGAGAATATCGGTATTTGGTTTTCTGTTCCTGCATTAGTTTGCTAAGGATGATGGCCATCATCTCCACTCATGTTCCTGCAAAGGACATGATCTCATTCTTTTTTATGGCTGTGTAGTAGTCCAATGTATTTGTACAACATTTTCTTTATCCAGTCTACCACTGATGGGCATTTAGGTTGATTGTATGTCTTCCTATTGTGAATGGTGCTGTGATAAACATACAGGTGTATATGTCTTTGTGGTAGAATGATTTACATTCCTTTGGGTATATACTCAGTAATGGGACTGTTGGGCCTAATGATAGTTCTGTTTTCAGGTCTTTGAGGAATCACCACACTGCTTTCCACAATGGTTGAACTAATTTACTCTCCCACCAGCAGTGTATAAGTGTTCCCTTTTCTCTGCAACCTTGCCAGCATCAGTTATTTTTGACTTTTTTATCAATAGCCATTCTGCCTGCTGTGAGATGATGTCTCATTGTGGTTTTGATTTGTGTTTCTCTAATAATCAGTGATATTGAGTTTTTTTCATATGCTTGTCGGCTGCATGTATGTCTTCTTTTGAAAAGTGTCTGTTCATGTCCTTTGCCCACTTTTTAATGTGGTGGTTTGTTTTTTTTCTTGTAAATTTGAATTTTTTATAAATTCTGAACCTTTGTCAGATGCAAACATTGTAAATACTCTCTCCCATTCTGTAGATTGTCTATTTACCCTGTCAGTAGCTTCTTTTGTGGTGCAGAAGCTCTTAAGTTTAATTAGATCTCATTTGAAAACAAATTATTCTACCAAAAAGACATATGCACTTGGATGTTCATTGCAGCACTGTTCACAATAGCAAAGATAATGGAATTAACATAGGTGCCCATAAATGCTAGACTGGATAAAGAAAATGTGGCACATATGCACCATGAAATACTATGTAGCCATAAGGAAGAATGAAAACATCTGCACTGCAGCAACCTGGATACATTATTAGGAGGTCATTATCCTACGTTAATTAACATAAGAACAGAAAACCAAAAGCTGTATGTTCTTACTTTTAAGTGGGAGCTAAGCACAGGGTACACAGATGGGAACAACAGACACTGAGGACAGCAAGAGGAGAGAGAAGGGGAGGAGGGAAAGGGCTGAAAAACTACATAATGGGTTCTGTGCTCACTACTTGGGTGAGGGGATCATTCAGACTCCAAACCTCAGCATGAGGCAATGTACCCTTGTAACAAACCTGCACGTGTACTCCTTGAATCTGAAATAAAAGTTGAAATGTTTAAAAAGTTATCAACATGTAAACTTACAAACAGTGAATTTCACTGTGTAAAAATTATATCAGTAAATGTGACTTTAAAATATCTTTGAGAAACAACTAAATTTTACTGACTCATAATGACAAATTTTATATAAGGTACTCTTTGAAAGAATGTACAGAATTATGCCTGATCTTTCTTAACACTTTATCTTCTATTTAATTTGTATTTTCACTCCCTTGAACACTTGCCAACAACCCCAGAACAGAGATTATCAAATTTGTAGGAGGTCAATGAATCTTTGGAAATTAAGGGCAAATTTTGTGGTGTATACAAATGGGTCCTCATATGAGAAGAAGCTTTGTAACTTTGAGTTTTCAAAGGTGGTCCCAAAAGTTACCAATATGTAATGCTTCATTAAATCCAGGGGTAAGAGTTTCCACTGTTGTGTGATACCAACTGTGGAAGATTCTGTCCTGTGGCAGCCTGGGGCCTTGCCGCCCCCAGACTCCAATGCTGGCACCAAATAAAAAGTTTTATGAGAGATAGGCCTAATCTTGGCTGACACATGAGTAGTCTCCTGTGGGAATTCTAGGAGACTTTTGTTTTTGATAAGGTATGTGGAGAAATCTTTGACTGTATATTTCTGCTTTTGTGTATAGTTGTTCAAGGGGTTATTATTATTATTAGAGATTCGGCAGCAATCTTGTAACCAACGTAGAAAGATCCAAAGAATTTCTGAGAAGACATCTCAGAGCACTGATATGGTTGAACTGCTGAAGAAAACTTGCAACTGCCTACCTAACCCTTAAGGGTAATTACCTGGATCCTTTCTACCCCATTTTTATGAATGAGAAAGGGAAGTTTGGTAAAGGGAGCACAGAAGCGGCAATCTTTTCCAGACATCTCCGCCCCTCAACCTGGGATAGCATGGTCTGAAGAGACAGCAGACTCGACAGCTCTCAACAATTGATAATCTTAGAATATGCTGATAAAGGTGGGGGAAATTAGACAATTAATTATAATAAGTTTCATGAATCATTGTTTAAAAATTTTGTACTTTAATCTTTGTTTAAATTGACCTGAAAACCTGAAGGACATCATTAAAAGTTGAGTGTTAAACAACAAGGGAGTGTGGATTTGTTTAGACTTACCTGGTTTTAATGAGAAAATGACCCAATGATAATGTATATGTAATTAAGATTTCATTTGCTTCCCTATACACCGTGAGAGTTAATAAATATAATCCTCTATGGGCAATTTCTTTAAATCACAAGAATATTGGTCCCTGAGGGAGTGTGAGTGATCGAGCAGTTCCAGGTAAGGACATTTCCTTCTTTGAAAAGTCTATTACTCTTATTTCAAATGGATACATACCATCCACTTAGACATGTGGCAGCAGGCCAGATAATTCCTCTGATACTCATGCCAGATGGCAGTGAAGTCACCAGATTCACTCAGCACTGGTCTCCAGTTCCCCAGGACATGCATCACTCACTACAGCCAATAACTTGGTGGATGAATAGAGCAGAATGTGGCTATCAGGTTTTCTTGTTTTGTGGGGCAAACCACATCCAAACCGTAGTACTCATAAAAGTTAAAGAGGCAGGGCAGGCGCACTTCCAGAAGCTCAGCACAATCTTGTTTGTGTCCATAGTATGTCACACAGTACCTGCCAAACAGCAAGTATTAATACAAAATAAATAAACATTGTGTACTTAATGAACCAAGCTCACTAAGAAAGAGCAATGCTTTACAGTAGTGACCACCCCCAGATTCTTAAAATAAACACATTTATTGGTGAGTTGAAGAAACTCTCTAAAGTTTCTTTAAACGTTTCTGGGCTTATTTTTTTCTAGAATAATGAGAGGTCTAGAAATAAGAAGTCCAGAAGTGATACCATATATCAAAGATGGCACAAAGCCCCAGGCTCCTTTGTTTCTTTCTGATCCACTAAACTTAGCCTGAGGTTGTTCTCCTAGTTGAGAGATGACATAGGGGATGTCTAAGCTATTTTAAATTTTATTTTATTTTTTTAGATTTCCTGAGTATTTCTTCCTTGTTAATTATGATTATCTAACCTATTTTAGAAGGAGAAACTATTCGGATGGCCTTCTGGTTCTCATAAGATTTTACTCTTTTAAAAGTCTAGTTAATATAAAACTTAATTCTTGCTTACCTTGGCCTCTTTTTGTATAATTTTGGCCTCATTTTATATGACATCAGCATTACAGCAGTTCCATTTCAAGCCCATAAATATTTGTTTCCTCTGCTTCATTAATATTTTTCTCATAGTGACCCCAGAGGGAGGAAAGTAACTATAAAAGAAAAAAGGAAAGGAAAGAAGGAAGAAAATAGCTATCAAGGGGTCAGAATAAAATAG
The DNA here is from genome assembly GCF_000001405.40 of Homo sapiens. NCBI lineage: Eukaryota > Metazoa > Chordata > Mammalia > Primates > Hominidae > Homo > Homo sapiens. The sequence continues at coordinate 110,799,845 of NC_000001.11, forward strand.
CTATGAAGGTGTTGTTATTGAGGCCTGTATAACATTCTAAGAAGACCATATGTATTAAGGAGTTAAACTGACTAGCTAATGACTTCTAGAATAGCCTCTGGTTAAAATAGCAAATCTGAGCCTTGCGTTTGAGCTGTGGCAGGAGGGATAAGTTTCTGCAACAATTACCCTACTCCCCAAGATGTTGATTGATGTTTATCAACATTTTCCTTTGGTTTAATCTCCCTGCCACTGACTTTTAGACTACAAAATGTGGTTCCCTGTTTTTTTTTTTTAAAAAAAAAACCTTGACGATATAAGGTTTATTTCATGGATTCAAAGGAAAAAGCTCACAAAAACTAGGCAAGGAAGCTTTGATAATAAGATTGCTTTAGTGATATATAGCCAACTACATAAATCTCTCATTTTCAAGATGACAGCTTTTTGCCACAACCAGAACATCTGCTTTTGGCAGCTATCCTTGGTACTGATCGTCCTCTGCCTTCAATTCTCTTTGATCCAGTAGTTCAAACTTCCATCCTTGGGCCTGCCCTAGTCATACTGTGAATATAGTATTGAATTCAATTTTTTAAAAAGTATTATCTTCTGATTATAAGCATACAAGAAGCAAATTACCCATAAACCCATTATCTCCAAGCAAGTATAAATAAGACGTAGGTTCATAACTCTCTAGTCTTTTTTAAATACATATTTTCAAATATTTGAGATCATGCGGAATATGCAATGCAATTTTGTACATTTCTCTTTTTCATAGTGGTACATGCATTATTCATATTAGATACTCTTTGAATACACTTTTGAAGTAGATGCGTAACATATCCTGTTCCATAATTGACCTAAAAATGCTTATGTAATTGAATAGTCTTTTTATTTTAAATATTTATAACAAGATAGTAAATTGTCTTCTGATAATTTTTTCAATATTCAACATTCAAAATGATTTCTTTAAGAAAAAATGCTGAAAATGCATTCCATGTAGTCACTTGCTAAAGGAAATGACAAATCTAAACTTGACGAAAATTTGATAAATTACATAATTCACTCTGAGTTTAGAAAGAAAACAAACAGAAAGCTCAAGAAAACAACACTATTCTAGTGTTAAAGAATAGATAAACTTTTTCCTGAAGCTCCTCAAAAAGAGACTAAAAATTAACATAACAAACCATGCTCTTGATAACATCATTATAGCAAACAGTGATATATTTCAAAGGGTTATTATTTCTGAGAGGTCAATGACACCACACTAAAACCAATAGAAGGATGGCAGAAGATTCAATATAATATCTTCTTGATAAACAATGCTTTACTGGTATGTTTCAATACAGGGTAAATTTTGAAACATCTAGAGGAATGATAGACATTGTGCTAGTTTCTATTAATGTATTTCCTTCAGAAAATAAAAGAAAATGAAAGGGCAATCTTGTTCATAAATATAGATGCAAACACATCTTTTAAAAATATTAGCAAACAAAATCTAGTAATATAAAAGAGGATATTAGGTCACAATCACAAAAAAAGTTTATTAGGTCACAATCAAGTTGCATTATTTCATTAACATTAGAAAATCAATAAATTTATCACATTAACAGTTTAAAGGAGAAAAACTATGTGAATATCTCAATAGATGTAGAAAAAGCATTTGCCAAAATTCAAACCGCATTTATAATGACAACTTTTAGCAAATTTTAAAAAAAGAAAAGAATTTTCTTACTCTGCAAAATGTAGCCTCAAATATCTACTGCAATCATCTTTAGTGGCAAAATATTAAAATTTCTCCCTTTGATATTTAAAGCACAACAGATAAGTACTAACATCAGTATTTTCTATATTGTAACAGAAGTCCTAGCCATCACAAAGAGATAAAATATACATTTGGAAAATGAAATATATATCATTATTCATCAATGACATGATTATGTAGAACATCCAAAATAATCTACAGATAAATTATTAGAATTAAAAATGAGCTTATCAAGATTTCTGGATACAGACAACATACAAAATCAACTGTGATTTTATATACTAGTATCAAACAAAAAATGACTTTGAAATAGCATAAAATGACTTCTGGTTCCAACATGATGCAGAAACAAGCTGGCTTTACTTTCCTCCTGCCCCCTAGAAAACTAAAAACAAAGATACACTGCTGAGATTACAATCCGCAGTATCTCAGAACTCAAATATGAAGATGAGACCATTCCCAGGGCAATAGAGAAGTGAAAAAACTTTAAGCAGACAATAAGAGAACAAGACTTCCATATTCATGACACCCCTCTCCCCAATCTGCTTGACACCAAGTTTACCAAAAACTTTACTCCAACTCACCGTTTTTTCACAAATACGTGAGTTTGAGGTGAACAACCAGACTCCCCATCATCAAGTTTCCTTGGCAAGAAACCTTTTTCCTGCCTCCACCTACAGGAAGCATCAGGAGTGCCTAAAGGGAGAAATCTCCCTGAGGACAGCCAGAGACAAATGGAAGAGACAGGACTACCTTAGGCCTAAAAACTCTGATCTGTAACTCGGTCAAACTAGATGTCAAAGAAGAGTGGATAGTCAGCAGCAGCATGCTATAGGTTTGTTTCACAGGTCCCCTGGGCACGAACCCCTAGACAACCTTCCCACACTGCCAGGATGTCCCCTTTGGGACCTCCCTCATTCTGGACAAGCAGTGTTCCATTTATTAGAGCTGAGGTAAGCCTGGGCTTAAAGTCCCATGCAGTGCCAAAAAGGAGGCAGTGACCTAGGAGGCAAAAAGAAAGATATCCAACAAGGAAATTACAAGGAAACTCTAAGAAAACATGTTCAATAAAAACAAAAACAAACCAGATAAAGAAGAATAAATTAGATTAGAATAAATAACTAATCATTCAATGCAAAGACATAGATGTACATTCACAAGAAACAGCTGCAAACAGGGAACCATGGTCTCCCCAGACTGACAAAGCAAGGAACAAATGAGACAGTGATATCTGAGCTCTCTGACCAATAATCCAAAATAGTAATTTAAAGCCAACTCAGTTATCTCCAAGATAACACAGGAAAGCAGTTCAAAAATTTATCAGAAAGGCCAGGCGTGGTGCCTCACACCTGTAATCCCAGCACTTTGGGAGGCTGAGGAGGGTGGATCACAAGGTCAGGAGTTTGAGACCAGCCTGGCCAAGATGGTGAAACCCCGTCTCTACTGAAAATACAAAAATTAGCCAGGCACAGTGGCAGGTGCCTGAAATCTCAGATACTCAGGAGGCAGAAGAAAAGAATCACTTGAACCTGGGAGGCAGAGTTTGCAGTGAGCCAAGATTGCACCACTGCACTCCAGCCTGGATGACAGAAAGAGACTCTGTCTCAAAAAAACAAAAAAAAATTATCAGAGAAATTTAACAAAACTTGAAACAATAATACATAAATCAAACAGAAATACTGGGACTGAGAAATACATTTGCTGGACTAGAAAAAACACCAGAAGCTCTCAACAGCAGAATGGATCAAGCAAAAGAAAGGATCTGTGAGCTTAAAAACAGGCTATTTGAAAATACACAGAGGAGAAAAAGAAAAAAGAATAAAAAGGACCAAAGGTCACCTATAAAATATAGAAAACTACCACAAAACACTATATATAAGAATTATTGGTGTTCAAAAGAGAGTTGAGCAAAAACAAAGGATAAAAATCTTATTGAAAGAAATAATGACAGAAAAAAATTTCAAAATTTGAGAAAGATATAAATATCCAGGTACAGAAAAGCCAGAGAATACAAAACAGATTTGACCCAAATAAGACTATCCCAAGGCATATAATAATAAAACTCTCAAAGGGAAAGGACTAAGAGAGGATCCTTAAGTCAGCAAGAGAATATAAGCAAATAGCATATAAAGGAGCTCCAATTTTTCAGGCCGCAGACTCTTCAATGGAAACAATACAGGCCGTAAGGGAATTGAATGGCATTTTCAAAGTGCTGAAAGCGGGGGAAAAACCCTTCTTTTTAAGAATACTGTACCCAGCAAAGCTAGTCTTCAAATATGAAGAAGAGATAGTCTTTGTTTCCCAACTTTTATTTTAGGTTCAAGAGGCACATGTGCAGGTTTGTTACATTGGTAAGTTGCATGTCATAAGGATTTGGTGTACAGATAATTTTGTCACTCGGATAATCAGCATAATACCATATGTGTAGGTTGTCTATCTTCACCTTCCTCCCAGCCTCCACCCTCAAGTAGGCCTGAGTGTCTTTCGTTCCCTCCTTTATGTCCATGTCTGCTCAATGTTGAGCTTCCACTAATAAGTGAGAATATGTAGTATTTGGTTTTCTGTTTCTGTGGTAATTTGCTTAGGATAATGGCCTCTAGCTCCATCCATGTTGCTGCAGAAGATATAATCTTATTTTTTATAGCTGCATAGTATTCCATGGTATATATGTACTATATTTTCTTTATCCAGTCCACTATTGGTGGTCATATAGCTTGACTCTATGTCTTTGCTATTGTGAATAGTGCTGCGATGAACATACAAGTGCATGTTTTTTTTTTTTTTTCTGTATAATGATTTGTTTTCCTTTATGTATGTAACCAGTAATGGAAATGCTGGGTCAAATGGTAGTTCTGTTTTAAATTCTTTGAGAAATCTCCAAACTGCTTTCCACAGTAGCTGAACTAATTTACATTTCTGCCAGCAGTGTATAAGCATTCCCTTTTCTCTACAACATCATCAGCATCTGTTATTTTTTGACTTTTTAATAATATCCATTCTGACTGGTGTGAGGTGGTATCACATTGTGGTTTTGATTTGCATTTCTCTAATGATTAGTGACATTGAGCCTTTTTTTCATATGCTTGTTGGCCATGTATATGTCATTTTCTGAGAAGTGTCTGTTCGTGTCCTTTGCCAATTTTTTAATGTGGTTCTTTGTTTTGTACTTGTTGATTTGTTTGAGTTCCCTGTAGATTCTGTATATCAGACCTTTGTTGGATGCATAGTTTGCAAGTATTTTCTCCCATTCTGTAGATTGTCCATTTACTCTGTTGATAGTTTCTTTTGCTGTGCAGAAGCTCTTTGCCTCCATTTATCAATTTTTGTTTTTGTTGCACTTGCTTTCAGAGTCTTCATCATGAAGTCCTTGCCTGGGCCAATGTCCAGAATAGTATTTTCTAGATTTTAGGAAGAATCAGTATTGTTAAAATGGCCTTACTGCCCAAGGCTATTTGCAGATTCAATGTTATTTCTATCAAACTACCAATGACATTTTTCACAGGATTAGAAAAAAAATTCTAAAATTCATTTGGAACAAAAAAAACCCCAGCCTGAATAGCCAAAGCAATCCTAAGCAAAAAGAACAAAGCTGGAGGCATCATACTACCTGACTTCAAACTGTACTACAAGGCTACAGTAACTAAAACAGCGTGGTACCAGTACAAAAACAGGCACAGAGACCTATGGAATAAGACTATCTGATCTTCAACAAAGCCCACAAAAACAAGTAATGTAGAAAGAACCCCTTATTCAATAAATGGTGCTGGAATAACTGGCTGGCCATGTGTAGAAGATTGAAACCAGACCCCTTCCTTTCACCACATACAGCAGTCAACTCAAGATGGATTAAAGACTTCAATGTAAAACCTAAAACTATAAAAAATACCAGGAAATAAAGTCTTTACCAGACAAACAAAACCTGAGGGAATTCACCACCACCAGACCTGTCTTACAAGAAGTGCTAAAGGGAGTTCTTTAGTCTGAAAGAAAAAACACTAACATGCAAAAGAAAAACATTTGAAGGCATAAAACCCACTGGTAAAATTAAGTAGAGGTAAACCTAGAATAACCTACTATTGTGATTTTGGTGTGTATTCCACCAATAACTCCAGGATGAAGCCTAAAAAAAACAAATTTATTAAAGACAATAATAGCTACAACAACCTGTCAAGGGATAGGCAATATAATAATATGTAAATCGAGACAATAAAATGTGAGAATGTTGGGTTGGTGAAGTTAAAATGTAGAGGGTTTTTTTTTTCATTTTTTCTTCGTTTCTATTCTTTTCTTTGTGATCTAAGATAAGTTGTTATCTCTTTAAAATAACTTGTTATATCTATAAGATGTTTGTTTGTAAGCCTCATGGTAACCACAATGCCAAAACGTATAATAGCTCCACTAAAAAAGTAATAAATTAAAACATACATCAGTGAAAAATACTTATCCACCTAGAGAGACATTAAGAAAGGAAGAAGGAAACAGAGGAGTTACAATACAACCAGAAAACAAACAAAATTGCAGAAATAAGTTTTTACTTAATAATAACACTGAAGTTAAATGAACTCAGTTCTCCTATTAAAAGGCACAGAGTGGGCGAATGGATAAAGAAACAAGACCCAAGTATGTATTACCTGTAAGAAACCCACTTCACTTGTAAAGACATCATAGACTGAAAGTGAAGAGAAAAAGTTATTCCTTGCAAGTGGAAACCAAAAAAAAAAAAAAAAAAAAACAGGAGTAGCTATACTTAGATAGAACAGACTGCAAGTTAAACACTATAAAATGAGACAAAGAAGGTCACTATATAAAGATAAATGGGTCAATTCCGCAAGAGGATATAACAACTATAACTATCAAGGCACCCCACACCAGAGCACCCAAGTATATAAAACAAACATTAACAAATCTAAAGGGGGAGATAGACTGCAATACAGTAATAATAGGGAACTTTAACACTCCACTCTCAGCAATGAACAGATCATCTGGACAAAAAAATCAGCAAAAAAATCAGAGTTAAACTGTACACTAGAACAAATTGGTCTAACTGACATTTACAGAACATATCACCCAACTATTCCAGAACACACATTTTTTTCATTAGCTTGTGGAACATCTCCAGAATAGATCATATCTTAGGCCAAAAAACAAGTCTCAAAAAATTCAAAAAGGTAGAAATCATATCAAGTATATTTTCTGACTTCAACTGAATAATGCTAGAAAATCAATAACAAGAGGAGCCTCAGAAGCCACACAAACACATGGAAATTAAACAACATGCTCCTGAATAATCAATGGGTCATGAAGAAATTAAGAAGGAAATAAAACATTTTTTGAATCAAATGAAAATGGGACTACAACATACCAAAATCTATGAGATACAGCAAAGCAGTATTATGAAGACAGTTTATAGCAATAAATATGTATATTTAAAAAGTAGAACAACCTCAAATAAATAACCTAATGATGCACTTCACGGAACTAGAGAAGCAAGAACAAACCAAACCCAAAATTAGTAGAAGAAAAGAAATAATAAAGATCAGAGCAGAAATAAATAAAATTGAGACTAAAAAAATACAAAAGATTTCTACATATGGCTAGCCAGTTTTCCCAGCACCATTTATTAAATAGGGAATCCTTTCCCCATTGCTTGTTTTTCTCAGGTTTGTCAAAGATCAGATAGTTGTAGATATGTGGCATTATTTCTGAGGGCTCTGTTCTGTTCCATTGATCTATATCTCTGTTTTGGTACCAGTACCATGCTGTTTTGGTTATTGTAGCCTTGTAGTATAGTTTGAAGTCAGGTAGTGTGATGCCTCCAGCTTTGTTCTTTTGGCTTAGGATTGACTTGGCGATGTGGGCTCTTTTTTGGTTCCATATGAACTTTAAAGTAGTTTTTTCCAATTCTGTGAAGAAAGTCATTGGTAGCTTGATGGGGATGGCATTGAATCTGTAAATTACCTTGGGCAGTATGGCCATTTTCACGATATTGATTCTTCCTATCCATGAGCGTGGAATGTTCTTCCATTTGTTTGTATCCTCTTTAATTTCATTGAGCAGTGGTTTGTAGTTCTCCTTGAAGAGGTCCTTCACGTCCCTTGTAAGGTGGATTCCTAGGTATTTTATTCTCTTTGAAGCAATTGTGAATGGGAATTCACTCATGATTTGGCTCTCTGTTTGTCTGTTATTGGTGTATAAGAATGCTTGTGATTTTGTACATTGATTTTGTATCCTGAGACTTTGCTGAAGTTGCTTATCAGCTTAAGGAGATTTTGGGCTGAGACAATGGGGTTTTCTAGATATACAATCATCTGGAACCCTTCCTTACACCTTATACAAAAATCAATTCAAGATGGATTAAAGACTTAAACGTTAGACCTAAAACCATAAAAACCCTAGAAGAAAACCTAGGCATTACCATTCAGGACATAGGCACGGGCAAGGACTTCGTGTCTAAAACACCAAAGCAATGGCAACAAAAGCCAAAATTGACAAATGGGATCTAATTAAACTAAAGAACTTCTGCACAGCAAAAGAAACTACCATCAGAGTGAACAGGCAACCCACAAAATTGGAGAAAATTTTCGCAACCTACTTATCTGACAAAGGGCTAATATCCAGAATCTACAATGAACTCAAACAAATTTACAAGAAAAAAACAAACAACCCCATGAAAAAGTGGGCAAAGGACAGGAACAGACACTTCTCAAAAGAAGACATTTATGCAGCCAAAAAACACATGAAAAAATGCTCATCATCACTGGCCATCAGAGAAATGCAAATCAAAACCACAATGAGATACCATCTCACACCAGTTAGAATGGCGATCATTAAAAAGTCAGGAAACAACAGGTGCTGGAGAGGATGTGGAGAAATAGGAACACTTTTACACTGTTGGTGGGACTGTAAACTAGTTCAACCATTGTGGAAGTCAGTGTGGTGATTCCTCAGGGATCTAGAACTAGAAATACCATTTGACCCAGCCATGCCATTACTGGGTATATACCCAAAGGACTATAAATCATGCTGCTATAAAGACACATGCACACGTATGTTTATTGTGGCACTATTCACAATAGCAAAGACTTGGAACCAACCCAAATGTCCAACAATGATAGACTGGATTAAGAAAATGTGGCACATATACACCATGGAATACTATGCAGCCATAAAAAATGATGAGTTCATGTCCTTTGTAGGGACATGGATGAAATTGGAAATCATCATTCTCAGTAAACTATTGCAAGAACAAAAAACCAAACACTGCATATTCTCACTCATAGGTGGGAATTGAACAACGGGAACACATGGACACAGGAGAGGGAACATCACACTCTGGGGACTGTTGTGGGGTGGGGGGAGGGGGGAGGGATAGCATTGGGAGATATACCTAATGCTAGATGATGAGTTAGGGGGTGCAGCGCACCAGCATGTCACATGTATACATATGTAACTAACCTGCACATTGTGCACATGTACCCTAAAACTTAAAGTATAATAATAAAAAAAAACAAAAGATAACCAAAATGAAAAATTGGTTTTTTGAAAGGATAAACAAAACTGACAGACCTTTACCTAGACTAAGAGAAAAAGAAGATGCAAATAAATGAAATTAGAAACAAAAAAGGAGACATAACAACTGATACCACAGAAATACAGGAATCATTAGAGACTATTATGAACAACTATACACCAATAGATTGGGAAACCTAGAGGAAATGGACAAATTCTTGGACACATACCTACCATGATTGAACCATGAAGAAATAGAAAACTTCAACAAACCAATAAGAAGTTATGAAATCAAAGCTGTAATAAAACAGCTCCCATCAAAGATTGAACCATGAAGAAATAGAAAACCTCAACAATATGGAGTAATGAAATCAAAACTGTAATAAAACGTCTTCCATCAAAGAAAAGCTTAGGATCTGATGGCTTCACTGCTAAATTCTAGCAAACATTTAAATAAAAACTAATACCAATTCTACTGAAAGACTTCAAAAAAATTAAAGAGGAAAAAATACTTCCAAACTCATTCTACGAGGCCAGCATTATCCTAATACCAAAACCAGTCACAGACGCAACAACAAAAAAAAGACTATAGGCCAATATCACTTATCACCAATATCACCAATATCACCAGTGGTTTGCCAGGGGCTCTCAGGCCTTTGGCCGTAGACTCAAGGCTGCACTGTTGGCTTCTCTACTTTTGAGGCTTTGGGACTCAGACTGGCTTCCTGGCTTCTCAGCTTGCAGATGGCTGGACCTTGTGATTGTGTGAGTCAATTCTCCTAATAAACTCCCCTTCATATATTAATCTATCCTATTAGTTCTGTCCCTTTAGAGAACCCTGACTAATGCAATAGCCTATATGAAAACAAAATCAAGAAAACATATTTACAGTAGCATAAAAAATAATTAGGAATAAATTTAACCAAGGGGATGACAGATCTGTACACTGAAAACTATAAAACATTGATGAAAGAAATTGAAGAAGGTACAAATAAACAGAAAGATACCTTATGCTCTGAGATAAAAAGAATTAATATTATTAAAATGTACATACTACCCAAAGTGTACACATTCAATGTAATCTCTGTCAAAATCCCAATTACATTCTTCACAGAAATAGAAAAAACAATCCAAAAGTTTATATGAAACCATAAAAGTTTCTGAATAGCCAAAGCAATTCTGAGAAAAAAGAATAAAGTTGGAAACATCACACTTCCTGATTTTAAATTATGTTACAAAATGATAGTAATCGAAACAGTTTGGTACTGGTAGAAAAACAGACACATAGACCAGTGGAACAGAATAGAGAGTGAAGACGTAAATTTAAACTTACATAGTTAACTAACTTTTGACAGGGGCACTACAATGACACAATGGGAAAAAACAGTTTCTTCAATAAATGGTGCTGGAAAAACTGGATTTCTGCATGCAAAGAATGGAACTGGACCTTTATCTTACACCATACACACAAAATCAACTCAAAATGGATAAGAAATCTGAATGTAAGACCTAAGACCATAAAACTCCTAGAAAAGAACACAGTGAAAAAGCTCCTTGACATTGGCCTTGTCAGTGACTTATTTCAACATCACACCAGAAAGGCTACAAAAGCAAAGATAAATACATGATACTATTTAAAAATGAAAAGCTAACTGGGCACAGTGGCATGCATCTGTAATTCCAGCTACTTGTGTGGCTGAGGTGGGAGGATCCCTTGAGCCTAGGAGTCTGAGACCAGCCTGGGCTATATAGCAAGACTCCCATCTCAGTAAATAAATAAATACGTAAAATAAAAAGCTTCTGCACAGCAAAGGAAACTATCAACAGAGTGAAGAGACAACCTATGGAATGGAAGAAAATATTTTCAAGTCATATATCTGATAAGGGTTAATATCTAAAATGTATTTGTTTTGAATTATTTGCTTTCTACTATTGTGTGTGTTTTCAATTAAAAGTGGGCAAAGGATCTGAATAGACATTTTTGCCAGAGAAGACATAAAAATGGCCAATAGGTATAGAAAAAGATGCTTAACATAATTAATCATCAGGGAAATGCAAATGAAAACCATTTTGAGATATCTTCTTATACTTGTTAAGTTGACTATTATCAAAAATTCAAGAGAACAAGTGTTGGTGAAGGTGCGAGGAAATCACTGTAGGAATGTAGATTGGTGCAGCCATTATGAAAAACAATATAGAGGTTCTTACAGAAATTAAAAACAGAGGTACCATATGATCCAACAATCCCTCTTCTCGGCATGTACTCAAAGGAAATAAAGGCACCTCCTCAAAAATAAATGTGTGCTTCCATGTTCATTGCAGCATTATTCATAATAGCCAAGATAGGGAAACCTAAGTGTCTGTCAGTGGACAAATAGATAAACAAATATATGTACACACACACACACACACACACACACACACACAAAGAATATTATTCATCCTTAAAAAGAAAAAGATCCTGCCATTAGCTATAACATGGATAAACCTGGAAGACATTATTCTAGTGGAAATAAGCCAGGCACAGAAAGAAAAAAATGTTGCATGATCTCACTTACATGTGGAGTCTGTTTTTAGAAGTCAAATATACAAAGATAGGGAGTAAAAGAGTAATTACCAGGGGCACGGTTGGGGGTAGAGAGGAAATGCAGAAATTAGGTCAGAGGATGCAAAGTAGCATATATGTGGGATGAACAAGTCTAGAGATCTAATAAACAACATAAGGGCTATAGTTACTAAAAATTGTACTGTATTTAGGATTATTGCTAAATAAGTAGATTTCAGCTGTTCTTGCCACAAAAACAAAACCAGAAAAAGTGGTATGGATTTTTTTGATGATGGATATGTTAATTTGCTTCACTATAGTAATCATTATACTATCTATATATCATCCCATATAGCATGCTGTATATCTTAAATATACACAATAAATATTTTTTAAAAACAGTACTGCTATACACAGTAACATGTAAGAATTGTAGATGCTGAGGGAAAAAAACATTAAGTATAAAAAGTACATATTGTACTATTTTATTTATATAAATCTCGAACATGAAACTATTGTGTTTCGGGATGCATATTTAGGTAGTAAAACTTTAAAACATAGCGAGGAAATAATTACACAAACTGTCAAAACAGTGGTTGCCTTTAGGAGAAGGAAGCTATACTAAAGAAATTTAATGAGATTCTATTTACAAAACATTTTCTTTTTTTTTTTCTGAGACAGGGTCTCACTCTGTCACCCAGGCTGGAGTGCAGTGGCTTGATCTCGGCTCACTGCAACCTCCGCCTCCCGGGTTCAATAGTTTCTCCTGCCTCAGCCTCCCTGGTAGCTGGGATTATAGGCACCCACCACCGCACCGGGCTATTTTTGTATTTTTAGTAGAGATGGGGTTTCACCATGTTGGCCAGGCTTACAAAAACACTTTCAAAGCAGAAAGTTTGAAAATGCAAGGATAGGAAAAGATATTCCATAAAAAAACACACAAGCACACACTCACACCATGAAGCAAATAATAATTTGGGATAAGACCACTGAAGGCAGAAAAATGGTCTATAAAAAGGTCCTAAAGCTTAAAGTAATATAGTGCATTTAAGAACATATAGGATGCCAGTTTGGTTGAAGTCTAATGAGCCAAAGAGCATAGGTATGATGCATCTGGTGAGGGACTTACAGTGGAGTCATATTGTGGAGATTTGAGACTCTATCCTAATAATCAGAAGTCATAGACAGTTCTTCATCAGAGAATATTTTTGTTTTCTGACTACCAAACAAAGAATTGCAGTGAACAAGAGTTTAAGTGGAGACACTAGCTAGGAACCTGCTGTAATGCCCAAGGCTAGTGTCTTGTACTAAAGTAATAACCCAGGTGGGAGAAAGGAGCTTTTTTTATAAGATATTTTGGATGTAAAACTGAAAGGACTTAATGGTAAGAGTAAGGGAGTCCTCAATTAATTATTTCTAGAGAATGTCGTAAGAGGGAGAGAGGTATGGCCCTTCTTTTGAAGGACTCTATTGTTTTCACTTCTCCCAGGAGAAATATATTTATTCTTTCTCTCTATGCAAGACATTTGCCCAAATTCAAAAGAACCAAATGCTTGAATCAACAGGAAATCTAGTACATGCTCCCAAGACAAATATGAATACAGACTCAACGGACAAGCACACATGGAACTGGGGTTGGATGGACGTTTAGAGAGAGAAAAATACCTTCATAATAAGCTAAATGAAAGTTGCACTGCAATAAACATGCAGATTGTGTATAATCATATTTTGGTTAAACAAATCCAGTGATTGAAAGCAGGCTCTAGAGTTTTGAGAAAGAACTATTTCTACTTTTCCTTCTACCTTAGAGAGGGTCTTGCTCTGTTGGCCAGGCTGGAGTGCAGTTGCATGATCATAGCTCACTGCAGCCTCAATCTCCTGGGCTCAAGCAATCCCCTGCCTCAGTGTCCTGAATAACTAGGACTTCAGGTGTGTGCTACCATGCTATTATTAATATTTTTGTAGAAACAAGGGTCTCACTATGTTGCCCAGGCTGGTCTTGAACTCCTGGCCTCAAGTGATCCTCCCTCCTTGACCTCCCAAAGTGCTGGGATTACAGGTATGAGCCACTGCACCTGGCCAATACTTTCCCTAAGGTAAAGCTAGGGATGACACTTACGTTCCAGGGAAGATTACGAAAAAATGTAGGTGGAGTAATTGACAAGAAACCATCGGTTTCCAGAAACAAATAGATTAGTCTTCAATGAAAATAAAGTTTATAAAATCCTTTTGTGTTTGTCAGTTTGTGTACTCATATTCATAAGATTGAAATCCGATTTTTAAAGAAATTTTATAATCCCACAAGACTTTCCAACAGCAACCAATATTATAATCTCTTTAATAAATACAAATTCCCAAATTATACAACATTAAACGGGCTTGGGACTTCAGTTGGTCCAGATTAAAGAGAACTCTCATTCTCTGATTTAGATGGGGTTACTTTTTCTCTGCCTGTTGGCTATGCACAGGGAAGTACAAGGCTTTAATCACTGCTGCAGCCATCACAGCAGCCTGTGAAGAAAGCCAGTCTAAACATGACATTGATACTGTGGCAAGTAGAATTATGGGCAAAATTCCTACGGGTCTTTGATGCCCTCATAGAACCACTGACCACTGAATCAGACCACTGAATCAGATTGAACAGTATTATCTTAGTTTTGTAAGAATATATGTGGTGTATGTATGAATGTGTGTGTGCACACTAACAGAGGGAAAAGAATAGAGTGAGAGTGAGAGAGAGTAGGATATGAAAGGATATACATCAAAATATTAATTGTGCTTATCATTAGGTGATGGGATGTGGTAATCTTATTTTCTACTTTAGAGAGGGCTTTTAAAAAGCATAGTCTCTAATTTCAGTCAATCTATAACGTCATAAGTCAATTTTTTATTTGCAAAAAGGTTGGAGTGAAACTTTGTGTTGCACAGGTCAATCCAGTGCTGAAGTTCTGAATTCCTCTAGCTTCAGTCCTGACTTTCTACTGTCACCTAATTTTGCATAACACAATTATCAATAATGAAAATAATAATCCACATTTGTATTGCTTTATAGTTTACAAAGCTTTTCATCTGTATTATTATTTCCTTTCCCCATTGAGAAAACAAAGACTCCTAAATATTTAATGACTTGATAAAATTTACACGGTGAAGCTTAACTGTATACACAGCATGAGTGTATCAGAATTTTAGCTCCTATAGACAACTACGTATGTCTTCATGCTTTTCTTTAATCCATACTTTTCTATTTGGGGGATATGCTTTTTGATATTTCTTTGTATATAAGAATCCCTCAGTGAAAATAGAACCATCATACCTGTTCAATGAATCCTCAGTGTGTTCATTCATTTACATCTTAATTTAGCAAATGTACAATGAGCCCCTGCTGTGTGTTCGGCACTGTGCTAGGTATCGGAGATAGCATGATGGTGAAGAAGATCCAATCCCTGCCTAAAAGTTGCTCAAGATCTAATTGGGTAGATGGACTTTTAAATAGATTTATAAAGCTGTGTGGAAGGGTAATAACAGGAATATGTACATGGTGTTTGATTTTCTTTTGAACCAGACACATAGCAGATACTCAAAAAATGTTTGTTTTGAATGCTGTAGTTTGATGTGCTTGATTACTGGTACTGATTTTGAATGAGGTTGATTTCTGTTTGTGAGGATGGTAGTCTTGATTGCTATTATCTAGTTGCTCAGTGTTATGTTATGAATAGGATGCGTAAACACCCTATTCAGAATATCTTTTATGTAGTTTGTTCACCTATGTTCTCAAAAAATTATCTGCTTTCTCTCCAGTCTTTCAACTTGAGCAGATAACTTTTCAAAATTATCTCCCAATGTTAATAAACCCTATTGGGAAGAAGAATAAAAGCAAGAATGACTCATGATTGAGAAGGCAAATTAACAGTTGGAACTACTTCGTAGGATACTCAGAATAAAAGACAAAATTAAACAGCTGAACTAGTTGCTTTGCTGTATTAAATTCAAGTCCCCTAGCAGCCATTCTCCCATTCTTCCAAGTAGTAACAGAACCTTTCCCCCCCAAAAAAAATTTTCCAGGGAATATGGCTAACAAGTTAGAGATGACATTTTCCAGCCCTCCTTGCATTGCGTTCACACCCATGTGAATACAGTGTGGTGTGTAAGCTCAGTGTGTGTGCGATTTCCATGTGGAATATTTAAAAGGACACTGCTTGCCTTCCGCTTTCTCCTTTCCTCACTTCTTTTTGGATGGTGTGTACGTATGCTTCTGTTGAGCTATTTCCAGTCATGTGGTTGAGGACAACGCTCCAGGGAGTATGTAGAATAACACAGAGGGAACATCAGGGACCAATGCCAGCTACAAAGCTTGGACCATGTACCTGCCTCTGTTGTGGTAGATAAAGATGAAGTTCTACCTTGTTACAATCACTGTATTTGGGAATCTTTTTACTATAGGAGCTTAGCCTGTATGCAAACTCATACAAGTGCCTTGTTTGCTTCAGGGAAGCACATGAGACTTCTGGAGAAACAAAGGATAATAGACATGGGATACAAACAGATTGATGCCTTTATGGACAGATGTTACAGCTCACTTAACACATAATTCCAATAACATTTTATCTTGCTTTCCTCTGATAAGGGCTGAAATATTAAAAACTTCTCTTTCTAGACTCCATGGCAGCTAGTATGATCATGTGACCCAGTTCTATCCAATGTATCATATGTGAAAATTGGATGAGGATTTCTGGTAAAACCTTGCTTTCCTGATATTATCCCCTCCTCCTCCTTCTCTTTTCCAATTTCCTTCTTTCAAGAACATAAATATGAGGATTTAAAGTAGAATATTCTTGTAATCTTGAAGGAAAAGTAGAGATCGTAGAGATCTCAGTCCTACCATGTTAGGCCATTGAACCTATGCCAGCAACTACTTAACTAAACATATTTTGGTATATGATGTCTCTACTAAAAATACAAAAAATTAGCCAGGCGTGGTGGTGGGCGCCTGTAGTCCCAGCTACTCAGGAGGCTGAGGCAGGAGAATGGCATGAACCCGGGAGGTGGAGCTTGCAGTGAGCCGAGATCGCGCCACTGCACTCCAGCCTGGGCGACAGAGAGAGACTCCGTCTCAAAAAACAAACAAACAAACAAAAACATTGAAAATGTGTTTAACCACAATGTAGATAACTTTTCTGTAACTCATAACTAAAAATTGTTACTGATCGATTTATGAGAGAGCAAAGAGAAGGAAACCCTCATGGAGGAAAAAGAGACAAGATAAACTTCCCTCAATATTTTTCTGCTTATTGGTTATCTGTTGCCACAAATGTGTCAAAAGTGTACTGTAAAAGAAATAACAATAAAGCCTTGGTGACATTAAATAGGAAACATTTATTGCTCATACGTCTGGAGCCTATTGGAAGTTGGTTAGGTGACTCTGCTAATCTTGGTTTGGCTCGCTCACATGTCCAAGGGTAAGCTGTCTGTTAGCTGATCTAGGATGCTTTATATGAGCTAGCAGATGAATCATTTCTGCTCCACCTGTTTCTCAACCTTCAGCATAATTGTCCTGAGATGTTCTCATGTTGATGGCAGAGATAAAACAGCAAGGACAAATCCAATTACTTAAGCACTTGTCAAGTCTCTGCTTGTATTATGTTTGCTAACAACTCATGAGCCCAAGCAAATCACATGGCGAGGCACAGATTCAAGGGGTTCAATAAAGAGTCAGGACACAAAATATATCACTGTGTTGGGTAAAGCTTCCTCCTTTCTTCCTTCCTTCCTTCCTTTATTCCTTCCCTCCTTTCCCAAAGTTTCTTTCTTTTTTTTTCAACTTTTATTTTAGGTTCAGGGGGTACATGTGCAGGTTTGTTACATGGGTAAATTGTGTATCACTATGGTTTAGTGTACAAATGATTTCGTCACTCAGGTAGTGAGCATAGTACCTGATAGGTAGTTTTTTGACCCTCACCCTCCTCCAACCCTCCTCTTACAAGTAGGCCCCAGTGTCTTTTGTTCCCATCTTTATGCTCATGTATACTCAATGTTTAGCTCCCACTTATAAGTGAGAACATGTGGTGTGTGGTTTTCTAATCTTGCATTACTTTGCTAGGATAAAGTCCTCTAGCTCCATCCATGTTGCTGCAAATCACATGATTTTATTCTTTTCATGGTTGTGTAGCAAACCATGGTGTATGTGTACCATTTTCTTTATCCAGTTACCACTGTTGGGCACCTAGATTGATTCCATGTCTTTGCTATTGTGAATAGTGCTTCAATGAATGTACAGATGCACGTGTCTTTTTGATAGAATGGTTTATATTCATTTGGTTATTCACCCAGTAATGAGATTGCTGGGTCAAATGGTAGCTTGGTTTTAAGTTCTTGGAGAAATCTCCAAACTGCTTTCCCCAGTGGAAACTAATTTATATTCCCACTGGGAGTGTATGTATTCCTCTTTCTCCACAACCTCACCAACATCTGTTATTTTTTGACTTTTTACTAATAGCTATTCTGACTGGTGTAAGATGATATCTCACTGTGGTTTTGATTTGCATTTCTCTAATGATTAGTGATGTTGAATATTTTTTAACATGCTTATTGGCTACATGTATGTCTTCTTTTGAGAAATGTCTATTCATGTCATTTGCCCATTTTTAATGGGGTCGTTTGTGTTGTGTTTGTTAATTTGTTTAAATTGCTTATAGATTCTGGATGTTATAACTTTGTCAGATGCATAGTTTATGAATATTTACTCCAATTCTGTAGGTTGATAGTTTCTTTTGCTGTGCAGAAGCTGTTTAGTTTAATTAGGTTCCACTTGTCTATTTTTGTTTTGTTGCAATTTCTTTTGGAGACTCCATCATGAAATCTTTGCCAAGGCCTATATCCTAAATGGTATTCCCTAGGTTTTTTTTAAAGAGATTTTTATAGCTTTAGGTCTTAAATTTAAGTCTTTAATTTATCTTGATTTAATTTTTGTATATGGTATAAGGAAGGGGTCTAGGTTCAATCTTCTGCACATGGTTAGCTAGGTAGCCCAGCACCTTTTATTGAATAGGGAGTCCTTTCCCCATTGCTTGTTATTGTTGACTTTGTCAAAGATCAGGTGGTTGTAGGTGTGTGGCTTTATTTCTAGGCTTTCTATTCTGTTCCATTGGTCTCTGTGTCTGTTTTTGTACCAGTACCACACTGTTTTGGTTACTATAGCCTTGTGGTATGGTTTGAAGTTGGGGAATGTGATTCATCCAGTTTGTTCTTTTTGCTTAGGATTGCTTTGGCTATTGGGGCTATTTTGGGGTTCCTTGTGAATTTTAGAATAGTTTTTTTTTTTTTAATCTGTGAAAAATGATATTGGTAATTTGATATGAATAACATTGTAAATTACTGTATGTAGTACAGCCATTTTAATAATATTGATTCTTCTAATCCATGACCATGAAATGTTTTTCCATTTGTTTGTTTCATCTCTGATTATATTCAGCAGTGTTTTGTCATTCTGTTGTAGAGATCTTTCACTTCCCTGGTTGGCTGTATTCCTAGATATTTTATTCTTTTTGTGGCTAGTGTGAATGAGATTGTGTTCTTAATTTGGCTTTCAGTGTGGATATTGTTGGTGTATAGAAATGCTGATGATTTTTTACATTGATTTTGTATCCTGAAACTTTACTGAAGTTGTTTATCAGTACTTGGAGCCTTTGGCAAAGACTATGGAATTTTCTAGGTGTAGAATCAAACCATCTGGAAAGCAAGGTAATTTGACTTTCTCCCTTCCTATTTGAATGCCTTTTATTCATTTCTCTTGCCTAATTGCTTTGGCTAGGACTTTCAGTACTATTTTTTTTTTTTTGAGACGAAGTCTCACTCTTGTCCCCCAGGATGGAGTGCAATGGCAATCTTGGCTTACTGTAACCTCTGCCTCCTGGGTTCAAGCAATTCTCCTGCCTCAGCCTCCCGAGTAGCTGGGATTATAGGTACCTGCCACCACACCCAGCTAATTTCTGTATTTTTAGTAGAGATGAGGTTTCACGATGTTGGCCAGGCTGGTCTTGAACTCCTGACCCCAGGTGATCTGCCCACCTCAGCCTCCCAAAGTGCTGGGATTACAGGCATGAGCCACCATGTCCAGTCTTTCAGTACTATTTGAATAGGAGTGGTGAGAGTGGGTATCCTTGTCTTGTTGCAGTTCTCCAGGGGAATGCTTCCAGCTTTTGCCCATTCAGTATGATGTTCATTGTGCATCTGCCATAGAAGGCTCTTATTATTTTCAGATATGTTCCTTCAATGCCTAGTTTGTTGAGAGTTTTCAACATGAAGCAATGGTGAATTTTATCCAAAACCTTTCTGCATCTATTGAGGTAATCATGTGGATTTTTATTTTTAGTTCTCTTTATGTGATGAATCACATTTCTTGATTTGCATATGTTGAACCAACTTTGCATCTCAAGAATAAAGCCTACTTGATCATGGCGAATTAGCTATTTGATGTGCTGCTGGATTTGGTTTGCTAGTATTTTGTTGAGGATTTTTGTGTATATTGGTCTGAAGCTTTGAGGATATTTGAGGATATTGGTCTGAAGCTTTCTTTTTTTCAATGTGTCTTTGCCAGGTTGTGGTATCAGAATGAATTAGGAAGGAGTCTCTCCTCCTTGATTTTTTCAGACCAATTTTAGTGAGATTGGTGCCAACTCTTCTTTGTACATCTGGTAGAATTTTGCTATGAATCCATCTGTTCTAGGGCTTTTTCTGGTTGATAGGGTTTTTTTTTCTTTTTACATTACTGTTCAATTTTGGAACTCATTAATTGGTCTGTTCAGGATTTCAGTTTTTTTCTGGTTCAATCTTGGGAGGTTGTATGTTTCCAGGAATTCATCCATTTCTTCTGGGATTTCTAGTTTGTATACATAGAGGTGTTCATAATAGTCTCTGAGGATTTTTTGTATTTCTGTGGGGCTGAGGCTTATGTCACCTTTGTCATTTCTGATTGTGTTTATTGGGATCTTCTCTCTTTTTCTCTTTTTTCTTTGTTAATCTAGCTAGTGATTTATCAATTTTGTTCATCTTTTGATGAACTGAATTTTGTTTTTGTTCATCTTTTGCATGCTCAGTTTTGTTCAGTTCAGCTCTGATTTTGGTTATTTATTTTCTTCTGCTGGTCTGAGGATTGGTTTGCACTTTTTCCCCCAGTTCCTCTAGATGTGATATTATGTTGTTAATTTGAGATCTTTCTAATTTCTTGATGTAGGTGTTTAATGTTCCTATTAACACTGCTTTAGCTGTGTCCCGGAGATTCTGTTATATCTTCGTTTTTACTCATTTCAAATTTTTTTTGTTTTTGCCTTAATTTCTTTTTTTTTTCTTGATCTGCTTTTTTTTTATTATTATACTTTAAGTTTTAGGGTACATGTGCACATTGTGCAGGTTAGTTACATATGTATACATGTGCCATGCTGGTGCACTGCACCCACTAACTCGTCATCTAGCATTAGGTATATCTCCCAATGCTATCCCTCCCCCCTCCCCCCACCCCACAACAGTCCCCAGAGTGTGATATTCCCCTTCCTGTGTCCATGTGATCTCATTGTTCAATTCCCACCTATGAGTGAGAATATGCAGTGTTTGGTTTTTTGTTCTTGCGATAGTTTACTGAGAATGATGATTTCCAATTTCATCCATGTCCCTACAAAGGACATGAACTCATCATTTTTTATGGCTGCATAGTATTCCATGGTGTATATGTGCCATATTTTCTTAATCCAGTCTATCATTGTTGGACATTTGGCTTGGTTCCAAGTCTTTGCTATTGTGAATAGTGCCGCAATAAACATATGTGTGCATGTGTCTTTATAGCAGCATGATTTATAGTCCTTTGGGTATATACCCAGTAATGGCATGGCTGGGTCAAATGGTATTTCTAGTTCTAGATCCCTGAGGAATCGCCACACTGACTTCCACAATGGTTGAACTAGTTTACAATCCCACCAACAGTGTAAAAGTGTTCCTGTTTCTCCACATCCTCTCCAGCACCTGTTGTTTCCTGACTTTTTAATGATCGCCATTCTAACTGGTGTGAGATGGTATCTCATTGTGGTTTTGATTTGCATTTCTCTGATGGCCAGTGATGATGAGCATTTTTTCATGTGTTTTTTGGCTGCATAAATGTCTTCTTTTGAGAAGTGTCTGTTCATGTCCTTTGCCCACTTTTTGATGGGGTTGTTTGTTTTTTTCTTGTAAATTTGTTTGAGTTCATTGTAGATTCTGGATATTAGCCCTTTGTCAGATGAGTAGGTTGCAAAAATTTTCTCCCATTTTGTAGGTTGCCTGTTCATTCTGATGGTAGTTTCTTTTGCTATACAGAAGCTCTTTAGTTTAATTAGATCCCATTTGTCAATTTTGTCTTTTGTTGCCATTGCTTTTGGTGTTTTTGCCTTAATTTCTATCTTTACTCAAAAGTCATTCAGGAGCAGGTTGTTTAATTTCCATGTAATTGTCTGGTTTTGAGAGATCATCTTGATATTGATTTCTATTTGATTGTGTGGTGATTCAAGAGTGTGATTAGTATGATTTTGTTTTTTTAAATTTTTTTCAGAATTGCTTTAAGGCCAAGTGTGTGGTTGATCATAGAGTATGTGCTGCATGCAGATGAAAAGAATGGATATTCTGTTGTTGTTGAGTGGGGTATTCTGTAAACTTCTCTATGTTCATTTGGTCAAATGTTGAGTTTGGGTTCTGGATATTACTGTTACTTTTCTGCCTCAATGATCTGTCTAACACTGTCAGTGGAGTGTTGATGTCTCCCACTATTATTGTGTGGTTATCTAAATCTCTTCATAGGTCTCTAAGAACTTGTTTTATGAATCTACGTACTCCAATGTTGGGTACATACATATTTAGAAGAGTTAAGTCTTATTGTTTAATTAAATGCTTTATCATTATATGATGTCCTTCTTTGTCATTACTGATCATAGTTTGTGTAAAATCTCTTTTGTCTGATATAAGCATAGGAACTCCTGCTCTTTTTTGTTTTCTGTTTCCTTGATAGATCTTTCTCCATCCTTTCATTTTGAGCCTATGGGTGTCATTGCATATGAGATGCATCTCTTGAAGACAGCATATAGTTAGGTCTTGCTTCTTTATCAAACTTACTGCTCTATGCCTTTTCAGTGGGGGTGTTTAGTCCATTTACATTAAAGATCAGTATTGATTTGTGAGGATCTGATCCTATCACTATGTTGTTAGCTGGTTGTTATGTATACCTGATTATACAGTTGCTTTATAGTGTCGGTGGGCTATGTACTTAGTGGGCTATGTACAAAAGCATGATGTGCTTTGTGGGAGCAGGTATGGATCAGGCAAGTTTACCACTCCCTTAAGGACCTCTTGTAAAGTAGGTCTGGTGGTAATGAATTCTTTTAGCATTTCCTTGCCTGAAAAGGATTTTATTTCTCCTTTGCATATGAAGTTGAGTTTGGCTGAATATCAAATTCTTGGTTGAAATTTCTTTTCTTTCAGGATGCTGAATATAGGCCCCCAATCTCTTCTGGCTTGTAAGGTTTCTGCTGACAGTTTCACTGTTAGCCCGATGGGGTTCCCTTTGTAAACGACTTTCTCCTTCTCTTTAGCTTCCTTTAAGGTTTTTTCTTTCACATTGACCTTTGGGAATGTGATTACTATGTGTCTTGGGGATGGTCACCTTGTAGAGTATCTTGCAGGAGTCCTCTGAATTTTCTAAATTTACATGTTGGCCTCTCTAGCAAGGTTGGGGAAATTTTCATGGACAATAACCTCAAATATGTTTTCCAAGTTAATTGCTGTCTCTCCATCTCTTTCAGGAATGCCAATGAGACATCTGTTTGATCTCTTGACATAATCCCATATTTCTCAGAGGTTTTGCTCATTTTTTAAAATTATTTTTTATTTATATTTGTCTGCCTGTCTTAATTTGAAGGAGCAGTCTTCAAGCTCTGAGATTCTTTCCTCAGCTTGCTCTATTCTGTTATTAATGGTTCAAATTACATTATGAAATTCCTATAGTTAATTTTTCACTTCCAGAAGTTCTATTTGGTTTTTTCTTGAAATGGCTTTGTCACATTTCAACTCTTTGGTTGTTTACTGCTGTCCTTATATTGGTTTAAGCCTCTTCCTATATCTTGTTGAACTGCCTTGTCCTCTAGATTCTGAATTCTATATCTATTATGTCAGCCACTTCAATCTGGTTAAGAAGCATTGCTCAGGAGCTAGCATGGGCATTTGGAGATAAATAGACACTCTGGGTGTTAGAATTGCCAGAGTTCTTGTGCTGGTTCTTTCTCATCTGTGTGGTTTGAAGTTCCTCCAATCTTTAAAGTTACTGTCCTTTGGATGGGGCTTTTTGCTTTTTTTTTTTTTTTGTATGTCTTTGAGGGTTTGATTGTTGTACATGTTGAATACCATCAATTGGCCTCATTTCTGGATTCTTTCAGGGGGCCACAGCTCAGCTCAGCACTCCTGGGCTATATATTCTAACACTGGAGAGCTGGAATCCAGCCCACAACTTCATTCTCTGTCCACTCAAGGTCCAGCACCTGCTGCACTGGAGGGGGCACGGTGTTCACAGACTACTGGGAACAACACTCTGATGGGTGCTGTTGGCAAAAGTGCTGCAGCAGGGGGGCTGGAGGGCCACAGGATACTGTGCTGTGGTGGGGTGGGGGGTGCAAGTGAGTGTGCCCTACTGGGGTGGTGTGGGGGATGCCAGCAGGTATGTATCAACAGGGCAGTGGGGGTGCTGCAGGTGAGTGCACACTGGTGGGGTAGCAGTGGGTCCTGGTACATATCCTCTGGCAAGGCAGCAAGGCGGGTGGGGGCAGTAATGCAGGCAGGTACGCCCATGGAGGAAGGCTGCAGGTGGATGTATGGCAGCGGATGTCCATCTGCAAATTCTCTGGGACAGAAAGGCAGGGGCTACTGGTGAAAGAGCTATGGTGGTGACCGCTGGTAAGCATTTCAGCAGGGCAGCTATGGCTGCACTGTAAGTGTGTCCTGTCATGCCAGGATGATGGGAAAGCCTGGCAGACTGGGGCATTTACGTCAGACTGGCCCCAGTCTGTGGTCAGGACAGCCCTGCTGTCTTCAGGTCTGGCTGCTAACAAAGGCTAAATCCACCTACAAGAGCATGGCGAGCCTTGGGGGATGGGCGTCCATGGCCATGCCACACTACAGCCCTTCCCATGCCAAATGCTTGGGCTCCACTCAGACTGAAGTTCTGTCTCTTCCAACTTCCCAGGAAGTTTTCTTTGCCAACCCAAATATCCATGAGGGTCATGGGGTCTCCTGCAGCTAGAAACACTGAGGTCCATGGTGAAAGTAGGTCACTCCATGCCTATTTCATTCACCCCTTCCCTAAGTGCGGCTTGGGGCTAAAAACGAGTGCTGGTGGTCAGCAACCCTGTGCAGGGTTCCCAGCTTCCTCCGCTTTCAGCCCCAGAGTCTGAGTCCTCCCTGTATCCACTCTCAATGCCTTATTTCCAACGATCTGTTCTGAGTATGCTGGTCTCCTCAATGGTCTGGTCTGTCTCTGTGGAAGAAGCTCCTCCTCCTGGCTGCATCTAGTAGACCATCTTGGCTCTTCCCCTAGGAATAAGACTTTTGTTTATGTGGAAAGGGAGGTGGTAACTTAGGTTATCTCTACGTCAGTTATTCCTGGGAAGTTAGGTATAGGAGAAACAAACTTGTCTGGCGTCACTATCCTCTCTAGAGTTCACTAATTAGTGGAGACGTTAATTTTAAAGCAGCTGAGATGAAACACTTACAAAGAAAGATAGTATCACGATAGGACATGGTGATTAAGTTAGGATGCATTTGATTGTAATTATCAGAAAAATCTAACTCAAATATCTACTTATAATAACACATTAAAGAAGGGATAATGTAGTGGAGTAGATAATATAGAAGATTTTCCACCTAAAAATTCCTAGAAATGCCTACATTCTAGATTCAGAAAAGCATAACATCTTTCAGGTGCATGGCTCACTTCAAAGAGAGAAAAAAATAAAAAACAGAGCAGGCAAAAATAGAGTATTGAGTAGATGCTAAAGTCACAGCTACTATTGGCACATTAATCAATCTCAGTAAACAAGAGTCTTGTTTTTTGATGACTACATGAAGCCAGGAAATACAGTTTGGGACCCAAATGTGACACAGAGTTTGAACATAGGCCTGTGCATAAAGCCAATCCTATATGTCCTATATACTCAATGGAAAAATGGACTAGAAAACAGATACATTCTGTCAAAGAGAGAAAGCAAAGACCACCTGAGTAGGAAAGCAGTCTAAATATTCTAACCATAGCTGTTCATCTCACAGCATATAAAAAAATCAACTCAAAATGGACTGAAGACTTAAATGTAAGACCAGAAACCCTAAAACTACAAGAAGAAAACAAAGGGGAAAAACTAAACAACATTGGCCTGGGCAATTTTTTTTTTCAACTTACCCAAAGCACAGACAGCAAAAGGAAAAATGCAAAAATGGTATTGTATCAAACTAAAAAGCTTCTGCACAGCACAGAAAACAACAACGTGAAGAGGCAATTTATCGATTGGGTGAAAATATTATAAGCCATACATTCAATAAGGGGTTAATATTCAAAATATACAAGGAACTGAAACAATTCAAAGCAACAAAACAAATAACTCAATTTACAAATGGGCAAGGGACTTGAATAGACATTTCTCAAGAGAAAACATACAAATGGCCAACAGATGTATCTAAAATGTTCAACACTGCTAATTCATTTGCATTAGGGAAATGCAAATTAAAACCACAATGAGATATCATTTCATACCTGTCAGACAAAACAGCCATTATCAAAAAGACAAAAGGTAACAAGTGTTGGCAAGGATGTGGAGAAAAGAGAGCCCTTGTACATTGGTGGGAATGTAAATTAGTACAACCATTATGGAAAACTGCATGGAGGTTCCTAAAAAAAAATAAAAACAGAATTACTACATGATCCAGCAATCCTACTTCTAGATATCTGGCCAAAATATTTAAAATTAATTTTTCAGGAGCTCCAGGGGTGCAATCAGTTAGTGTACATTGCTTATATAAAATTAATTTGTCAAAGAAATGTCTGCATTCCCATGTTCAGTGAACCACTATTCACAATAGCCAAGTTACTGAATCAACTTAAATGTCAATCAATGAGTGAATAAAGAAAAATGTGGTATATAAATATGCAATGGATATTAACAATGGATACTATTCAGCTTTTTTATAAAAGGAAATTCTGTCATTTGTGACAGCATGGATTGAATTGGAGAATATTATACTAAGTGAAATAAGCCAGGCACAGGAAGACAGATATTTCATGTTCTCACTTATATGTGAAATCTGAAACAATCAAAATAGAAGTAGAGAGTAGAATGGTGACTACAAAGGATGGGAGGTAAGGGGAATGGAAAGATGATGATCAAAGGGTACAAAATTTCAAGTAGACAGGAGAAATAAAATTTTTGAGAACTATCACACAATGTGGTGAATATAGTTAATAACAGCATATTGTACTTTTCAACACTGCTGAGTAAATTTCAAGCATTTTCACTACAAAAATAATAAGTATATGAGGAGATGGATATGTTAATTTGATTGATTTAATTATTCCATATTGTATTCATAAATCATAACATCACTTTGTACCCATAAATACATATAACAATTAATTGCCTATTTATAATACATTTCATTAAAAAGGAGGTCAAGCAATCACAAGGCCCATGATCCCTCTGAAACTCTGGGTAGAATCTTTTATTGCTTCTTCCTAGCTTCTCGTGGTGATCAGCAATCCTTGGAACTCCTTGGCTTGCAGCTGCATCACTTCAGTTTTTGCTGCTGTTGTCACATGGCGCTCTCCCTGTATGTCTTTCCCTTCACACAGCATTTTCCTCTTCTTATAAGGACACCAGTCATATTATAGTAGGAAACCCTACAACCTCATCTTAACTTTGTTACATCTGCAAAGACGCTATTTCTAAATAAGGCCACATTCACAGGTATCACAGGTAGGGGTTGGGATTTAAACATGTCTTTTTGGGTGACACAGTTCAACTCACAATAATGAGTAAGGGACCTTACTTTGGCATGATGAAAATGGTTAATTTTATGTTGCGTTAATTTCACCTCAATAAGTTATTATTTAAAGAATCATCTGTGCATATTAATAATTATAGTAAACATAGATAAAATAAACTTTACAACTAAAAGATGGAGACTGTTGCTTTTTTAAAAAGCCAGATACATACTATTTACAGACACATGCTTAAATTCCCAAGATACAATAAGGTTACAAATAAAGTGGTGAAAAAATTCTAAGAAAATACTAATCAGAAGCAAACTAGTTTAGCCATGTTAATACCAGACAAATAAACTTTAAAGCAAAACCCATGATTAGGGATAAAGAGAATACCTGTATAAAGTGAAAATGCTTTACTTAATTGACTATGCAGTGTGTTAAATTCAAAAGGCATGTATATCATTTGAAGTATTTTTAAAATGTAGACTCAAAATTACATAAAGCAAAAATTATTAGAATTACAGGAAGAAACTGACACAACAAATACAGTAAACATAATTCTTTAGTAATTACTCATTCATATACAACAAAAATTAGCAAAAAGATTAATCAGACATCCAAATTAGTGAGCTTGATCTTATGAATATATTTATAGCTATATTTATACTTATATCTATAGCTACAAATGTTAACCTTATCCAAAAGTACAGAGTATATATTCTTAACAAGTATACATAGAACTTTTTGAAAATTGGCCATATATGCTAAGCCATGAAACAATGCTCAACAAATTTTGAAGAATGAATGACGAAGAGAGTACAATCTCTGAGTAAAAGTTAATTAGACCAGAAATCAATAACAAAATGATAATTCCAAACAAATAAAACATGAATCCAAAATGTAAACCCTACATCTGAGAAATGTAAATGTCAAAGAAAAATAACAAAATGGAAATTACAAAAGCAGAACTAAACAATAATGAAAATACATTTCAAAACTGTGGACTGCAGCTAACCTTGTATTTACAGAAAAAATAGCATAGTTCTCAATGTTCATGTCACAGAATGAGGTGTGAGTTAATGAGCTAGGTGTTCAAATAAAAAAGATTGAGATAAAAATGAAAAAAGCAAATAGAATAGAATAAAGGAAAGAAAGAGGAGAGCTAAACTTAAAAATAGAGACCTTTGATGCAAATAATGGTGAGCTAGGTGATTCAGATAAACCAAACCCTCCTACTACTAGCAACTAAAAAAGTTGTAAAAAATAAGATTAGATGTGCCAAAGAGCTAACGAGTTAGTAAAGAATTATGGACCAGAAACTTTACATTAAAAACTTAAGCACACAATTGAGAGAATATGAAAAAGTTCTAAATAAATGAAAGTATTCATTTATGTTTATGGATTGAAAATCCGGGTATTATCAAAAATGTACATTCTTTTCAAACTGATCAACAGATTTTGATGCAATCTCAATGAAAATCCCAAAAGTTTTGTGTGTGCATAAATTGACAAAACATTTGTAAAAATAAACTATAGTGTTCAGGGATGCTTTTATGATAAAACTATATATAGAGAAAGGTAATTAGTTGTTTGCTATAACATCCTAGATAGTGGTTATCTTTGAGGATAAAGAGCATTGTCGGTAGTCAAAACAACACTCAAAACATATGCAGAGACTCCAGATACTGAAATTAATGGACATAGTCTAAAAAGATTACACTTATGTTCAAGGAAATAAAAGCTAAGATTGAAAATTTGGCAGTGTAGTAAAAACCGTGATATGTTACACAGAAGGATTGAAAAATAAGAAAACTGTAGATTAAAAGTACAGTAATCAAAATTTAAAATTTAAAAGGACTGGTTTAACAATAGAACTAAAAGGGGAATAAGAACATTGAAACTTGGGCCAAGCACTGGAATATTTCCCAAAGCCAACAACCCATTCTCTGATTCTTTAGACACCAGCTGGCTGGTGTTCAACAACTCAGTTCAATTCTGACACCACCCAGAGTTAGTGCAGACCCCACAGCTTAAGTACTTAGTCTCACAAAACTGTTTCTCACTTCAGATGCTAATTGCAAATTCCAGGACACCCATACTTCTAAACAACTGGCTATAAATTTAGGATTCCCATGATCTGCTCCCCACTGTCTGCCCCTGTGTTTGATAATCTGCTGGAACAGTTCACAGAACTCAAAAAGGTATTTTACTTATGTTTACCAGTTTACCATAAAAGATACAACGCAGGAACACCAAATGGATACATAGGGCAAGGTATAGGGAGAGGGGTGTGTGGAGCATCCATGATCTTTCTGGGTAGGCCATTGTCCCAGCACTTCGATGTGTTCACTAACCAAATCTCATCGTTCAAAAGCCTTTAGTAGAGCTCAATCTTCAGCTCCCCACTCCCTTTCCCTCCCTAGAGGTTGATAGGTGAGGCTGAAAATTCCAACCCTCAAGTCACTTGACCTTTCTGGTGACCAGTGCCATCTAGAGGCTATCTAGGGGTACTACCCTAAGTCACCTCAATAGTATAAACTCAGGTATGATAGATAGGGGCTTGTTCTGAATAACAAACAACACTCTTAACACTCAGGAAATCCCAAGGTTTTAAAAGCACTGTGCCAGGAACTGGGGACAAAGACTAAATATGTTTCTTATTATGCCACAAGCACAGAGTCAAAAATTGGAAAATATAGGAGAAGGTAAAAGACATGCATATAATGGAGAGGTATATTGAATGTTTCACTGGCATTTCAGAAAGGATAGAGAAAATCGAAAGAAAATATATTTTAAATAGGAAATAGAAACTTAAAAACAGAGGAAAAAAGTAGTTCTGCGTCCCTTTAGTTGTCTGAAGAGGACGGTAAAGGAAATGATCCATGTTAGAAATGGATAATTCAAGAACGTTGTAATTTCTAGGTGCGTTAGTCCCTTTTGCATTGCTATAAAGAAATACCTGGGACTGGGTAATTTATAAAGAAAATAGATTTATTTGGCTCACTGTTCTGCAGGCTGTACAAGCATGGCGACAGCATCTGCTCAGCTTATGGGGAGGCCTCAGGAAGCTTACAATCATGGTGGACAGTGAAGGGAGAGCTGGCATATCACATGGAGAGAGAGGGAGCAAGAGAGAGAGAACAAGAGAGATGCCAGGCTCCTTTATCAACCAACTCTCACATGAACAAACAGAGTGGGAACTCACTCATTACTGCAAGGACAGCATTAAGCCATTCATGTGGAATCTGCCTCCATGATCCAAACACCTCCCACTAGGCCCACCTCCAACATTAGAGGTCACATTTCATCATGGGATTTGGAAGGGACAAAACATCCAAACCATATGACTAGGTTTGCCTCTAAAAGAATAAAAAATGTCACAGCTAATATATGGCAGAAATGAAATCATTTAAAAAATGAAACGTCACCTCATACCCACTAGAATGGCTATATTTTAAAATACAGGTAATAAGTGTTTGCAAAGATGTACAGAAATGAGAGCCCTCAAACACTGCTGAAAGGAATGCATTTGGTTCAGCTGCTTTGGAAAACAGTCTTACAGTTCCACACACAGGTAAACGTAGAGTTACTATAGGATCCAGCAATTCCTCTGTTAGGTATATACCCAAGAAGATTGAAAGCATATATTTCCACACCAAAAAAATACACAAATATTCATAGCAGCCTTAGTCAAAATAGCCGAAAAGTGAAACAACCCAAATTCCCCGAGTGGATAAACAAAATGTGGTATGTCTATATGGTGGAATATTATTCATCCATTAAAAAAGGAAGTATTCGAAGGTGATTCAACACAGATAAACCTTTAAAACATTATGCTAAGTAAAAAAATCAGTCACCAGATATTGTGTCATTCCATTAATTTCAAATGTCCAGAATAGGCAAATCTATAGACACAGAAAATAGATTAATGATTGCCTAGGGCTTGGAGGGAGTCAGGTATAGAGGATGAAGTAATGGCTACAATGTGTGGGGTTTATTTTTGGGGTAATAAAAATGTTCTACAAATGACTGTGGCAACATATACACGACTCTATGAATGTACTAAAAGCCATTGAATTGTACACTTTATATGAATAAACATATGGTATGTAAATTGTATCTAGATAAAACTTAAAAATGAATCTAAGCAAAAACAAAATCAGAAGAAAAAACAAAATCAGGAGTAAAAACATGGAATAGATGGGAAAAATAAAAATTACATCCTAAACATATATATTCAATGAAAATAAATTAAATTTTCCAATTTGAGATATTTTCAGGCTTGATAGAAGAACAAAACGGAACTATATGTTGTTTTAAAGTCATAAATAAAATTTAAAAAATTTTAAAAGATCAAAAGTTAAAGGATGAAAAACTATGTAACCTTTGAACACTAACCAAATCAAGGAGATACGGCCATATTAATAAAATCATGTGGCACGTAATGTTTTAGTCAACAACAAACCACATATGTGATGGTGACCCCACAAGATGATAATGCCATATTTTTGCTATACATTTCCAAAGTATAAAATACTTTTGTACTTTGAATACAAAATATTTTTCAGAGTATTTGCAAAGTATTTCAAGGTATTTGCAAAACACACACTTTGCAAATTTTTTATTTTAAAATATTACTATTGTATTTATCATTGATTTTTACTGTGCCTTTAACTCTTAAAATATTACATTAAATTATCTTAAAAGTTTTAAAATTCTTTTTGCTTAATAAAAATCATATGTACTTATGATATCTAGCATGTTTTGATATAGGTATATATTGTAAAATGGTTAATCAGTCTAATTAATATGTGCTTAGATACATTTAGGTACACAAATACTTACCTTTGTGTTACAGTTGCCTACAGTATTCAGTATAGTAACAGGCTGTACAGGTTTGTAGCCTACAACAATAGGCTATATACCATATTTCCTAGGTACGTAGTAGGCTATACGATCTAGGTTTGTATACATATGCTGATGTTTACACAATGACAAAATTGTATAATGGTGCATTTTTCAGAATATGTCCTCAGTGTTAAACAACACATGAATGTATAAGAAAAATAGAAATAAATATTACTAGAGAAAAGGAGAGTTATATCATAATAACAAAATTCACCAGTTAGGAAATTTGTAAATTTGTATGAATGGAATAGTATAGCCTAAATCTGAATAAAACAAAACAAAAACAAAGACAAAAATGAGAGAATTAGAGGAAATAGAATATTCCACACTGACAGTGGGATGATTTAAGGCACTCTTTCAGTAACTTAGATTCGTTTTTTCAATTAAATTTTAATTTTGAGATCATTGTAGATTCACATGCAGTTGTAAAAAATTACACAGAGAGATTCCCTGTACACTTTATATAGTTCCCTCCAATGGTAACATTTTGTAAAACTATAGTGCAATATCACAACCAAAATATTGGCTTTGATACAGTCAAGATAAAAATTATTTTTTATCAAGGCAAGAATTCCTCATGCTGCCCTTTTTATAGCTACACTCTCTTCCCTGCAACTCTCAACCCTTTTCTTTGGCCTTAACCCCTGGCAACCACTAATTCATTCTCTAGTCTATAACTCTGCCATTTAAAGAATGTTATATCATTAGAAGACTTCATATTTTCTCTGAAATTTATTGTCATCTGTGAGAAAACTGGTTTCTACCTGTTAATTATGTGAAAAATGGCTTAGTGTCATGCCAAATCACTGTAAGAGATTAACACTTTATAAGGACTTTATATGTTTGATGTGTTTTAAATCTAATGCAGCTGAGTCTATATGAATTTTGCCTCCTTTTAAGCTAGTTTTGCAGGGCATCTGCTTGGAATAGACCATTTGGCAGTTTGGGTTACGAACATACTTGAGCATACCACTTCATTGCTTTGATAAAAAATGATGGAAATGCCAGCTATTTCTGTCAACCTAGAATGACATTTATCCACATGTTTAATAGTGCTTAGGAAATTTGTGAGGACTTTTTTTATTATTGTACTTTAAGTTCTAGGGTACATGTGCACAACGTGCAGGTTTGTTACATATGTATACATGTGCCATGTTGGTGTGCTGCACCCATTAGCTTCTCGTTTACATTAGGTATTTCTCCTAATGCTATCCCTCCCCCCTCACCCCACCCCATGACAGGCCTCCGTGTGTGATGTTCCCCTTCCTGTGTCCAAATGTTCTCATTGTTCAATTCCCACCTATGAGTGAGAACATGTGGTGTTTGGTTTTCTGTCCTTGCAATAGTTTGCTCAGAATGATGGTTTCCAGCTTCATCCATGTCCCTGCAAAGGACATGAACGTATCCTTTTTTATGGCTGCATAGTATTCCATGGTGTATATGTACCATATTTTCTTAATCCAGTTTATCACTGATGGACATTTGGGTTGGTTCCAAGTCTTTGCTATTGTGAATAGTGCCATAATAAACATACGTGTGCATGTGTCTTTATAGCAGCATGATTTATAATCCTTTGGGTATATACCCAGTA
Source organism: Homo sapiens (assembly GCF_000001405.40). Classification (NCBI taxonomy): domain Eukaryota; kingdom Metazoa; phylum Chordata; class Mammalia; order Primates; family Hominidae; genus Homo; species Homo sapiens. The sequence goes on from NC_000001.11 coordinate 110,834,175, forward strand.
ATGGGATGGCTGGGTCAAATGGTATTTCTAGTTCTAGATCCTTGAGGAATCGCCACACTGTCTTCCACAATGGTTGAACTAGTTAACAGTCCCACCAACAGTGTAAAAGTGTTCCTATTTCTCCACATCCTCTCCAGCACCTGTTGTTTCCTGACTTTTTAATGATCGCCATTCTAACTGGTATGAGATGGAATCTCATTGTGGTTTCGATCTGCATTTCTCTGACGGCCAGTGATGATGAGCATTTTTCATGTGTCTGTTGGCTGCATAAATGTCTTCTTTTGAGAAGTGTCTGTTTGTATCCTTCACCCACTTTTTGATGGGGTTGTTTGACTTTTTCTTGTAAATTTGTTTAAGTTCTTTGTAGGTTCTGGATATTAGCCCTTTGTCAGATGGGTAGATTGTAAAAATTTTCTCCCATTCTGTAGGTTGCCTGTTCACTCTGATGGTAGTTTATTTTGCTGTGCAGAAGCTCTTTAGTTTAATTAGATCCCATTTGTCAATTTTCCCTTTTGTTGCCATTGCTTTTGGTGTTTTAGTCATGAAGTCCTTGCCCATGCCTATGTATTGAATGGTAATGCCTAGGTTTTCTTCTAAGGTTTTTATGGTTTTAGGTCTAATATTTAAGTCTTTATTCCATCTTGAATTAATTTTTGTATGAGGTGTAAAGAAGGGATCCAGTTTCAGCTTTCTACATGTAGCTAGCCAGTTTTCCCAGCACCATTTATTAAATAGGGAATCCTTTCCCCATTTCTTGTTTTTGTCAAGTTCAAAATCACTCAACTACATGGAAACTGAACAACCTGCTCCTGAATGACTACTGGGTACATAACGAAATGAAGGCAGAAATAAAGATGTTCTTTGAAACCAATGAGAACAAAGACACAACATACCAGAATCTCTGGGACATGTTTAAAGCAGTATGTAGAGGGAAATTTATAGCACTAAATGCCCACAAGAGAAAGCAGGAAAGATCTAAAATTGACATCCTAACATCACAATTAAAAGAACTAAAGAAGCAAGAGCAAACAAATTCGAAAGCTAGCAGAAGGCAAGAAATAACTAAGATCAGGGCAGAACTGAAGGAGATACAGACACAAAAAATCCTTCAAAAAATCAATGAATCCAGGAGCTGGTTTTTTGAAAAGATCAACAAAATTGATAGATCGCTAGCAAGACTAATAAAAAAGAAGAGAGAGAAGAATCAAATAGATGCAATAAAAAATGATAAAGGGGAGATCACCACCAATCCCACAGAAATACAAACTACCATCAGAAAATACTACAAACACCTCTACGCAAATAAACTAGAAAATCTAGAAGAAATTGATAAATTCCTGGACACATACACCCTCCCAAGACTAAACCAGGAAGAAGTCGAATCCCTGAATAGACCAATAATAGGCTCTGAAATTGAGGCAATATTTAATAGCCTACCAACCAAAAAAAGTCCAGGACCAGACGGATTCACAGCCGAATAAAACCAGAGGTACAAAGAAGAGCTGGTACCATTCCTTCTGAAACTATTCGAATCAATAGAAAAAGAGGGAATCCTCCCTAACTCATTTTATGAGGCCAGTATCATCCTGATACCAAAGCCTGGCAGAGACACAACAAAAAAAGAGAATTTTAGACCAATATCCCTGATGAACATGGATGCAAAAATCCTCAATAAAATACTGGCAAACCAAATCCAGCAGCACATCAAAAAGCTTATCCACCATGATCAAGTTGGCTTCATCCCTAGGATGTGAGGACATTATTAACCAGGGGTTTATGATCTTCCTTTATAATCCTACTGGAGTCTTTGGGTTTTCGGACTTCAGATGCTAGTGGGGGCCAAGATGGATGCATTGGAGTGAGTTGTTTGCAAATATCAGGATTTGGGGACACCAGAGGTTTTCTAAATGAGACAAACATGTTAGTGAATTTGTGAAGAAAATATAAGTGATTTAATAATGGCTTTAATATTAGCCAACCAAATGAACATGAAACATCTAGGTGAAAAACTATAAAATATAGAACAGCAATAGTATATTATTATATTTTTATGTAACTGATATGATCTTTAGAAAGAAATCTGAATCCTTTCTCTTATAACCATGATGGTCAACTGGGGGTTAAGTAATTTACATTTTCACTGCTCTTTTATCTTTACTTCAGTTTGTGTAAGGGCTTATCAAATCAACAAACATTTATTGAATATGTATGTTGAATATACTAATTACAGTATCATAAAAATAGGGCTCACTCCCTGCTGTCAGAGAGCATAGCATCTAGAATGGATGGGAGACATAGATAATTATCATAAAAGGTGAAATGTGATAAGTGCTTGCAGAAGGTACTAGTAATGACAGAAATGTTCAGGATAGTAGACATTGGATTCTGCTTGGAAGAAGTAGCATTTGAATTGAGGCCTCAGTAATGAAGTACGTTGCTTACTTATTTTAGTGCTTACTTTGTAGCATGTTTATTGTAACAGAATTAGAAAAAATTCAAGTATGAAACAGAAAGTAAAAACTCCTTGTAATCCGGTCACTCAAAAGATTATAAAAATTAAAGTTTGGTTTGTTTCCACTCAAGAAAAAAAGAATGTTGTATAAATGGAATCATGAGAAGGTAACCCCTTTGAAATCAGCTTTCTTCCCCCCATTTAGCATAATTCTATAGAGATTTGTCCGGGTTGCTGCATGTAGCAATTGTTTATTCTTTTTTATTGCTGATTAATATTCCATGGTATGAATATGCCACAGTTTGCTTAAAACCAGTTACTGAAGGACATAAGGATTGTTTCCAGTTTTTGGCTATTACTATAAAGCTGCTATAAACATTTGTACACATTTTTTGTGAGCATAAGTTTTTATTTCTCTGGATTAAATGCCTAATAGTTCAATTGCTGGGTTGTATGGTAATTGCAGGTTAAGTTTTGAAAGAACCTGCCAAACTGTATTTCATGGCAGCTATGCTGTTTTACATTTCTACAAAGATATGAGGGATCCAATTTCTCTGCATCCTTGCCAGATTTTGATGTCTTTGTTTTTATTTTAGCCATTCTGATAGGTGTATAGTGATATTTTATTGCTGTTTTAATTTGTGGTTCCATAATGGCTAATGATGTTGAACATATTTTGATGTGCTCATTTGCCATCTGTATATCCTCTTTAGTGAAATGTCTTTTTATGTCTTTTGCCATTTTCTAACTAGATTATTTTCTGGTGAGTTTTGACCGTTCTTTATATATTCTGATTACTAGTTCTTTGTCATATATGCACTTTGCAAATTTTGTATGGAAATTTATTTAGCTTTTACTTTAGATTTTGGGATACATGTGTGGATTTATTCTATAGGTAAACTTGTGTCATGGGGGTTTGCTGTGAGATTATTTCATAACCAGGTACTAAGCCTAGTACCTAATTGTTATTTTTGTTGTTGTTCCTCTACCTCCTCCCACCCTTCACTTTCAAGTAGGCCCCAGTATCTGTTGTTCCCTTCTTTGCATTCAGAAAGCCAAATACCACATGTTCTCACGTATAAGTGGCAGGTAAATGATTTAAACTTTTAAATATTTTATTCATCATTGATTTTTACAGTAATTTAAACTGTTAAAATATTACATTAAACTCTTTTCAAAACTAATTATTTTTACTGAATAAAAATTATATATATTAGTTTTGTATAGCATGATGTTTTGATATATGTATATATTGTGAAATGCCTAATCAATCTAATTAATATATGATTACCTCACATACTTATTATATTTGTGGTGAAAACATTTAAAATCTACTATTTTAGTAATTTTCAAGTATACAATACATTGTTATTAACTGTATTCACCTTGATGTATAATAGATTTCCTGAATTTATTCCTCCTGTCCAACTAAAATTTTATATCCTTTGACCAACATCTCTCTATTAACCCCGTTTCCCAGACTGGTAACCACTATTCTACTCTCTGTTCCTATGAGTTTAACCTTTTTAGAATCCATGTGGTATTTTTCTTTCTGTGCCTTGCTTATTTCACTGAACATAATGTCCTCCAGCTTCTTCCATGTTGCTGCAAATGACAGGATTTTCTTTTTTAAAGGCTGAATAGTATTCCATTGCGTGTATATTCAACACAGTACTAGAAGCCCTAGAGAGAGTAATCAGGCAAGAGGAAGAATTAAAAGCCATCCAAATGGGAAAGGAAAAAGTTAAATTGTCTGTTTGCATATGACAGGACCTTATATTTAGAAAAATTTAGATTCCAGCAAAAAATAGAACTAATAAACAAATTCAATAAAGTAGCAGGGTACAAAATCAACATACAAAAATCAGTAGCATTTCTATACACTAACAACAAACTATCTGAACAAGAAATGAAGAAAACAATACCATTTATAATATATACAAAAAATCAAAATAGTCAAGAATAAATTTAATCAAGGAGGTGAAAGATATGTATACTAAAAACCTCCTGGGTAGCTGGAGCAGAGAATTGCTTGAGCCCAGGAGTTTGTTCAGCAACATATTAAAAGGATTACACACCACGACCAAATGGGGTCTATCCCAAGAATGCAAGTATGGTTTCATATAAAAAAATCAATCAATATAATACACTACAGTAATAGAATAAAGGACAATATCATATGATTGTCTCAACTGATGCTGAAAAAGAATTTGAGAAAATCCAGCACCTTATAATAATAAAAATATTCAACAAACTAGAAATAGGGGAGAACTTCCTCAACATGATAAAAGCCTTATATAAAAAAAACCCAGAGTTAACACTATATTTGATGATTAAAGTCTGAAAGGTTTGCCCTAAGATCAGGAACAAGACAAGGATGTCCATCTCTGTCACTTCCATTCAACATTGTTATGGAAATTCTAAGCAGGAAAATTAGATAAGAAAAAGAATAAAAGGCATTGTATCAAAACTGCAAAGGAGAAAGTAAATATATTTCCATTTTCAAATGATATAATCGCATATAAAGAAAATCCCAAAGAATCTACACACAAAAAAACTACTAGAGTTGATAAATGAATTAAGCAAAGTTGCAGATTACCAGGTAAACATACAAAAAATCGGTTTTATTTCCACATCCTAACAATGAATAATCTGAAAATGAAAGTTTAAAAAAATTTCATTCACAATACCATAAAAAAATTAAGAATAAATTTAACCAAGACAAGACTTGTATACTGAAAACTACAAAAACATTGCTGAAAGGAATTAAAGACCTAAATAAAGAAAAAGATATTCATGTTCATGGATTAGAGGACTTCATATTAAGAAGACAATACTCCCCAAAGAGATATACAGATACATAAAAATAATTATCAATATCTTAATGTCATTTTTTGCACAAATGGAAAATCTGATCTTAACATTCATATAGAATTACAATAGATTCTAGTCAAACAATTTTGAAAAAGAATAAGTTGAAGAATTTACATTTTCTGATATTAATATATATTTCAAAGCCACAGAAACCAAACGTAGTATGGTACTGGCATAAGGATAGACACACAGGCTGATAGAACAGAATTCAGAGTGCAATTATAAACTCTCACATTCACAGACAATTCATTTGTGACAAAGATACCAAGACAATTCAATGTGGAAAAAAATCATCTTTTCAATAAATTATGCTGGGACAACTTGATGTTGACATGTAAAAGAATGTAGGCTCACATCATATACAGAATATAACTCAGAATCTTTCAAAGAAGAAAGCGTAGTGATACATCTTCATGATCTTGGATTTTGCTATGGATTCTTAGATTTGACACCAAAAGCCCAAGACACAAAAGAGAAAATGATAAGTTGAAATTAATGAAAATTTAAAACTTTCCTGCATCAAGGCATATCATCAAGAAAGTGAAAAGACAACTCACAAAATAGGAGAAAATATTTGCAGCCATATATCTGATAAGGTCTGGTAATCAGAATATGTAAAGAACTCTTACAAGTCAACAACAAAAAGACAACCTAATTTAAAGCTGGGCAAAGGACTTGAATAGACATTTCTCCAAAGAAGATATATAAAAGGCCAATAAGCACATGAAAATATATTCAATATCACCAGTCACAGGGATTGCAAATCAAAACCACAGTTTTATACTACTTTACACCCACTAGGATGGCTATAATAATAATTTTAAAAAGGAAAATAAATGTTGGTGAGAATGTAGAGAAGTTGGAATCCTCATACTGATAATGCAAAATGGTACAGTTGCTGTCAAAAAGAAATAAGCAGTTTCTCAATATGTTAAACATATAATTATTATATTATCCAGCAATTTCGGATAATTGAAAACAGGTGTTTGAACAAAAACTTGTACATGAATACTCACAGCAACATTATTCATAATAGTCAAAAAATTAAAGCAACCCAAATTTACAACAATTGATGAATGGATAAATAAATTGTGGCATTTCCAAATCATGATATATCCATACAGTGGAATATTATTCAACCATAAAAATAATGAAGTACCGATACATGTTACAACTACTTGATGAACCTTGAAAACATTATATAATGTGAAAGAAGCGAGACCCAAAAGTCATATATTACATAATTCCATGTATGTGAAATGCCCAAAATAGGCAAATCCATAGAAACAAAAAGTAGATCAGTGGTTCCCAGAGGCTAGAAGTAGAAAGAGAATGAACGGTGACTGCTGAATAGGTATAGGATTTCTTTTTGGAGTAATGCAAATGTGCTGGGGTTAGATAGTAGTGATGGTTGCACAATATAGTGAATGTATTAAAGGTTACTTAATTTACTTTGAAATGGTTACAGTGGTGAACTTTTTTAATGTGAATTTTACTTCAATAAAAAAATTCAAAAATAGTGATAACATCAAATGCTGGCAAAGATTCAGAGAAACTGAGTTATTCATACATTACTGGTGAAAATATAAAATGGTACAACTACTCCAGAAAACCGGTTTTACAGTTTCTTAAAACACTAAGCATGCAGCCATCATTCAACCCAGCAATTGTGCTCCTGGGCACTCTAGAAAAAGAAAAAACTTACATTTACACACAAAAACCTGTACACAAATGTTTATAGCACCTTTATAGAAATAGCCAAAAACTGAAAAAAACTCAGATGTCTTTAAACTCATAAATGGTTGAACAAACTACTACATCCATACCATAGATTACTTCTCAGCAATAAAATGGAATCAACTATTGATACATGCATCATCTCTAGATAAATTACTCTTTGGGTGAATCTCCAGAAACCTATGCTTAGTGAATAAATTCAGTCCCAAAAGATTAGGTACTGTATGATTCCATACACAAAACATTCTTGAAATTATAGAAATGCATACAAAGTTATAAAATTGTAGAGCAAGTTGGTGTTTGCTAGGAATTAATGAGAGGTGGTGATGAGGGATATGGGGGTGGGTATGTAAAGGCCACATGAGGAATTTGGGGGTGATGTAAATATTCTTTATCTTAACTGTATCAATGCCATAGTTATGATATTGTGATATAGTTTTGCAAGATGTGTTCATTGAGAGGAAATTGCAGAAAAGGTACGTGGGCTCTCTATTATTTTTTTAAACTCCATGTAATCTACAATTTTCTTCAGACAAATAAACTTTTAAAAATTTCAATAATATATTTTATTTCATCCAATATAACAAAAATATTTTCATTCATCAAATAATGTATGAAGTTATTTTTATAAGTTTTATTTTTTTAATTGATGCATAATAATTGTACTTATGTATACATAAGTACAAATACATAATTGTATTTATGGGGTACAGTGTGATATTTTCATATATATAGTATATGTGTGTATATATAGTGTAATGATCATATACATATACATATATATAGTATATATGTGTATATATAGTGTAATGATCAAATCAGGGTAAATAGCATATCCATAACCTCAAACACTTGTCATTTCTTCATGGTGAGAGTACTCCAAATCATTTCTTCTAGCTATTTTGAAGTATACAATAGATTGTTGTTGACTATAGTCACCCCACTATACAATAGAACACCAGAACTTATTCCTCCTATCTAACCGTAACTTTGTATACATTGACCAATCTCTTTTCATCCTCCCTCTTTCCTACTCTTCCCAGTCTCTGGTTACCACTATTCTACTCTCTACTTCTATGAGATTAACTTATTAGATCTCACATATGAGTGATATCATGCAGTGTTTGTCCTGTGCTTGGCTTATTTCACTTAACATAATGTCCTCTAGGTTAATTCATTTTGTTGCAAATGACAGGATTTCATTCTTTTTTATGGCTGAATAGTATTCCATTGTGTATATATGTCACATTTTCCTTATCCATTCATCCATCAATAGACCCTTAGGCTGATGTCATATATTGGCCATTGTGAATAGTGCTGTAATAAGCATGAGGGTGCAGATATCTCTTCAATACATTGCTTTTATTTCTTTTGAATAAATACCAATAGTAGGATTGTTGGATCCTATGGTAGTTCTATTTTCAATTTTTTTGAGAAACCTCCATACTGTTTTTCATAATAGCTGTACAAATTTACCTTTCCACCAACAGTGTGTAAGAGTTCCTCTTTCCCCATATCCTCGCCAGCATTTGTTATTTTTATCTTTTTGATAATAGCCATTCTAACTGGAGTGAGGTGATATGGTGGTTTTGATTTGCATTTCCCCAGTGATTAGTGATGTCGAGCATTTTCTTCATGTAATGTTGGCTGTTTGTCTTGGGTCAAATATCTGAAATGTCTATTCAGATCTTTTGCTCATTTTAAAAATTATTTGTTCTTTTGCTATGAGTTATTTGAATTGTTTATATACTCTGGATATTAACAGCTTGTAAGATGCATAGTTTGAGAATATTTTCTCCCATTTCACAGGCTGTCTCTTCACCCTGCTGATTGTTTCCTTTGCTGTGCAGCTTTTCAGTTTGATGTCACTCCATTTGTCTATTTTTGTTCTTCTCTGTTTCTGAGGTCTTATTAAAAATATTCTTGCCCAAACCAATGTCATGTTTTCTTCCAGTAGTTTCATAGCTTTGGGTCTTACATTTAAGTCTTTATTCAGTTTCAAGTTGATTTTTGTAAGTGGTGAGAGAGAGGGGTCTAGTTTCATCCTTCTGCACATGGATATCCAGTTTTCCCAGCACCATTTATTGGAGAGAGGGTCCTTTCTCCAAGGTGTGCTCTTGGTACCTTTGTCAAAAATGAGTTGGCTGTAAATGTGTTAATTTATTCTGAGCACTCTATTCTGTTCCATTTGTCTATGTCTGTTTTTATACCAGCAGCATGCTGTTTGGTTACTATTGCTTTGTAGCATACCTTAAAGTCAGGTAGTGTGATGCCTCTGCTTTTGTTCTCTTTTCTCAAGATAGCTTTAGCTATTTAGGGTATTTTGTGGTTTAATATGCGTTTTAGGATTGCTTTTTTTCTATTTCTGTAAAAAATGTCATTGATATTTTGATAGGGATTGAATTGAATCTGTAGATCACTTTGGGTAGTATGGACTTTTTATTTTTGTAAAAATATAATAGAGAAATCTGATTTGCTTCTATGGTGAAATCCTTGTTATCTGGTGGTAACTTGGAGGTAAAAGACCAACCTGGCTAAGGCAATCATGTGCACTGTAGCCCCATCGTCCTGTCAGGGCACAGCAGTCAGGAAGGGGGACCTAGAGGTGGTGATTGTGTGAGGACCTTCTGGAGCTCTGTCTACTTCCACTCTGCTTCCTGGATCTGGCTACCAAACAGGAGCAAGAAACTGGGGGAGAGTGTTTTACAATTTCCCTCTGGCAAAGATTTCTACAACTTCTAGGAAAGGAAACCAGTGGCAAAGGGTCTATAAGAAGACTAGTCAATACCTTGTTTATTTGTAATCTTGTGTCCAGTATACAGAAGCTGGAGTCAGAACTGGGTTCTATAGCTCTATTGATGATGAAATAGGTGAACTCAGACAATTTTTTTTCCTAACTTACTTGTGTTTCAGTTTTCTTTTTAAAATGGTTGTACTAACCTCTCCTTTTATTATTATCTAGATGTTTTTACATCAACTTCCCTAATCGGACTACAAATAACAGGATGACAAGCAGTGTACCTTCATAATTTTCTGTCTGCAGTATCAAATTAGCACAGTGTACACAGTCAATAAAAGAATGAAGATACAATCCAAATGGAACCCTAATAATTATGTAGGCAAGCAGGTCCTTTCCCTCAGAACTCTTAAGTACAATGTCTGGAGAATGGGTTTAGAAAGATAAATTTGGAGCAAATGAATTACAGCCATGGTTGCCAGGAAAGTCTTTCCTGATTGGAAAGGATCCACCAATTCATGTAGGTGCAAGGAGTCACCTTGAGAAATAGTTCGGTGTCCTCTTCCTTTTCACAAGAAAATAGCAAGAAATAAAGATTAAGACAAATTTTGCAATGAAGCCTTACAAAGCAAAAAGAGATTGAAGTCTTACAAAGCGAAAAGAAATTCACCTTCCTTTCTCCATCTGTTAACTTTTGGGTATGGCAATGCTCACAAGTCAATTAACAGTTAACTAGTAACTCTCTGTCACAGGATATAAACAGCAAAGTGAGATTGAACTAGAACCACTTATCAAGGGAGCCTGAAGCCCAAGTGCTAGAACAGTCCACATTCCCCACAGTGCCCTGGCTCTAAGCAAAGATTCAGGTTCACTTTGCTATTGAGGCCCAGACAACAACTAAAATAATCTTTGAGAAACTAATCTGTAGCTGGTGTTTGTATACACTATTTTAAAATATTTATCTTTACCTAAAATTTGTACAATGTGAGTAATATATTTATTTAATATTCGCATGTCTATTTTAAAGTAATGCTTTCTAGAAAAGCTAAGAAGCAGGGTTGTGTGGTACACACTGCCTCTGTCTGTGATATGCACATGAGGACAACTTGGCTGGTTAGGCACAGAAGCATAATTTTTCCCCTGAAGGCAAAGTCCCTGAGGAAGATAACCAACCTCTAACAGCTGGCCTTGGGAACCCAATTCTTAAGAACAACTGCAAACTTCAAGGTAATATCATTGATTTTTTGTTCTCATTATTTCCTGCAAATAATTATTATCTACTATGTGATAGATACTGTTCTTGGCACTGGGATACAGTATCAGACAAGGTAGAAGAGTTCCCTGCTCTTGTGGGATTATAGTCTAGTAGTAGATGCAGTCAATTACCAAGGAAATAAAAAAAATGCAGGGAAATAATGATACACATCATGCAGAAAAAAAAGCAGGGCATGTTCTAGGCAGAGTCAACAATTACAGGTTTTCTGAGATAAAACAGGACTTGGTGCTCTTACAGGATGAGGCAAAAGAGAAAAAAAAAGTAACAGGCAGCCAAAAATAGTTAACTTTTCATTATATCCACATAGTCACATTCACAATCATGTGAATATCTGAAGTTGACACATTAGGCTCAAAAATCCTTTTATTTCAGCCCTTTATATTTTCTTTCTTTTTTTTATTTTTATTTTTATTATACTTTAAGTTTTAGGGTACATGTGCACAATGTGCAGGTTAGTTACATATGTATACATGTGCCATGCTGGTGCACTGCACCCACTAACTCGTCATCTAGCATTAGGTATATCTCCCAATGCTATCCCTCCCCCCTCCCCCCACCCCACAACAGTCCCCAGAGTGTGATATTCCCCTTCCTGTGTCCATGTGATCTCATTGTTCAATTCCCACCTATGAGTGAGAATATGCAGTGTTTGGTTTTTTGTTCTTGCGATAGTTTACTGAGAATGATGATTTCCAATTTCATCCATGTCCCTACAAAGGACATGAACTCATCATTTTTTATGGCTGCATAGTATTCCATGGTGTATATGTGCCACATTTTCTTAATCCAGTCTATCATTGTTGGACATTTGGGTTGGTTCCAAGTCTTTGCTATTGTGAATAATGCTGCAATAAACATACGTGTGCATGTGTCTTTATAGCAGCATGATTTATAGTCCTTTGGGTATATACCCAGTAATGGCATGGCTGGGTCAAATGGTATTTCTAGTTCTAGATCCCTGAGGAATCGCCACACTGACTTCCACAATGGTTGAACTAGTTTACAGTCCCACCAACAGTGTAAAAGTGTTCCTATTTCTCCACATCCTCTCCAGCACCTGTTGTTTCCTGACTTTTTAATGAACAGACACTTCTCAAAAGAAGACATTTATGCAGCCAAAAAACACATGAAAAAATGCTCATCATCACTGGCCATCAGAGAAATGCAAATCAAAACCACAATGAGATATCATCTCACACCAGTTAGAATGGCAATTATATTTTCTTATTAGATTTTTTTCACCTTTTAAAGACAAACAGTATGTAAAGATTATAATTGTAATCTTTTCTGAAGTCAAAGGATCAGTAATAATTGCTTCTTGTATTATGCTATATGGGTTAAGAGTCAAGTATTTACCTGAATCTGTACCCTCTGCAGAATATATTTGAAGTTTTTATTCCTGAATAAACGTGTATTAGTGGCTTGGTTTCAAAAAATAAATATCTCTTATTTATAAAAGTAGAATGTTCTCTTAGAAATTGAAAAATATCCTTTCTGCAAATAACTAAATAGCTGAAATGCTTGAAACAGGCTTCTCTGAAATGGTCTTGCTCTAAATAAAATAATCTTTGTGTTTTGATCAGTGGTCTTTGACTTTTAAAAAGTATCTTTTGCCATTTAAAATCTTTTTAGCATCATTACTGCTTCTAACACCTATTCAGCTTCAATTCAGGCTCTAGGGTCCTTCCTCTAAACTGACTCGCTGACAATACCATTTGTGCAGTTTGCTAAAATTGAAAGGACGCTAGATTTGAAGTAGTCAGACATTTGCTCCATATTTGTTCATTCCTCTAAGTGATTAATCTTAAGCCCCTGCTATGTGACAGGCTCCAAGATAGGACCTAAGTACGGAGTAGTAATGAGACAGACACACTCTGTCTTCGTGAGACATGCAGTTTGCTCCCAGCTCCCTCACAGTCTTCTGCCTGGACAATTCTTATGAGGAACTCTCTCAGAGCCTGGATGTCCTCATTTGTCAAATTGGCAACATGCAGAGGGGTTGTGAGGATGATAGAAAGATATGCTGGCATACATTAGATATGTAGTAAATAGATATCAATAAGGACAAGATTGCAGGAAGTCTGGGTACTATATCATAGACAAAAAAAACCTTTAGTTCTAAAGAACAAATGAGATAGTTTCAATTTAGTGTTTATTTCATCATTGTTTCATTTGTTTCACTTATTGGAGAGCTGTGTTAATTTGTTAGTTTGATCAAATGTCTCTCCAGTTTGCTAATGCCTGTCAGTAAATAAGAACTTTAATTCCATAAGGTTTCCATCACAAACTTACATTTCCTAGAACAGAACTAGCTTCAGTCACTTTTTTTTTTTATAAAACACAATTACTTTATTGATTTCTTACAATCAAATACTGCCAACTAGCATTACTTCCACTCTTGCATCATTAAAAACAAAGGTCTGGCCACGATATTATTTAGGTTTTGCATTATCATTTATGGCATTATAGATTAATTACACATAACTTTTATACATTTTAACCCTGAAGATAAGAAAAATAACTGTTGCTTGAAAGAAATTATTCCAGGTAGCCATTTGGTTTGTATCAGGAGAAACTGAACCTCCATGAGTTTAGCGTCTGCCAAGTTGGAATCATTAGCTCAAGTGAGTGAATGAGATACGGGGCGCATTTCACAGTGACTGCTTCCCAAGTCCTGGCAATGCCTCTGCTCCCACAGTCCACCAGATGAAGCATTTCCGGGATGACCCTTCTATGTGGTTTTCCCTTTTCATTTTTTTTTTTTTTTTTGCTGGATTAACGATTACTGTATTATTTCCTCTTTTCCCCTTTTCTGTGGCCTCCATTTTAATTATTCATAAATCCTTTCAGAATATCCTCAGAGAGCTCCATAAGAGGAAGTTCTGGAGATGGAAAATCCAAGGGAGGAAGATTGGGGATTGGAATGTCCTTGGCTTTCCCGGTGTTTGCTGCAAACTTCTTCCAGGTTGAGGAGGCTGTAGCAGTTTCTGAATGTGGTGGCAAGCTCCATAACTCTGACGTTTCTACAAAATCAGCATCTACATCCAGCTCCTTTTCTATTGGACCTTTTAGAAGTCTGGCCTTTTCAGCCTTCAGTTGTTTATTTTCTTTCCTTAATCTTTTATTCTCAGCCACAAGGAATTCCACATGCCTCTTCAAATCTGCAATTTTGGTTGCCTGCTCCTCTATAATTGTTTTATCATCTTTGGGGGCTTTGCTTCCAATACATGGCTCTTCTGGCTCACTCTTTTGCTGAAGTAAATAAAGTAGTGTGTCTGGATCCCTGTCAAAGATCCCCTGAATCTCAGGCAGGCATTTCTCTGTGGAAGGGCTGTACTTCTGAGAAAGGGGACTCTGGCCCTCTGCATCCTCTGCAGAGGGTTTGTGAGATGCCTGAAAATGGGCAGCTACATCCTTGTCTGTGTTCTGCTGGGCTTTCAATCTTTCTTCACGCTGGGCCCTTTTCCATCTCTCTTGGATGAGGAGGAGCTATTTCATATGGCTATCCATTTGCAATTCCAGTGAAAGATGAGCCTGCTTAGACTGTGTCAGCTTCATGGCTTCAGAAAGATACACTGCAGCCTTTTTGTGACAAGAAATAGCCTCTTCGTATTTGCCTGCAGCTAATAAATGGTCTGCTCGTCTGCTCTGTTAATGAGCCAGGTTGAGGGGTCCTTCCATTACTTTCATAGACCCCGGGGTAAGCAGTGGCCTTAGGAAGGGGAGTAGTGGCGCTGGGGAACATGGAGGGGACTGCAAGGGAGTGCGACGCAGCCACGAAGACTGCGGCCCCTCTCTGCACCCCAAGAACCAGCGGTAGGCCTTTTTTTTTTTTTTTTTTTTGAGACAGAGTCTTAGTCTGTCACCCAGGCCAGAGTGCAGTGGCATGATCTCGGCTCACTGCAACCTTGCTGCCCGAGTTCAAACAATTCTCCTGCCTTAGCCTCCCGAGTAGCTTGGATTACAGGAACCTGCCACCGCGCCCGGCTAATTGTTTTTGTATTTTTAGTAGAGATGAGGTTTCACCATGTTAGTCAGGCTGGTCTTGAACTCCTGACCTCGTGATCCACCTGCCTTGGCCTCCCAAAGTCCTGGGATTACAGGCGTGAGCCACTGTGCCAGGCCCTTCAGTCACTATTTTTAATCAATGACAGGAATCCAGGAGGACACAAGTTCTTTAGAATCTTAATTGATGGCTTTGATGATAAATGTGTACTATTGCAGATAATTGTTTCAGTTCCCTACCAAACGTGTGACAATAAGGAGATACACAGTAATTTTTCTTTCAGGAGGTAGAAACAAATTGAATACTTCCTTCAAAATATTCTTTTAATCCATTCCCCTAAAGCACAGCATAATCACTCATTTTCAATTAAATCTCTTTATAAAGGTCATATAAGTAAAAAGAGTCATTATCAAAGTAAAAGCTTAATGCAAAACAAGGAGGAAAAAGACATTTTCTTTAAGGTGAAGGTACCTTGGTTTCATAGAATTTGTAAGGTAAACAACAATTTCCCGCCAGAGTCATCTGGGAAACGCCCACGAGCACCAGTATCAGGGGAGATGATGGCTTTGCCCACAGAGGGACTCAAGTTTATACGGAAAAAAGAAGGTTGAGAAATGAGGCCCAAACTCAAGTGTCCTCCTACGTTCATGCGGAGAGACAGCTCTGACATGGTTTTTGTCAAGTGCACCACGTGGCGTATTTCTGGATAAAAGCTGGATTCCAGAGATCTAGCCCAGTTCTACAAATCCAGGGGAGGCGGACACACCATAGTCTTTGTGGCCTGGCTCCCCAAATTGGGAGTGGGTTCCTGTAAGGCACTGACAGGTAAAGCTCATCTATTCTGATGGTGTACACTTGAATTTTTCCTGTTTTGAGTCCTTAATTTGCTAGATGAGTCCGTGTGTACAATTGCCTACTATATTAAATAAACTATTCCATGTTGGTTTGGTGGCAAAATCAAATTATTTGCCTATCTGGTTGCCCAGTTGTTCACTTGAACTGACCAGCACCTGGCATGAGTTAACTGTCCTTATCATCAGCTAGATGCTGGCTAAATGGATTGGTTAGTTCACTGACCACTTAATTCAGCTAAGAGGGTAGATCCTATTCAGATAGCCCCTGAATCCTCCTCTGCTTTTTGTTGTTGTTAGTGGAAGTTACAAAGCCCAGGATAATTCACCGAGTACTTGTGTTTTTTCTTGGCTTTGTGATAAGCCTCTTGTCTTTTGCCTGAATTTGCTTTATGTGTGTGTCCTGGGGGAATGAAATGCTTCTCAATTAGGAAAAAAAATCTTAAGTTTGAAAGGAATGTTTAAAATCATCAGATCCAAATAATTCTCTACTGATTTAGTCTCCTTTAGTTGTCTTCACATGTTTTTCTCATTGAACATCTCCCGTGATGGGGAGCAGATTCCTTCCATTTACCTATAGACAATACTAACTGTGCTGGGCATATTTGGAAGGAAAGGAGGGAGTAGATGAGAAAGAGCTGGAGAGGAGAGGATGAGGAGAAAGCACTGCCACTTACTGAGCACATTCCCTGGGCTCAGCCCTGTGTCAACATCATTTATAGATATATTGTGCAATTTGCTGGGCTGTGGCTCTAGAGTCAAGCTGCCTTATGTGAGCAGAGCTAACATAAGAGCATGTTAGCAGAGTTCACACCTCTAGCTTTTTCATTAATACCCTTTTAAAATTTGCTCTCTTCTGCTGAGGAGATAAGGGAGGAGATAGTGGCTGCATGCTAGGGTGGGAGGTCAGTATCAGTGGCTTCTCTGCTGCCCTTGAAGGCCTCTTTCTGCACAGACCTGGAGATGGTAGAATTGTTTTTCCCTTAAAGATTGTCCAACTTGCCTTTGCTAAATGTCTTTGTGGCTGAGCAGCAATTGAAGCCAGCCTATTTAGTTTTACAGCCCATGCTCTAACAGGCTTCACTGTCTTTCTAGTTAATTCTCTCCTACTTTCACCTGGCTTTCCATTCTCCATCATGGGGCTCTGCCCTGCATCCAGGTGGTGAGGCAGTCCTGCAGCAGAAATGTAACTGCCTGGTAGAGAGTAAGAGGTAATGCCCTGTGCACATAAAAGTAGCAGCGTGAAGGCAAGTTCAGGAGATGATATAGAAAGTTGTCAGAGAGTGTGACTCTTTATGGGATTGCACCCTCACCAAGCAACAAAGCAGGCCTCACTTTCCCTGAAGTTAAAACCAGGATGAAAGGCTGCCCTGTGAAAACTTTTATCTTCCTGCCTCTATGAGATGATGCACATGAGCCTATGTACTCAGGCTCCATGACAGGCAGTGTTCGCGGTCAGGTACGAGAGATCTAGAGTGAGTCTAAATTTCATCTCTTCCACTTTTTAGATGATTATCATGGATAAGTTACTTCACGTCTCTGTGCCTCCATCTGTAATAAGAGTACTCACTACATAGGGTTGTTGTGATGATGAAATTTAGTTCTATATTTTCAGCACTTAGAACAGTGCTGCAGCCCCAGCCAGGAGTTTGGCTGTGTTCTGTCAGAACTGACGCCCTCTCTTTGAGATCTCAGACCATCATTTGTGATTTGCAGGGGCTGGAGAGAAGTTTTCTCTTTGCGCCTTCCCCATACTCCACTCAATGTGTTCAGGGTCTGAATCACCAGTTGCTGGGCATCCTCTGAGCACCAGGGCATCCTCTAGGCGCCAGGACTGCCAGGCAGCACAGATTCCAGGTTATTTCTATAAGCCACCTGGAAAGCTAGAACTGATGCTCCACAAGATGGTTCCCAGGACATTGGCTCAGCTTAAACATGCGATCAGTGTATTGCCAAAGGCTATTGGTATGAGAACAGATAGCAGGAACAGCTTAATTATTCATGCAGTTGCACACACACACACACACACACACACACACACACACTACAGGATACTGCAAAGGAGACTGAGCTTTGTTTCCAATGCTCCCTTCAAAGTAAAGCAATTCCTTGGTAAATTTAAGTAATGTCTGCAGCTCTGAATAACCAGTGATTTCCCAGTCTTTTCAGTTATATGCTTTTTGTACCTACTTAGCACATGTGACATTCTCCGGTCCTAAATGCCGTTTTATAGTTTATGGCAAACTGTTAAACAACTTGCTCAAAGTCTGATGCATAAACAGAGCTCCTGCTTTGTTTGGGACTCTCTGGCTACTCATGGTAGCTACCTCATTATTATAGCCACACAGTGCTTTCTGTGCCTGTGTGTAGACTTTCCCAATTCCACTTGCTTTCCTGCAGCCAACCAGTCCCTCTAAAACTACCTCAAGTAGGTGCAGATCCAGCACAAGGGAGTTGAGGATACTAAAGTGGGTTCAGCTTCAGACCTTGCCTATGGCCTTAGCAGTTTTTTTGTGGGGGTTGGGGGAGATTGTCTAACCACCCCGAGCGTTTTGGTTGGGTGCGTGGTGGGCTTTAACCAATATGGTACTGAAGATGAGACTTGGGCTTCCTTAACTCATTTAAAATAACCCAAGGCTATCTTACACTCAATTGGTTGGTTGCACACAGTGTGTTAGGCCAGTTAGTTCTGAATCTTCTTTTCCATTTACTGCAGTCCTAGATAAAATATTTTCAATGATCTGATTTTATCTATTTAAAACTGTGAGATAAGGCATTCCTGGGTTATACCAGCATGCACGCTGACCTCAGAATCAGAGAATCTCAGCTGGGCACGGTGGCTCACGCCTGTAATCCCAGAGCTTTGGGAGGCTGAGGCGGGCAGATCACTTGAGGTCAGGAGTTCAAGACCAGCCTGGCCAACAAGGTAAAACCCTGTCCCTACTAGGAATACAAAAATTAGCCAGGCATGGTGGTGCGCACCTGTAATCCCAGCTACTTGGGAGGCTGAGGCAGGAGAATTGCTTGAACCCAGGAGGCAGAGGTTGCAGTGAGTCAAGATCATACCAATGCACTCCAGCCTGGGTGACAGAGTGAGACTTTGTCTCAGAAAAAACAACAACAAAAAGAATCAGAGAATCTCAAACCTCACATTCACATGATTTTCTCTTGATAGTGCCACGGAAACCGAAACAGAAATAAAAAACTTCCTTCCCAGCTCAGGAAGAAACTGAAAAGAAAAGGATACATGATTGATAGGACAGGGCCATTTCACTAAAGACAAACTATGCTTGAGGTGGGAGGGGAGGGGTTCTTTGTCTTGGATCTGTGACTCTCTTAGGTCCTCTGTGAGAGTTCTCGAATCCTCTGGAATGTGCTCCTCATCCTCCTCTCAGTCCTACCTCCCTTCAGATCTTCTTCCTTCCTTTTCATAACTCACCAGATGAACACAGTACATGCAGGAAGGGCATATAGTAGGTGATTCTTCCTCTCTTTCTTTGTCCTCCTTCCCCTTTGCATTCCTGCTTCCATTTTTCTCTGCATTCCTCTGTTTCCGTTTTCCTCAAAGACTGACATTGCTCCTGAGGAAGTGAAGATACAAGATAAGAGAAAAGGGGAGATTGAAGGCATAGGGTCTTAGTCCAAATTTTTTTCTTTCCCATTTTAGACCTTGAAATGAAAAGATGATCTCTCTCCACTCAAATAAGAAACCTTCCAAAAACCTGAGTGGGGATTGAAAACCATTCACTGTCCATGTTCTTTGTGTAAGCTAGAACTTTCTACATTTTCTTGTTTTATCACTGGGTGTTCTGTTTCTAGTGAAGCTGAGGCATGGTGATCCTGTCCTGGGAAAACCAAACGATGAGAGTGGAATTCGTGCTTCAAGGATTCTCTTCCATCAGACAGTTAAATATTTTCCTCTTTATGATAATTTTAGTTTTCTACATCTTAACTGTTTCTGGAAACATCCTCATTGTCCTTCTAGTTTTAGTCAGACATCATCTCCACACCCCTATGTACTTCCTCCTGGTGAACTTGTCCTGTCTGGAGATCTGGTATACCTCTAACATCATCCCCAAAATGTTGCTGATTATCATAGCTGAATAGAAGACTATCTCTGTGGCTGGCTGGCTGGCACAATTCTACTTCTTCGGATCCCTGGCTGCCACGGAGTGCCTCTTGCTCACTGTGATGTCCTATGATCGCTACCTAGCCATCTGCCAGCCTCTTTGCTACCGTGTCCTCATGACTGGCCCCCTTTGCATCAGGCTAGCTGCTGGCTCTTGGTTCTGCTGCTTCCTCCTTACAGCAATCACCATGGTCTTGCTATGTAGACTAACCTTCTGTGGACCCTATGAAACTGATCACTTCTTTTGTGACTTCACCCCTCTGGTTCATCTCTCCTGCATGGATACCTCAGTGACTGAGACCATTGCCTTTGCCACCTCTTCTGCAGTAACTCTGATCCCATTTCTCCTCATTGTAGCCTCCTACTCCTGCGTCCTTTCTGCTATCCTAAGAATCCCATCTTGCACAGGCCAGAAAAAGGCCTTCTCCACCTGCTCTTCCCACCTCACTGTGGTCATAGTGTTTTATGGGACACTGATTGCCACATACCTTGTGCCCTCAGCCAACTCATCCCAACTCTTGTGCAAAGGGTCCTCTCTGCTCTACATCATCCTGACACCCATGTTTAACCCCATCATTTATAGCCTGAGAAATAGAGACATCCATGAAGCTCTGAAGAAGTGCTTGAGGAAGAAGTCAGGTGTTTGCCTTAGATAATACGAAAAGGAAAAAAGTTGTATTTGTCTAAATGTTGATGAACTGGGCTGAGTCATTTAAATTCTACATAAAAGGCAATTGCCTAAATGAGGAGCTACCTAAAACAGATGACCAGATACCTCTACTGAGTTATGACAGCCCCAGGTAAACTGCTGTCCCAGGATACGATCTATGCAGGTCAGACTGTGCTCCATCATCTCCAGTAGACTTGGATTCTTATGTAGAAGCCCATATTCAAAATGAGCCAGTAAGTGTGTTCACTCGTTCATTAAAATATTCATCAAGGGTTTGTTAATGCTCAAGGCATTGTGTTGGACATAAGTGATAAAGTGATGGGCAAAAACAGAGGCAGTTCCTGCTTTCACTGAACTCACAGTCTATGGGGAGAAAAACATTAATCAAGTAATGAATATAAAACTACATATATGATATAAAACTGTACTTGTAATTCAAAATTGAAAATAAGAAGATGACCAGCACATACCTATTAGAACGGCCAAAACCCAAAACACTGACAACACCAAATGCTGGTGAGGATGTGGAGCAACAGGAACTTTCATTCACTCCTGGTGGGAATACAAAATGGTACACCCACTTTGGAGTATACTCTTGCAGTTTCTCACAACACTGAATATACTTTTACAACAAAATTCAATAATCACATTCATTGCTATTTACCCAAATTGGTTGAAAACGTATGTCCATACAAAAACCTGTACATGGATGTTCATAGCAGCTTTATTCATAATTGCTGACATTTGGAAGCAAACAAGATGTCCTTCAGTAAGTGAATGAATAAATAAACTGTGGTACATCCAGACAATAGAATACTATTTGGTGCTAAAAAGAAATGAACTATCAAGCTATGAAAAGACATGAAGCAACCTTAAATGCATATTACTAAGTAAAAAAAAAAAAACCAATCTGAAAAGGCAAAATTATGGAAATAAGTGAAAAGATTAGTAGTTGCCAAGAGGTAGGAGGGAGGGAGGAATAAGAGCACAAAGCGGAGAGCAGAGAAATTTTACAGCTGTGAAGCTACTCTGTATGATAATACAGGGGTAGATACATGCCATTATACATTTGTCCAAACCTATCCAATGTACAACACTAAGCATGAACCCTAATGTAAATTACGGACTTTGCTGATGATGTGTCATTGTGGGTTCATTGATTATAAAAAATGTACCACTCAGGTGTGAGATGTCAGTAGTGGGGAAGGCTGTGCATGTGTGAGGGTGAAGAATATGTGGAAACCATCTGTATTTTCTGCTCAGTTTTGCTGTGAACCTAAAACTGCTCTAAAAAATCAATTTAAAAAGAATAACTATTATTATAGATGTTAAGTGTATATTAATAATGCAAAACTTCAGTCTCTTTGGAGTAGATTTTGCCTAGGAAAAGCATTTTCTAGTCCTTTGGACTCTTGAAATTAGAAGTGGGAAAATGAAGATTTGGGGAAATAAGCTAGACAAAGGACCTATGACAATATCTCCAGTACTCCATCTCCTCCGCTGCCACAGTGGTAGGCTCAGTTGGAAGTTAGGGATTTATATATTTATTGAGTGCCACCTCTTCCTACCAGGCTGTTGTCTGTACTTGGTCCTCTTCCTGTTGGCACATACTCTCAGCAGTTAGAACACAGGGTGTGTTGAGCTTGTGTTTGTTCTTGGCTCTATGCAATTCTAAAGAGCAGAATTGACTTCAGAGTAGAAAAGCTGAGGTCAGCATTGCACACGGATGCTACCTGCCTCCTTCTCTGGTTCCTACAAAGTATGTTCCCCCAGTGCTGGGAACAGGAGTCTTTCTTATCCAAACTTTTCTCTTTTTTTGAGTTAAGCCAAGAGATTATATTCACCATTCATGGAGGTTACTCAAAACTCCGGCTGGGAAACAGTTCATAAGTATCTGAAGACATTCTCAGGCTTTGCTTATGAAAAGATAATTAATTGCCCTCTTCTTGTAAACTAGAAGAATATTGTTGAAATCATCTTAGAGTAGTTTCAGCAAAAGTAAAAGTTGTCAGCTTTCAATTATCTGCAGGTGGCTCATCTGCAGCAAGTTTCAAAGCCAGACTAAATTTAAAGGAAGATGGATGGCTGGATACGAGAGCAAGATCTGCATCAAGGGTAAGTTTGAATTCAAGCACTGCCACTTTCTAGCAGTGTGGCTTTGGTTAAGTTATCCAACATCAAGAATCTTAGGATTTCCTATCTGTAAAGGAGAAAATGCCATGTCTTTTTTTTTTTCTTTTTTTTTTTTTTTTTTGAGACAGAGTCTTGCTCTGTCACCCAGTCTGGAGCGCAGTGGCACGATCTCGGCTCACTTCAACTTCCACCTCCCGGGTTCAGGCAATTCTCCTGCCTCAGCCTCCCGAGTAGGTGGGACTATAGGCATGCACCACCACACCTGGCTTTTTTTTTTTTTTTTTTTGTATTTTTAGTAGAGACAGGGTTTTACCATGTTGGTCAGGCTGGTCTTGAACTCCTGACCTCAAATGATCTGCCCACCTCGGTCTTTCAAAGTGCTGGGATTACAGGTATGAGCCACCGTGCCCTGCCTGTCATGTCTATCTCATACTGCTAAGAACATGTCCAGTTCACGGTCTGGCCCACAGGAAAAGCTCAGTAAATGAAGAGCTCTTGTAATTCTTCTAGGTTCCACCTTCTGCACCAAATCCTAGTCAAAACTATGCTCTACTAAGAATTATTTTTGATATTATAAAGTGATAAATGCTCAGAATTTTTTTTTTTTTTGAGACGGAATTTCACTCTGCTGCCCAGGCTGGAGTGCAATGGTACAATCTCGGCTCACCACAACCTCTGCCTCTGGGGTTCAAGCGATTCTCCTGCCTCAGCCTCCTGAGTAGCTGGGATTACAGGCATGTGCCACTAAGCCAGGCTAATTTTTGTATTATTAGTAGAGATGGGGTTTCACCATGTTGGTCAGGCTGGTCTTGAACTCCCAACCTCAGGTGATCTGCCCGCCTTGGCCTCCCAAAGTGCTGGAATTACAAGCATGAGCCACCGTGCCCGACCAATGCTCAGAATTTTTAAGGTGCAGAGAGAATATATGGCTTACCTAGTCTATATATTATTTCACAGATAGAAAAGTGATCTCCTACTTTAGGTGGACTTTTCCTGGGTAATTATATAACAAAGGCTAGAATCCAGTGCTTCTGTTTCCAAATCTAGGCCTCTTCCCCAACGACACACCACCTACCAACTAAGTGGCTTCTGTCTCTGTCCAGAGGCACCTAAGAAACTTCCCTTTTATAGTAGTGCTCCCCTTATCTGAGGTTTTGCTTTCCATGGTGTCAGTTGCCCTCAGTAAACTATGCTCCAAAAATATTAAGTGGAAAATTCTAGAAGTAAGAAATGTATAAGTTTTAACTTGCCTGTTCTCCTGAGTAGCATGTTAAAAATCTTTCACTGTCCCACTCTGTCCTGCACAGAAGTGAATCATCTCTTTACCCAGTGTATCCACACTGTGTAGGCGACCTGCCCCATTAGTCACTCACTAGCCCTCTTGAGTGTCACAGCAATTGTCCTAGTATCACAGAGCTTGTGTTCAAGTAACCCTTATTTTGCTGAATAATGGCCCCTAAGTGCAAGAGTAGTGAGGTTGGTATGTTGTTATTGTTGTTTTATGTTATTATTAGTTATTGCTGTGAATCTTACTGTGCCTAATTTATAAATTAAATTTTAGCAGGGGCGTGTATGTATAGGTAAAAAACATAGTGTATATAGGGTTTGGTGATATCTGTGGTTTCAGGCATCCACCAGGGGTCTTGAAATGTAGTATCCCTTGCAGATAAGAGGAGACTACTGCATATGCCAGATTTGCCTCTAGGGTCACTGTTAGGTTACGCTCGGCAGGGATAGAGTGCAGTGTATCACAGCACATGCCAGTGCCATTGACATCCCCTGCCAGCACTGAGCTCCACGTTGTACCTTCTACAAAGTCACAGCCTTGAATTAGGTAACACGGCCTCAGATTTTTGTGGTGAGCAAACCCCTATCAGATGGGAGATATTCCCATTATTCTTTCTGCAAAAAAGCCACAACTCCCAGCCTTCTAAATAGGGAAGGGGAAATGTTGGGTATAGAACTGGCTTATTTTCATTGTGACATGACAATGAAGCACAAAGACTGGGGACTCTCCTTCCAGGTCACTGAGGGATGTAGGATTGGAGGAGCCACACCCCTGGTCTCACAACTGAAAATAAATTCCAACACTGGCAAGGAACCCAGAAGTCTGACCCCCTGGACCAGTGGTTTTTCATCCTGAGAGTTGGGCAAAGGTGCCTAAGAAGCCACCAAAGGAGGAAAGTGGCTGAGCAGTCTCTGAGCCCCACCCCTGTGCTCGCTGAGCAATTCTGCTTTTATCTATCCTGTTTACTTCTATTCCGTTTAAAACTTCATTTGAATAAAGACTTTTGGTGCCATACATGCATGCCCACACACTTTCACACATATATCTTTTTGGTAGGCCTTTTCTTTCTTTAGAGCTTACCTTATTTTTCTGCTAGAAAACATGCAAAACACAAGGGTCATGTTTGGCTTAATTTATATCCTGTGAGTTCAAAGACAGTTGGTGTGCCCTTGCTGAGAGGAGAAAAAGGAGAGATATCTGGAGAAGGCTACAGCTAACAGAGAATGACCAGCTTCTATAGATAATTTTGTACATCACCATTACAAGCACTATACCTTTTTAAGCCTTTTGAATCTCTGTAACTGACTTTTCTTCTACAAATTGAGTCATAAAACAACACTTGCCGCCAGGCGCGGTGGCTCACGCCTGTAATCCCAGCACTTTGGGAGGCCGAGGTGGGCGGATCACGAGGTCAGGAGATGGAGACCATCCTGGCCAACATGGTGAAACCCCATCTCTACCAAAAATACAAAAATTAGCTGGGCGTGGTGGTGGGCGCCTGTAATCCCAGCTGCTCGGGAGGCTGAGCCACGAGAATGGCTTGAATCCGGGAGGCGGAGGTTGCAGTGAGCCAAGATCGCCACTGCACTCCAGCTCGGTGACAGAGCAAGATTCTGTCTCAAAAAAAAAAAAAAAAAAACACTTGCCAATATCTTCTCCAAATTTATGAACAATGCCCATCCCTGTATGGCATGGGATACCACCAGTTAGCCTGGCTATACCCTGACATATTTGTTCTTTGAAGCTCAGGTGTGAGATGGCCTTCAAAAGGTATGTCTTGTCATCCACAGTCAAATTACTTCTGAGGACAAGAAAAGGGAGTAATGCCACATGATGATCTATAAGTTACTGATTATTGGCTTATAGCTGGCAGTCCTTTGGTGATAAATGGGAGAGGATACTGATGTACAGTCAAGGTTGGACTGGGGAACTACATGGGAGATATCACAGCCACTGCAGTCATCACAGGACGTAGCAGTGTTTCCTGAGAGACTTCTCATTCTTCTCTCTCTGAGTTGGGACAAGAAAGCCCATTCAGTCTGGGCTATGGTGTCATCCAGTCTTGGTGGTTTCTCACTATCCACATCCATCTGAGCTCAAAGAAGATGAAACCTAAACAAGAAAGAGTCACAGCCTTCATGCTGAAATCAAGAGTCTGCAGCACAAGAGACCACTTTTTTTTTTATACTTTAAGTTATAGGGTATATGTGCACAACGTGCAGGTTTGTTACATATGTATACATGTGCCATGTTGGTGTGCTGCACCCATTAACTCGTCATTTACATTAGGTATATCTCCTAATGCTTTCCCTCCCCCTCCCCCCACCCCATGACAGGCCCCTGTGTGTGATGTTCCCCATCCTGTGTCCAAGTGTTCTCATTGTTCGATTCCCACCTATGAGTGAGAACATGTGGTGTTTGGTTTTCTGTCCTTGAGATAGTTTGCTCAGAATGACAGTTAAGGAGACCACTTCTTGTACATCCTCCTGGGACCTACCTGTCCCTCAACCACTGAGTGAGTCAAGTTTGTGATGGTTCCTATGTAGCTGACAGACCTGGGCCAGTCTCTTAACTGCTTTGGGGCTCAGACTCCAAATCTGAAAAACCCGGAATATTGGCTAGGTTTTTTCTAAGGAACATACTAAGAATAATAACTAATATTTATATTGTATTTTAAACTTTATAAAACTTTTCCACACAGTTACTCACTTGCTCCTCATTTAGTTGTAAAGTAGAAACCATCTCCATGGCACAGATGAAAAAACTAAGACTCAAAGATGCTAAACAACTTTCACAAAGTGTCTCTGTGAATGCCTTCAGGTTTCCAACATTCCATTACATCACACTCTTAGCTCTAAGATTTCATAATTCAGTGTTTTTCTTCTGGAGATATATATATACATACATACATACATATATCTCCATCCAAAGTACAGCAACTTCAAAGACTGAAGGAACATCAGCCCACACAGATGAGAAAGAACCAGCTCAAGAACTCTGGCAACTCAGAGAGCCAGAATGCCTTCTTACCTCCAAACAACCACACTAGTTTCCCAGCAATGGCTCCTAACCAGACTGAAATGGATGAAATGACAGAAAGAAATATAATTCATATATAATATATATATATATATGCACACACACACTTTTATATATATTTATATATAATTATAGCTATATAAAAATATATATATTTAATTACAGTTACAATAACCATAATACTGCCTTATCTTTGGGGCTTAATCCAATGTGATACAGATTGGAAAGCTTGCATCCATGGTAGCTGCATGCTGGTACCACTGTCCCAGATGCCATACTGCCAAATAGTTTGGTACTTTTTATATAATCTATGACATATTATGCTTAACTTGAATTAGGCACTAGTAATGATATGGGCTTTTGATAATACACACCCAATTTCTGAAATCCAGATTTTAATTCATATTTAATACGATTTTTTAAAACTTTTATTTTAGGTTTGGGGGTATATGTGGAGTTTTGTTACATAGATAAACATATGTCATTGGGGTTTGTTGTACATATCATTTCCTCACCCAGGTATTAAGCCCAATACCCAATAGTTATCTTTTCTGCTTCTCTGCCTCCTCCCAGACTCCACCCTCCAGTAGACCCAGGGGCTATTGTTTCCTTCTTTGTGTTCATAAGCTCTTATCATTTAGCTCCCACTTACAAGTGAGAACATACAGTATTTTGTTTTCTGTTCCTACATGAATTTGTCTAGGATAAAAGCCTCCAGCTCCATCCATGTTCCCAAAAAAGATATAATCTTATTCTTTTTTATGGCTGCATAGTATTCCATGGTATGTATGTAACACATTTTCTTTATCCAATCTGTCATTGATGGGCATTTATGTTGATTCCATGTCATTGCTCTTATGAATAGTGCTGCAATGAACATTTGCACGCATATGTCTTTATGGTAGAATGATTTATATTCCTCTGGGTGTATAGCCAGTAATGGGATTGCTGGGTTGAATGGTAGTTCTGGTTTTAGCTCTTTGAGGAATTGCCATACTGCTTTCCACAATGGTTAAACTAATAATTTACTCTCCCACCAACAGTGTATAAGCATACCTTTTTCTCTGCAGCCTTATCAGTATCTATTGTTTTTTGACTTCTTAGTAACAGCCATTCTGACTGGTGTGAGATATTATCTCATTGTGGTTTTGATTTGCATTTCTCTAACGATCGATGATATTGAGATTTTTTTCATGTGCCTGTTGGGCACATGTATGTCTTCTTTAGAGAAGTATTTGTTCATGTCCTTTGCCCACTTTTTTATTGGGTTGTTTTTCTCTTGCAAATTTGTTTAAGTTCCTTATAGATTCTGGATATTAGACCTTTGTCAGATGCATAGTTTGCAGATATTTTTTCCCATTTTGTAGGTTGTCTGTTTACTCTGTTGACTGTTTCTTTTGCTGTGCAGAAGTTCTTAAGTTTAGCTCTTAATCAGGTCCCAATTGTCAATTTTTGCCTTTGTTGTGATTGCTTTTGGTGCCTTTGTCATGAAATCTTGCCCATTCCCACGTCCAGGATGGTATTTTCCAGGTTATCTCCCACGGTTTTATAAAGTTTTATGTTTTAGATTTAAATATTTCATCGATCTTGAGTTGATTTTTGTATATGGTGTAAGGAAGGGGTCCAATTTCAATCTTCTGCATATGGATAGCCAGTTAGCCCACTACCATTTATTGAATATGGGGTCTTTCCCCATAGCTTGTTTATGTCAGCTTTGTTGAAGATCAGATGGTCATAGATGTGCAGCCTTATTTCTGGGCTCTCTATTCTGTTCCATTGGTCTACGTGTCTGTTTCTGTACCAGTTCCATGCTGTTTTGGTTACTATAGCCTTATAGCATAGTTTGAAGGTGAGCAATGTAATGCCTCCAGCTTTGTTCTTTTTACTTAGGATTGTCTTGGCTATTTGGGCTCTTTTTTTTGTTCTATATGAATTTCAAAATAGATTTTTCTAGTTTTATGAAGAATGACATTAATAATTTGATAGGAATAGCACTGAATCTGTAAATTGCTTTGGGCAGTGTAGCCATTTTAATGATATTAATTCTTCCTATTTATGAGCATGGGATGTTTTTCCATTTGTTTGTGTCTTCTCTGATTTCTCTGAGCAGTGTTTTGTAATTCTCTTTGTAGAGATCTTTCACCTTCCTGGGTAGTTATAGTCTAGATTACTAGATATTTTATTCATTTTGTGGTGATTGTGAATGGAATTTCCTTTTGGTTTCACTATTGTTGGTGTATAAGAATGCTAGTGATTTTTGTATTGTACAACTTTGCTGCAGTTGTTTATCAGCTGGAGGAGCTTTTGGGCTAAGACCATGGGGTTTTCTAGATATAGAATCATGTAATCTGCAGAGATGGTTTGACTTCCTTTCCTCTTATTTGGATGCCATTTATTTATTTCTCTTGCCAGATTGCTTTGGCTAGGACTTCCAATACTATGTTGAATAAGAGTGGCGAGAGAGGGCATCTTTGTCTTGTGCTGGTTTTCAAGGGGAATACTTCCAGCATTTGCCCATTCAATATAATGTTTCTGGAGTTTTGAAAAACCATTTGTTGTCCCACAGCAAATGAATGGTTTTTTGAAACTCCAGAAATATCCAGATTATATGAAGTCAAATATTAGAATTTTTAAACACTTATGCTTATTTCTAAGTAATAATAGAAATGAAATTATATGATACATTTTATTATTAAAGATGATGTTCTGGCACTGAGCTTAGTTGCTGTCTCCACTGCTCCATCTTCTCTGTTCCAGGAGTCCCTGAGTGATTCTACTGCAGCCTCTGTCTGTCATCCTGTGACCTGCAGGTACTGAGAGGAGATCCATAGAAAAGACTCCAGAACATATGGAGGCTGGGAAATGTACTGGTTGATTCCACCGTGCTGTCATGGCTGCTGGCATACATGAATGAACATAGATCCTGATAAAACACTTTGGCTAGAACCACCCATTGGAGTGTTGTGGCCAGTAGACTAGGAGCACTTTGGCCCCACCAGCATAGCAGGTTTCTAATCTCCAGGGACTGGAGAACAAAGCTAGAAGCTGAGTACCAGCCCCCCAGAGTCACAGCATGCAGATCAGAAGTGCTGAGCTGAGCCTTTGCCCTGTAAAACTTTCCAGATACGAATTCAGTTGACTGAACCCACCTCATGTTGCAATCAAACCACCAAGGGCATCAGAGAAGATAAAAGCCAAAAAAAAAAAAAAATCCAAAGTACAGCATCTTCAAAGACTGAGGGATCATCAGCCCACACAAATGAGAAAAAAAACCAATGCAAGAAGTCCAGCAATTCAAAAAGCCAGAATGTCTTCTTACCTCCAAATGACCATACTAGTTCCCCAGAAATGGCTTTTAACCAGGCTGAAATGGCTGAAATGACAGGAAGAGGATTCAGAATATGGATAGGAACAAAGATCATTGACAGGAGAAAGTCTAAACTCAATCCAAGGAAACTAAGGAATACAATACAATGATATAAACGATGAAAGATGAAATAGCTATTTTAGAAAGAACCAAATTGATCTGATAAAGCTGAAAAATTCATTTCAAGGATCTCGTAATAAAATGCAAGTATTAACAGCAAAACCAACCAAGCTGAGGAAACAGTCTCAGAGCTTGAAGACTAGTTCTCCAAACTAACTCAGTCAGACAAAAATAAAGAAAAAACAATAAGGAAGAATGAACAAAACCTCTGAGAAATATGGGCTTATGTGAAGAGATCAATCTATGACTCATTGGCATCCCTGAAAGGAGGCAGAGAAGACAAGCAAGTTGAAAAACATATTTGAGGACACCATCCATTAAAGTTTCCCCAACCTTGCTAGAGAGATGAACATTTAAATTCAGGAAATGCAGAGAACTCTTCTGGGATACTATACAAGATGATCATCCTCAAGTCACATAGTAATCAGATTCTCAGAGGATGAAATGAAAG
The DNA here is from genome assembly GCF_000001405.40 of Homo sapiens. Lineage (NCBI taxonomy): Eukaryota > Metazoa > Chordata > Mammalia > Primates > Hominidae > Homo > Homo sapiens. The sequence goes on from NC_000001.11 coordinate 110,865,305, forward strand.
AAAAAATGTTAAAGGCAGCTAAAGAGAAGGGAGGAGACACCTACAAAGGGAACCCCATCAGCCTAATAGCAGACCTTTCAGCAGAAACCCTATAAGCCATAAGACATTGGGGGCTATATTTAGCATCTGTAAAGAAGAGAAATTTCAACCAGTAATTTCATATCCAGCTAAACTAAGCTTCATGAGCAAAGAAGAAATAAGATCATTTTCAGAGAAGCAAATGCTAAGGCAATTCATTACCACCAGTCCTACCTTACAAGGGGCCCTTAAAGGAGTGCTAAATATGGAAATGAAAGGCTGTTACCAGCCCAACACAAAAACACATTTAAGCACAGAGACCATTGACACTATAAAGCAACCACACAAACGAGTCTGTATAACCAGCTAACAACATGACAACAGGATCATATCTTCACATATCAATATTAATCTTGAATGTAAACAGACAAAATGCCTCAATTAAAAGGCACAGAGTAGCAAGTTGGATAAAGAAGCAAGATCCAACTGTATGTAGTCTTCAAGAGGACCATCTGACATGCAATGACACCCACAGACTCAAAGTAAATAAGTGGAGAAAAATCTATCAAGCAAACAGAAAACAGAAAAAAGTAGGAGTTACTAGTCTAATTTCAGACAAAACAGACTTTAAACCAACAAAGATCAAAAGCAACAAAGAAGAGCATTACATAATGGTAAAGGGTTCAATTAAACAAGAAGACATAGCTATCGTAAATATATATGCACCCAACACAGGATACCCAGATTCATATAGCAAGTTCTTAGAGACCTGCAAAGAGACTTAGGTAACCACACAATATTAGTGGGAAACTGCAACACCCCACTGACAGATCATTGAGATAGAAAACTAACAAAGATATTTGGGACCTGAACCTGACACTTGACCAAATGGGCCTAAACAACATCTACAGAACTCTCCACACAAAACCAAAAGAATATACATTTGTCTCATCTGCACATGGCACATACTCTAAAATTAACCACACAGTTGGCCATAAAACAACCCTCAGCAAATTTAAAAAAGACCCAAATCATGCCAAACACACACTCAGACCACAGTGCAATAAAAATTGAAATCAGTATGAAGAAAATCATTCAAAACCACACAACTACATGGAAATTAAACAACCTGCCGCCAAATGACTTTTGGGTAAATTATGAAATTAAAGCATAAGTCAAGTAATATTTTGAAACGAATGAGAACAAAGATACACTGTACTAGAATCTCTAGGAAACAGCTAAAGCAGTATTAAGAGAAAAGCTTATAGCACTAAATGTCCACATCCAAAAGGTAGAAAGATCACAATTAACAACCTAACATCATACTTGAAGGAATTAGAAAAACAAGAGTGAAGTAACCCCAAAGCTAGCAGAAGACAAGGAATAACCAAAATCAGATTTGAACTGAAGGAAATTAAGATGCAAAAACCATACAAAAGATCAACAAATCAAAGGGCTGGTTATTTGAAAGGATAAATAAGATTGACAGACTGCTAGCTAGACTGATAAATAAAAAAAGAGAGAAGTTCCAAATAAACACAATCAGAAATGACAAAAGGGACATTACCAATGACTCCACAGAAATACACAAACTCTCAGAGACTACTATGAACACTTCTATGCACACAAACTAGAAAACCTAGAAGAAATGGATAAATTCTTGGAAACATACAACCTCCTATGTTTGAACCAGGAGGCAATTGAATGCCTGAACAGACCAATAACAGTTTCCAAAATTAAATCAGTAATAAAAATCCTACCAACCAGAAAAAGCACAAGACCAGAAGAATTTACGGCCAAATTCTACCAGATGTATAAAGAAGAGCTGCTACCATTCCTACTGAACCATTCCAAAAAATTCAGGAGGAGGGTCTCCACTCTAACTACTTGTATGAGACCAGCATCATCCTAATACTGAAACCTGGCAGAAAAAAAAAAAACAAAAAAGAAAATTTCAAGCCAATACCCCTAATTAACATAGACACAAAAATCTCCTACAAAATGCCAGCAAATTGAATGCAGCAGAACATCAAAGAGCTAATCCACCATGATTAAATAGGCTTTAACCCTTGGATGGAAAGTTGGTTCAACATACACAAATCAATAAATGTAATTCACCGCATAAACAGAACTGAAAACAAATACCACATGATTACCTCAATAGATGCAGAGAAGGCTTTTGATAAAATTCAACATCCCTTCATGTTACAAACCCTCAACAAGCTAGGCATTGAAGGGACCTACCTCAAAATAATAAGAGCCATCTATGACAAACCCACAGCCAACATCATACCGAACGGGCAAAAGCTGGAAGCATTCCCCTTGTGAACTGCAACAAGACAAGGATGCCCACTCTCACCACTCCTATTCAAATAGTACTGGAAGTCCTAGCCAGAGCAATTAGGCAAGAGAAATAAATAAAACCCATCCAAATAGGAAGAGAGGAAGTCAAATTATCCTTGTTCGCCAACAATATGATTCTATATCTAGAAAACCCCATAGTCTCTGCTCAAAAGCTCCTAGATCTGATAAACAACTTCAGCAAAGTGTCAACATATATAAAACCAATGTACAAAAATCACTATCATTTATATACATCAACAGCTTCCAAGCTGAGAACCAAATCAAGAATGCAACCCTATTCACGAACACCACAAAATGAATAAAATACCTAGGAATACAGTTCACCAGGGAGGTGAAAGATCTCTACAATAAGAATTACAAAACATTGCTCAAAGAAATTAGAGATGACAGAAACAAATGGGAAACATTCCATGCTCATAAATTGGAAGAGTCAATATTGTTAAAATGCCCATACTGCCCAAAGCAATTTGCAGATACTATGCTAATCCTATCAAACTACCAACACTATTCTTCACAGGACTAGAAAAAAACTATTTTAAAATTCATATGGAGCTAAAAACAAATAGCCAAGATAATCCTAAGCAAAAAGAACAAAGCTGGAAGCATCATGTTACCTGACTTTGAACTATACTACAAGGCTATCATAACCAAAACAGCATGGTACTGATACAGAAACAGATGCATAGACCAATGGAACAGAATAGAGAGCCCAGAAATAATGCTGCACACCTACAACCATCTGATCTTCAACAAAGCTGACAAAAACAAGCAATATGGAAAGGACTCCATACTCAATAAATGGTACTGGGCTAACTGGCTATCCATATGCAGAAGATTGAAACTGGACCCCTTCCTTATACCATATACCAAAATCAACTCAAGATGGATTAAATTTTAAATCTGAAACCTAAAACTTTAAAAACCCTGGGAAATAACCTAGGAAATACCATTCTGGACAAAGGCCCTGGTAAAGACTTGATGATGAAGATGCCAAAAGCAATTGTGACAAAAACAAGAATTGATAAATAAGGCCTAATTAAACCAAAGAGCTTCTGAACAGAAAGGGAAACTATCAACAGAGTAAATAGACAGCCTGGAGCATGGGAGGAAATATCTGCAAACTATGTATCTGACAAAGGTCTAATATCCAAATCTATAAGAAGGTTAAACTAATTAACAAGCAAAAACCAAACAACTCCATTAAAAAGTGAGCAAAGGACATGAATAGACATTTGTCAAAGGAAGTCACACATGTAGCCAACAGGCATATGAAAAAATACTCAGCATCGCTAATTATTAGAAAAATGCAAATCAAAACCACAATGAGATACCATCTCACACCAGTCAAAATGCCTATTATTAAAAAGCCAAAAAATAACAGGTGTTGGCGAGGTTTCAGAGTAAAGAGAATGCTTATACGCTGTTGGTGGGAATGTAAATTAGATTAGCCAGTGTGGAAAACAGTTTGGAAATTTCTCAAAGAACATAAAACAGAACTGCCTTTTGACCCAGCAATCCCATTACTGGGTACATATCTAAAGGAATACAAATTGTTCTATCATAAAGACACACGCATGTGTATGTTCATCATAGCACTCTTTACAATAACAAAGACACGGAATCAATCTAAATGCCCATCAATGATAGACTGGATAAAGAAAATGTGGTACATATACACCATGGAATACTATGCAGTCATAAGAAAGAATGAGATGATGTTCTTTGCAGCAACATGGATGCAGGTGGAGGGCCTTATCCTAAGCAATTTAATGCAGGAAGAGAAAACCAAATATTGCATATTCTCACTTATAAGTGGGAACTCAACACTGAGTACACATGGACGCAAAGAAGGGAAAAACAGACACTAGGGCCTACTTGAGGGTGGAGCGGGGAAGGAGGGAGAGGATTAAAAAACTACCTGTTGGTCACTATACTTACCCCCTGGGTGATGAAATAATCTGTACACCAAAACCCTGTCACATGCAATTTACCTATATAATAAGCCTGCATATGTACGTTTGAACCTAAAATGAAAGTTAAGAATGATGTTCTACAGCATTTTCTTCAAAACTTTACTCTTAGAGCCCATAAGCAAAATCCAATGTACTACTAGTTAACTTTAATCTCCCATTTGAAGTTTCCAATCTTATAATTCTCACAAAATCTATGCCTCTTAAACTCTAATATCCTTATATACTTAAATAACTCTGAAATAAACTTGGAAGTTCTATCTGTATTCTCATATTTCAACAGTGATTATCTTCCAATAATAAAACAGAACTACTCACTTAGAAGGCTTTTGAAAAAGGCCTAAATGGGGGCTAAATACAAAATGTCTATGTGAGTATTTGTCTATTCAGAATGTATTTTGGCAAATACGACTGCACAGTAGTAGAGTACTCATAATTTGTATTCCCGCTATTCGTCTGGCCAAGTTCAAGTTTCCTAAACTCTCAGATTCTATTATCATCTATGATGGTGATCAATATACCCCGTATTGAGAAGACCAAGCCATGAGTCTGAGCTTCTGCTAAATGCCTTTTCTAATTTAGTTTTTTCAAAGTTTTTGAGCGTTCTTTTGGGTTATTCAATAACATGGGGTTTCCTGATATTGTCTTATTCTCTATTTGTTTTTGTTCTTGTCCCTCCAAATGAATTCTAAATATCTGATGGTCAGAAACAGAATTAATTCTCAATAAAATTTTATAGGTATGGGTATAAGTGGGCACGTTGTTCTCTACCAAACCCCTAAACCCAGGAAACAGCCACCTCTAGTTGTCCGGCACTTGGAACAACCCTTCCCAGTGAAATGATGGAAAGAGGCACATTCAAGGAAAAATGTTCTGCATTAAAATGGTCACCTATTTTGCTGTGAACAATTTGTCTTGAGATAGTCTTCCCGATATTCCTAAGATTCCCCCTTATTTATCACTTCTCTCTCTGCAGATGTTCAGTCTACCTATCTCTTTCTTCTCCTTACTCTCTCTGCCTGTCCCAAATTTCTGGTTCCCCTAACTTGCAGGCCTCACATTACCTGAAACTATTCAAATATTTATAGAACACCTCTTATGTGCCAGACCCAATACCAGGCACTAAAAATACAGTCATGAGCAAGATCACCCAACATACACAGAGTAACACAGAACCTACAGAGCTTTCAGTCTAGTGGGGAAAACAATGAAAAACAAGGAATGACAGAGGGTGGAGGAATGCCTGTGGGCAATGGGAGCAGAGAGCAGGAGTAACTGTTCCTGCCTGGAGGGCTTTCTGGTGCTATGATGGGGGATGAGTAAGGAATTAAGTGAACAGGTGAGAGGATATTCTAGAGAGAGCTCGTGAGACAGAACTAGATTGATTTGTTTAAGCAACTAAAAGGAATTCCATATCCAGTGTTACCCAGTGTGAGGAGATCTTGGGGGTGGGGCCGGGGAAGAAATAGCCGGCTGAGAGTTTTAAGCTGGGGAGTCATGTGATTAAATTTGCATTTTAGAAGGCTCTCCTCCCTTCTTCCTGAGGACAGACTGAAGAAACATCCAAGGTGGTCTTGAAGGACACTGGGATCCTGTAACACAGGTAAAAGATAAAGACTAATGTAATTTCTATGGGGTTGGAGAGAGGTGGTCTGGTTTGAGAAATATTTAGGCAAAAGCATAACTGACAGGACTTGGTGGCTGATAATAGGTGGTGGTGTGGGAGAGAGAGTAGCTTAAGAGGACACCTGGTTTCTCATGAACGTGGCTGAAAGGCCAGTCAGGCCTTTCCTGGATGGTGGACATGGTGGGAGGAGCAGGCTTGAGTGTGGGGATGCCAAGTTAATCAAACTGAAGTTGGATATTGGATTTGAGGTGCCTGGGAGAGAGTGGAGCTCAAAGGAGAGATCATGGCATCTATATAGATTTGTGAATCTTTGGAACAGACAGATAGTAATTAGAGCCATCAGAATGGGTGAGATAATTAGGAAAATATGAGTTCAGCCAGAAGCCTCTCCTCAGCCCCACCACTTCAGGGACCTGTAAGCATGGCAGCAGCTCTGAGTGAGGGTCAGTGATTCCAGCCGAGGTGCAGAGACTTTTTAATAGCATTCCCTAAAGTGTAGTTACACTGAAAAATTGTTCCCCAAGAGAAACTACACACACACACACACACACACACACACACACACCACACAGTTCCATGCTCAGATAAGTTTGGAGAAATCTATATATTATTTCCCCTGCTTAGAGAATATTAAGGACTGACAAGTTCTGCAGTAAAGACCTTTTTACCTTCATTTAATTCAGTTTTCCCCACAAGACAGCCCTGGCTGGAGATTACTCTGGATCTGAATGTCTCAGGGTGAAGGAAGCGGGAGACAGCTAGCTTTCCCAGAGGCATGCCCGCAAGTCAGCACCGCAGAGTGCATCTATCTGTTCATTTATAAGATGAAAACATTGGGGCCCAGTGATTGCTTCCAAGTTTCATAGTTAGCTAGTGATACATTTGGGTTGTCACATACTCCTTTGACCCAATCTAAGAAAATTCCAGTGATGCAGCATAGTGAAACCAGAAACACATTTTTCAAAATATATTGATCACAGTGTTTCTCAAAAGGCCTTCTCTGTGACCTTGAATTTTAATCCTACCTCTGACATGTCTTAGTTGTATGAGCTTGGGCAAATTTTCTAACCTCTTTGAGCGCCTGTTTTCTTGTATATAAATAAGGATGTAACAGTAACCAGTAGGATTATTATTAGGTGTTACCATTAATAAACTGAGGCTGACAGATTGAGACTTGCTCAAGATCTCACAGCTAAAAGAGATAAAGCTGGAACTGAAACTCAGATCTTTGGCTCCAAATGTGGTGTTTCCTGTACTAACCAAATCATTTCTACCAGTGCCCCTGGGATTATGCCTTGGGGACTCACCTTAAGACAGTCTTGCTCTCGAGACAGAGAAGTCTGCAAATGGTGTCCAATTCAAGTCTAGAGACTGGCTGAAGCCAGACAGAGGGAGTATGAGGAGGGGGCAGAGAATCTTCAGAAAGACATTCCAAAGTCTCGGGCCTAGAAAATGTTTAGAAATATTGGTTCCTGTGTTCCCCTCCAGTCTGTCTACCTGAATGGGAAACTGGTGGTGGGGCCAGGCATACTTCTTTTTGAACAAATACACAGTTAATTCTGAGATGCCACCTTGATTGAGAAGCACTGTCCTTTTCTAAGCAAAAATCATTGCCAAATTACCCTAGAATCCACCACTGCTCACAGATCTGTGCCTGAACCAACTTGGTTTTGAAGTTTTCTTTTGTTTCACAAAACTAGTTTAGGGTGGGCTGTGAGAGGAAGCTTCTAAAAAGCCACTGGGAAAGTACTAAATCTCTGAGACTAAAGAGGGCGGACTCAGCCTCACTTCCTCCTTCTTCTCATCTGGGCTTCCTGTCGTCACAGCATGATCATATTTTTTCACCCTTCACTTCTCCTTTTACACAAATAGCCCCGGATATCTGTGTTACCAGCCTTGTCTCGGCCACCTCAAGGATAATCACTAAATTCTGCCGAAAGGACTGAGGAACGGTGCCTGGAAAAGGTAAGGTTGATGACGTTTTAACTTGGCTTGCTGTCTAATGTGGGGTAGGGCGTATTCTTAGGGGTCTCCATATACCTCTCTAGTAACCATAAAATCTCCGGCAACTTCTCTTTCACAAATATTTAGTGCACAAAGTAAAACAGATTAGCAAGATCCTAGTAACATCCCCAAAGGCAATCAGGCCAGAAATACTTTTACTTAATCAGGTTCCCATTATCTAAATCTCTGAGTCGAGGCATTCACATGCCTTAATTGCTTCAGAGCTTGAATTACTCTGTGTAGTAATTCCTGATGCCTGGAGCTTTCTATGCGAGATGACATTGGGGAGATTTCCTATGTGCTCTGGTCTTCAGAAAATTGGTCTTGTGATTTTAAAGTGAGGAAAGAACCCACAGCCAGAGCTGTCTTTAGAAAGACAGCTAGAAGACACAGTTCTTTTTCATTTGAGAAAATTTCAAAAGTAAATTTAGTGACTCCCACTGTGGTTCTTCAAAGCCACTAAATAGAAAGGTGGCTAAAAATCAAAACACCAGGATGTGCTCAGTAACTGTATTTTAAAAGGTGAAAGCTAGACATCTCTAAAGGATGCATAGATTGTTGGCTTTTAAGGAGCAGGAAGCACATTGGGATCCTCAGCATTTCCCCAAATTATCCTTGGTGTACAAAACATGACCACTGATAAATGTCACATGAAATGCACGTATAAAATGCAATCCCCAAAACTTGATACTGCAGTAATTTCCAATCATGTGCTGTAACTAATGACTGAGGTTGCATGGACTCAGCAAAGTGTTAGCAGAGCTTCGGTCCTGACTCTCTGTGACCACCATCGGAAACTCTATGTAAGAGCTTTCTTCTTCCAAGACCTGTGAGAATTTCACTTGATTATGCCCTGGAGCAGAAAGGAGAAAGTTCTCTTTGATTACACCCACCCATCTAAGTATGAGGATTGGGAACAGGGCAGAGGGCTCTAGATTTCCAAGAGGGGTGGGGACGGGGAGAGGGCTCTGGATTCCCAAAACACCTCAGAGTTTATTGAGCCTTGTATTAAAAAATAAAAAGCAGTCTTTTAAATAAATTCACTTAATAATCAAGTGGTAGGTGCCTCCTGAGGCCAGGCACTGTGCTTTGGGAATTGTGGGGGAGGGAGATGAAAAGGTAGAAGGAGAATATTTGTCTAGCAAACAGTCCTACTCTTAAGGAACTCCCATGGGAGATAAGAGATATCATACTATGCGTGTGCTTTGGAAGAAAGCTGAGAAAAAGCAAACTCCCAGCTGCTGGACAAACAAAGAGGTTTTGCTTTCTCAATCTTGAGGAGAATCTGTACTATTTTGAAATTGTGGTTGAATGGGAGCAAAGACTGAACTGAAACATTATTTCCTGTGATGTTTCCTGTGTGGGCCAGTTAAGAACACTTAATTTTTAAATGAAAGGATTGGGTACCTTTATATTCATGAGGAATGATTCCAAGTTCATGCCTTCACAGCTATGGTTACCACCACCTAAGTGACCTCACCTTTGTTCACTGACAAGAGGCACAAACTGGAAAGGACAAAGTCTGTTGGTCCTTGGTTTTTTGTGCCCTCTGATTGACCTCTGACTGCACAGAGGCCCTCGGACTCTGGTTCTCCTTTCCCACTCCTACCCCATGGCCAGATATGGCACTTGGTGCTGGAGATACAGGATAACAGAAAAGATTATCATCTGAAAGGAGTTGTAGAGTTTATTATGGATGACAGTCACAGCAATATACAAATACAGTGCAATGTGCTCTTTTCTATAATAGATGGAGAACGTGCACAAACTGTAGGAGTTAGGAGTGTGCCAAAAACTGCCTAGAGAGGTGACTGGTGGGTTCACTTTCACAGAAGTATGGGTTTGCTATGGAGACATTCTAGACCAAGGGTGCTGTATATTCAAATTCAAAGAAGTGTGTACCTCCAGGCATGTTAGAAATGAGAGAAAGCAAGTGAGACTGCAGTGTAACACACCATGTTTACAGAGCCACATGAAGTGGAAAGCCCTTTCTCCTACTTGGCACCAGAAAGTGGAGGGCAAGATCGCTCACCAGGCAGGTCCTAGGTCCAGCTCTGGGTGGGGCTATGCCCACCATGTTCACACGACAGAATTGATGGGATGTGGGTTTGAAATGAGGGAGAAGAGGCAGGTTTTTGCCTCCTCAACCTAGATTTTCACTTAGAGCAGAAGGAAGGGTGGAGCTTCTTGTGAGGTTACAGCCATTGTTTTCAGCTTAGCTTCTGTTCCAGGAAGTACTGCATTGATTCAGTTATAGTGGTTTGTTCTGCGTCCCTAGATTAGTCAGCCTAGGGCACTTCTTGTACCAAGCAAGCATCCACTGTGTGTAGATCACCCTGGGCCCTAGAGACTGGGCACCTGTCCTCAGGAAGCTCCTAGGACCCATCTGCCACTGCAGGTGCAGGGCACTGAAGCAAAGTAACCCAGAGAAAACAGACAGCTATGCAGAGCAGGACTCCAGCATGGCTGCTGGGGCAGAGGAGGGAAGGATTGAGCTGGAGGTTGGGTGGTCAGTTTGAGAAGGCTGTCTGGAGGTAGGTTTTGGGAAAGAGAAAGACATGCATTTGCAAAGCCAGTGGATGACCACTCAGAGTAAAGGCCAGGAATCTCTATACTGAGAGTTAGAGGTGAGTGCTCTCTCTTCATTATCCATTTCATAAGCACACAGCAGAATTTCTACCCAAGCAATAGCATCAATATGTCATAGCTCTGACCAAGAATTATTGTAAAAGAAAATATGACACAAGCATACATTTTTATAATCATTTAAAATGAGAGTGCTATATTCCAAGAATTAGAATATTGGTACTTCAAGCGAAGTTAGAGATTATTTAGATTCAAATAAAGTATCTTAACTCACAATGAGAGCCAATAAATAGGAGCTGTCGCAACTGTCCAATCTGCTTACTTTTCAGGTAAAATGACTTGTCCAAAAATCATAAAATTACTTAATAGTTATTCAGAATGTCTTCTGATTCTCTATGGCATGCTCTTTCTTCTACATTATACTATAGTCCCTTTTCTAAGAGATTTTTTATTAAGTAAGCATCATTAGACTGTATTCTTCATTTACATAAATTCCTAGTGCATTTTAACATAAGCAAACATAAAAATACCACTTAATTGTAAATGTAATTGATCTTAAGCTACTATGCTAGCAAACTAAATACTTAACATATATTTTATTTTCCAAACCTTTTTGTTTGGCCTTTTCTATTTCAGGAGAACTAGATTGAGGAATAGGGGTAAGAAATGATTTTAATGCCTCATATCTTTTAAAACTTGTTAAAGTTTACTTGTTAAAGTAAATTTGAACTTATGGCTTACCTTATATCAGGAGCAAATAAAGGCATTCAAGAATTATTCCATAGTTTAGTCTTCTTAAAATAACTATTGTAGAATCTCAGTATTTATAACATAGAAGACAAATTGTAATGATTTTGAGATGAGAATCCCTTAGATCATTTATTTATTTCCCATCCCTTTAAAAAAATGACAAAATTCAGACTGATAAAAAGGTTGAAAAAATATTATGAAAAATTTCTAAATCCTTTTCACCCAGATTTCCAAAATATTAACATTTTACTTCATTTGTTTATTCTCTGGCTCTCTCATTTGACAGTAATTAGTAATTTGATTGATGCCCTTTCCCCTAAGAATGTTAGTGTATATTTCTACAAACAAATGCATTCTCTTATATAACTACTTTACAATGATCAAAACCAGGAAATTAACACTTATGCAATATAATTAACAATCTATGTACTTTATTCAGATTCCACCAATTACCTCTTTAATATTCTTTATAGCAAAAGGAAATTTCTAGTCACGCATTGCCTTCAACTGTCACTTTTGTCTCCTTTAGTCTGGAACACTTCCTGAATTTTTCTTGCCATTGATATTCTTGAAGAGTAAGGTCAGTTCTTTTTTAGAATGTTTCTCCATTTGGGTTTATCTGATGTTTCCTCATGATTAGATTCAGGTTATTTAAATTTTTGATAGGAATACCAACAAAGTGGCTTTTCTTATCCCACAAAGAGTCTTGCTTAATCTGAGCATAGCCAGCCTGCAGACACCATGGACAGGCCTCTAGCCGAGGGACCCCGTATGTAAAGTTCTGCATATTTCTACCTAGGAGGACGGAGAACCTCTGGTCTCTTGACTCTGTAACAGTGCTAACTGTTTTAGGTAACTGTTCCTGATTTACGAAGTAAGCTTATTAGAAGAGTCCCTGTCCCACCTCAGCTGTTATTAGTATCTTGCTAAGCTCCCACATGGGAGGAAGTGAGCTTCCAAGATCATCTGGATTTGTCTTTCTTCACTTTTTCTCTCCTCTTTTCTTCTTCCTTATTTCTCTCTTCTTCTATAAATCGCCAAATCCTCTCCCCTAACAGCGACCTAGAAGAAACAAAATTTTTATCAGATTACAATTTTAGGAAGGAATAAGATAACAGATATTCCTTGATTAGTTGATGGAGAGATGAATGGACACGAATACATGAGAGTTGATGCTTTGGCTTCGTTTTATTTTACCCCTACTTCTTCCTCTACAACTGCTTATTACTCTTCAAAAGGACGTACAGCGATAACTTTGATTGCACCTCAGCCACTGCTCACAGGAGTTCAAACGAGCTGATGAAAAATGGAAGGTCTTCTCCTGGATGCTCAACACATTGCACCAAATGAGTTGGGAAGTAATAGGCACAAAACCAGAGCCTGGGACGGTGGAAAGAGCATGGGCTTTGGAGGCTGAAAGAACTTGGCCTTCACCCTGCCTTTGATGATTCTTAGCTGGGTGACCTTGTGCCAGTCCTCGGCTTCTCTATTTGCAGAATGGGGCTAATGACACCTAAGTTGTCAGGCCGATTTGAGGATTATAAATAAGACATTTATGAGGAACTTAGTTATTTTGTGGGATTCAGTGAACTATCTATTATGTATCTCAGTTTGTTTGAGCAAGGCCTACATTTGGGAGCCCTCACTGGGGCAGATTTTCGCTCCTATTTAGAAAAACTTTTTCTTAATCACAGCCTCAATTGTCTTTGCTAAGGAACAAAGACTGCCACAGGCTCTGTGTAGGAAGGGATAGGGAGCCGTAATTACCTTGCGAATGCTCTTGTATGTAAATTGACAATCTGTATATAGAGAAATGTATATGGAGAAGTGTCTGGAAAGACGTTTGCCAAAATGCTAATGATGGTTATCTCTGGGAGGTGGGATTTCAGAAGATTTTATGCTTTCTTCTTTATACTTTTCTTTATTTTTTAAATGTAGAATTTTTTTTTAAAGAAAGCATGCTTACATTTGCTTTCTATTGCTGGATTTTTCAACTTTTTCTAATAGGTTTGAATGGAGTAAGAAATGTGTTCTAATAATATATATTCTCAATCTTAGCTTACAAAGGTGTTTCTCTACCAAACACTTCCATTCACTGAAAGAAAACAATTTATGCATCTTAAAGAAACTGTGCTTACATTTGCCTTTTATTGCTGGGATTTTCCAACATGTCTTAACAGAGTTCAGTGGAGAAAGAAATGTGTTCTAATAACGTATTCTCAATCTTAGCATACAAAGGTGTTTTTCTATTAAACGCTTTTCTTCACTGAAAGGAAGTCTTACAGAAACTGTACTTGCATTTATTTATTTATCTTTTATTACTGAAATTTAACATTTTCAATTTGTTCTAATAGGTACAAATGGAAAAAAAACATGTGCTTTTCTTTATTGTTTGATTTCTTTTTGTTTTTTTATTTTTTTTACAAATGGCACACGAAACCTCTTTTTAAAACGTATGAAACAAGCAAGGGATTATTCTTGCCCCGTGTATGTTTTATTCCTAAAAATCTGTTAGAAGCTAAGGGTTACCCTTAGGAATGGACTGGTAGGTAAGGTCTGAACTTGATCTTTCAGTGAGTTTTCACTGAATAAGGCAGATACACAGGGACTGAGCCATCCTGGAAATAGTATCTCATTTAGCCCTCAGAACAACCTCTGAGGTAAGTATTAATAACCCTATTTCAAAGATATAGTGAAAGACAGGTTAAGCAAGTTGCCCAAGGTCACACTTCTGATAAGTAGCACTAACAGAATTCAAAACTAGACCTGTCTGATTCCAAAGCTAGTGTTTATCAAACTGTGTTCCACAGAATACTATGTTATTTGACCTGTTAATAAGTGATCTGCAACATAAAACTAGGTTTGTAGTTATATAAACATATTTTTGTCTTAGAGACTCACAGTGCACATTAGCATATAACAGGTTTTTCTCTTACACTGTTTTTTTTTCTTTATCTTGGCTTTTGTTTGAGGAGCACTTACTAATATCTCATAAGCGTAATGGTCTATGTAGCACCAAAGCTGTCTTATGTGGCTCCAGCCTAGCTTGTAATATTGGATCAGATAAGGCTGAAGATGAAGAACTGATAGAGGTTCTTTTTTTTTTAACTTAAAAAAATTTTAAAATAGAGACAGGGTCTCTCTATGTTGTTCAGGCTGGTCTTAAACTCCTAGGCTCAAGGGCTTCTCCCACCTCAGCTTCCCAAATGGCTGGGATTACAGGTGTGAGCCACCATGGCGAGCCTGATCGAGGTTCTTGAAGCCTCTATCCAACCTTAACCACTTCTAAGCTTGATTAAATTCAAGAGTAGATTACATGGTGCTGTTAGTACAGGTCAAAAAAAAGACAGGGATGGAATTAGAAATCCGCAGGTTCTACCAGCTCAAGCCCATTGGAGGAAACTAAAGAGCAAAGTTGATCCCTAACCTCCATGTTGAGTTGTGGAAGGTAGCCACAGTTAAGTGCAGTTTGGTCACGCAGGTTTCCTGGAAACTGATATTGGTGGCTTTTTGCATAGAACCATGAGTCATGCATCTAAGAGTCATAGACTTTGACTGTGGGAGGGGTGTCGGTTCCTCTAGATGGTAGTTGGAAGGGGTGGGAGGCTTAATCACTGCCCAGTAACAGTGAAAAGGGGAAGGGGAAACGGAGCAGCATTCTCTCTGGGGCCCTTATGGCATGTGGCAAAAGTAGTGACAATCTTCACCAGGTGAGAAGATTTTCTTACTCAATTTAGTATGAGTCTGGAGAGGTAGAAAGTGGGAGAGGAAGGAAGAAGAGGTTCTTCTTCCTGTCTGTGAAGGAAAGAATCAGTAGGAATGTCCCTAAGTTTGTGGGCACCTAGCCAGCTGGTGTTCTGTGGACAATCAGGTTACACGGGCCTGAACTAATTGTCACAGGATACCAGGATGTTGGGGCTGATGTGACTCTAGGAGGCATCTGGCTCAATTCCTTTCTGTTACTGATGGGTGAGTTAGTTATTTTCCTATGTCCAAAACATCAGTTTATTAGCAGACTGAAAATTCAAGCCCAAGGCTCCTGACTCTGCAGTGTCATGTTCATTCCACTACATCAGATAATTCTGAGGTAATGAGGCTTTGAGAATTCAAAGATGAATAGCATAGATCCTACCCTCAAGGAGCTCACATTCTAGTGAGGGAATAGTCACTTATAAAACAAAATGGTTAGTACAATGGCAGAGGTACACAGGTATTACAGATACTCCTTAGGGCAAGTGAGGGTTGGGTGTGAAGACTTAGACACAAACAGAGAGGACTTCCTGGAAAAGTGACACATCATTAGGATGATGAGTAACTAACCAGAATAAGAGGCCAGAAAGAAAAGAGAAAATTTCAGCAAAGAAACACATTACCAAAGTAAGGAAGGAAGCATTAAGACAAGGATTCAATATTGCTTTGCTAAATTTTAAAGTATAATACAGGGGGTGTTGCCATGAGTGTGGAGTGATGGACAGGAGCAAATTAGGAGGGGCCTTTGACGTAAGTGTACATGCATAAATCCATCACCACAGTCAAAACACTGAGCGTATGCATCACTCACCACAGATTGTTGTGGCCTTCTGTAATCCCTTTCTCTCACCCTTCCCTGCTCCCTCTCTACTCACCTCCTGCCCTCCCCCACCTTCATCCTCAGACAGTCATTGATCTGCTTTCTGTTGCTATAGATTAGTTTTCATTTTCTAAAATGTTATATAACTGGAATCATACAGAATGTACTCTTTTTTATTTAACCTCTTTCACTCACCATGATTATTTTTACATTCACCTGTGCTGTAGAGGGTAACAACAGTTCATTCTTTTTAATTGCTAAGTAGTTTCCATTGTAAAATTATACCACTATTTATTTATACATTCACTTGTTTATGGACATTTGGGTTGCTTCCAGTTTGGGCTATTACAAATAATACTACAAAACTATGAACCTTCCTGTACTAGTCCTAGTATGGACATATGCTTTCATTTCTCTTGGGTAAATACCTAGGAGTAGAATGGCTGGATCATATGATAAGTATATGTTTAACTTTGTACAAAACGAGCAAACTGCTTTTGAACATGGTTATACCATTTTACATTCCCACCAACAGTGTATAAGAGTTCCAGTTTCACTACATCCTCACCAACACTTGGTGTGGTCAGGTTTTGAAAACATTTTAGCCATTCTAGGAGATGTGGAGTGGTATCTTACCATGGTTTTAATTTGCATTTCCTTAATGAGTAATGAAGTAGAGAATTTTTTTCATGTCCTTATTTGCCATCCATATAGTATCTTCTTTGGTGAATTGTCTGTTCTGATCTTTTGCCCATTTTAAAAATTGGATTGTTTATTTTCTTACCATTGAGCTTCAAGAGTTGTTTTTATACTCTGGATACATGCCTTTTATCTCCTGTGTGATTTGGAAATATTTTGTCCCTTCTGTGCCTTGTCTTTTCATTCTCTTAACAGTGTCTTTTGAAGAGCAGAAGTTTTTAATTTTGAAGAAGTCCAATTTATCAACTTATTGTGCTTTTGGTGTCTTATCTGAGAACTCTTTGCATAACCAAGGTTGCAAATATTTCCTTCTGGAGAATTATAGTTTTGGATTTTACCTTTAGATCTATGATTCATCACTAGTTACGATTTCGTATGGAGAGAGGTATAAATGCAAGTTCATTTTTGCATATTAATAGACAATTGTTCCAGCACCATTTGTTGAAAAAAGTATTCTTCATTCTGTAATATATTAATTTTGTATTTTTTTTGAAAATCAGTTGTCCATATGCATATGGACTCTATTCTGTTCTCTTGATATATTTATTTAACACCAGTGCTATCCTGTCTTTATTGTTGTAGTTTTATAGAAAGCAATATAATTAGGTAGTGTTTGTACTCCAATTTTGTTCTTTATCAAACTCATTTTTACTATTCTAAGTCTTTTGCATTCCCAAATGAATTTTAGAATTAATTTCTTGAAGCCTACAAAAAATTCTGCTGTAATATTGATGGGGATTACAATCTATAGATAAATTTGGAAGAATTGACATCTTAAAAATATTGAATTCCTGGTAGATGGACGTGGTATATCTCTCCATTATTTGCATCTTTTCAATTTCTTTCAGCAATGTTTGTTTTTAAGTTTTCAGTGTACAATTCTTTCACAACTTTTGTCAGATTTATGCCTAAGTATTTCATATATGATGCTATTGTAAATGATACTTTTAAAAATACTTGATTTCTAATGGTTACTAGTGCATAGAATGCTATTATTTTTTGTGGATTGAATCTTGTTTCTAGCAACCTTGCTACACTTACTTGTTAGTTCTAGTAGTATTTTTGTAGATTTATTTAGATTTTCTACAAAGACATTCATGATATCTGTGAACAAAGCCAGTTTTACTTTTTTTTCTTTCCAGTTTGGATGCCATTCTTTTCATATTTCATTTGCACTGCCTAGAAACTCCAGTACAATGCCAAATAGAGTAGTTAAGAGTAAACAGACTTATTTTCCTCCTTATATAAGGGTAAGGCATTTGGTGTTATACCATTAAGTATGATGTTCTTAATTCTATGCCCTTCATAAATGCCTTTTATAAGTTTGCATAAGCGTTCTTCTATTCCTAGTTTGCTAAGAGTTTTCATCAAAAATAGATGTTGAATTTTGTCAAATAAATTTCCTGTATCTATTGAGATGATAATTTATTTTCTCTTTCAATTCATTAATATGACTAATTAAGTAGTTTTTTCAATGTTAAAATAACCTTGCATTCCTGAGAGTAGCCCCATTTGTTCATAATTTCTTATCATTGTTCTATATCGTTAGATGCTTTTTACTAAAATCTTGTTTATAATTTTCACATCTTGTTCTGAGGAACATTGGCCCGTGGTTTTATTTCTTGTAATATCTTTCTGCTTTTAGTATCTGAAAAGTCTGGCCTCACAGGATAAGGTAGAGAGTGTACCCTCCTTTTCTATTTTCTGGAAGACTTGATATAGAATCAGTATTATTTCTGCCTTACATGTTTAGTAGAAATCATCAATAAGACATCTGGACTAGCAGTTTTCTTTATGGGAAGACTTTTAAACTCCAAATTCAGTTTCTTATTAGAGATAGGATTATTCAGGTTATCTATTTTTTGAGTGAGACTTGGTAATTTGTGCCTTTCAGTGAATTCATCTATTTCATCTAAGTTGTATTGGCATGAAGTCATTTATTATATTGACTTATATTTTTGATATCTATAGAATTTGTAGTGTTGTTCTCTCAATCCTAATATTGATAATCTTTGTTCTCTATTTTAAAATTGATTACCTGTGTATAAGTTTATCAATTTTATCAGTCTTCTAAAAGAGCCAACTTTTGTGGGGTTTTTAAAATTGTTCTTCTGTTTAATTGATTTCAGTGCTTATCTTCATTATCTACTTCCTTCTGCTTATTTTGGGTTTAGTTTGTTATACTTTTTCTAGTTTCTCAAGATGCAATCTGAAGTCATTAATTTGAGACCACTTTCCTTTCAGCTATAGACATTTAGCACTAAAATTCACCCCAAAATATTGCTTTAGTGACATTCCCACATTTTCAACATGTTTTTAAAGTTTTTCTCAATTCAGAATTCTAATTTTCTCTTTGATTTCTTCTTTCATCTATGAACTATTTAGAAATATGCTATTTAGTTTCCCAATTTGAGGAAACTTTCTAGGGATATTTCTGTTATTGATTGCTAATTCAATTCCTTCTAAATTTGTTGAAACTTGATTTATGGTCCAGAATGGTCTATCTTGGTAAATGTTTCATGTAACCTTGAAAAGAATGTATGTTCTGCTGTTGTGGGGTGGAGTGTTCTATCACAATCAGTTAGTTTAAGTTGACTGATGCTGTTGTTCAAATATTTACTGCTTTTCTGTCTACTGATTCCATCAACTATTGAGAGAAGGATATTGAACTATTCAAGTATAACTTATACTTGTCTATATCTTCTTTCAGTTCTGTTCATTTCTGTCTCATAAATTTTGACTAGGTGCAAAAACACTTAGGATTTTTATGTTTTTTAGCTCAATCAGTCCCTTTATAAAGTAATCTTCTTTATCCTTGATAATTTTTTCTGTAATAGTGTTTGTTTTAGTCTAATATAGACACTCCAGCCTTTTTTTCCCTTTTATTAGTGTTAGTATGGTATATCTTTTTCCATCCTTTTACTTTAAAATGTATTCGCTTCTTTATATTTTAAATGCATTTTTTTGTAAACAACATAATTGGGTCTTGTTTTTTCAATCCATCTATTTATTCCTGCTTCATATTTTAAGTATTCAGACCATTTCATTTACTGTGATATTGGTATGGTTGGGATTTTAGCATATTTGTTTTTTATTTGTCTCATTTTTCTACTTGTTCTTTATTTTTTCCCATTTGTTGTTACCCCTTTTCTCTTTTTCTGGCTTCTTTTGATTAATCGAGTATTTTTTAAGATTTTTACCTTCAAGTGAGATTTCCACTTTACATATAAGAAGCTCACAGTAGTATACTTCCATTTCTCCCTTCCCAGTCTCTACACTATTATTATCATAAAGTTTACTTTTACATTTATTATTAATGCAATGCAATACTGTTACTATTTTTGTTTGAACAGTTCAGTATCTATTAAAGAGATTTGGGCAGGCGCGGTGGCTCACGCCTGTAATCCCAGCACTTTGGGAGGCCGAGGCGGGCGGATCACAAGGTCAGGAGATCGAGACCACGGGGAAACCCCGTCTCTATTAAAAATACAAAAAATTAGCTGGACGTGGTGGCAGGCGCCTGTAGTCCTAGCCACTCGGGAGGCTGAGGCAGGAGAATGGCGTGAACCGGGGAGGCGGAGCTTGCAGTGAGCCGAGATCGCGCCACTGCACTCCAGCCTGGGCGACAGAGCGAGACTCTGTCTCAAAAAACAAAAAACAAACAACAACAACAAAAAAAGAGATTTAAGACGAGGTGCGGTGGCTCAAGCCTGTAATCCCAACACTTTAGGAGGCTGAGACAGGCAGATCACCTGAGGTCAGGAGTTCGAGACCAGCCTGGCCAACATGGCGAAACCCCCTCTCTACTAAAAACACAAAAAATTAGCTGGGCGTGGTGGTGCATGCCTGTAATCCCAGCTACTCAGGAGGCTGAGGCATGAGAATTTCTTGAACCTGAGAGGCGGAGGTTGCAGTGAGCCGAGATCACACCACTGCACTCCAGCCTGGGTCACAGAGCAAGACTTTGTCTCAAAAAAATAAAAATAAAAATGAATTAAAGAGATTTAAATAACAAGAAAAAAAGTATTGCGCATTTATTCCTGTAGTCACCATTTCTGGTGCTCTTTGTTCCTTTGTGTAAATCTGTAGTTCCATCTGGTCTCATTTTTCTTCTACTTAGAGGATTGCTTTTAACATTTCTTGTAGTATGGATCTACTGATGAGGAATTCTTTCACCTTTTGTATATCTTAAAGTCCTTTTTTTAAGTTATTAAAATGTATTTTTATTGGGTATAGATTTTTAGTATGACAATTTTTTTTCTTTAGTATTTTAAATGTGTTGCTCCACTTTCTTCCAGCTTGCCTGTTTTCCAATAAGAAGTCTGCTCTTATCCTTACAATTGTTCCTTAGTCCATAACATGTCTTTTTTTCCCCTGGTTGTTTTAAGATTTTCTTTTTATCACTGTTCCTTGAGTACTTTGATTATAAAGACCTTAGTGTAGCTTTCTTCATGTTTCTTGTGCTTGGAGTTCATTGAGCTATTGAGCTTCTTGGTTCCATAGGGATATTATTTTCATCAAATTTAGGATTTTATTTAGTCATTATTTCTTCAAATTATTTTTCTATCTCTCTTCTCTCCTCAATTTTAGAGACTCCAGTGACATGTATATTAAGCCACCTGAAATTATTTCTCAACTCATGATGCTCTGTTCATTTAAAACATTTTATTTTCTGGCCAGGCATGGTGGCTCACACCTGTAATCCCAGCACTTTGGGAGGCCGAGGTGGGTGGGTCACTTGAGGTCAGGCATGCGAGACCAGCCTGGCCAACATGGTGAAACCCTGTCTCTACTAAAAATACAGAAATTAGTTGGGCATGGTGGCACGTGCTGTGGTCCCAGCTACTCGGGAGGCTGATGCAGAATTGCTTGAATCCAGGAGGTGGAGGCTGCCGTGAGCCAAGATCACGCCACTGCACTCTAGCCTAGGCAACAGAGCGAGACTCTGTCTCCAATATATATATATATATATATATATTTTTTTTTTCTGTCTGTGTTTCTTTGAGGATATTTTCTCTTGCCGTCTTCAAGTTCGCTAGTTTTTTTCTTCAGCAATATCTAATCTGCCATTAATCCAATCCAATGTATTTTTCATGTCACACATTGTAGTTTCATCTTTAGAAGTTTGATTTGAGTCTTTTTATACTTTCCATGTCTCTATTTATGTTTATTTTATTTTATTTTATTTTGAGACGGAGTCTCGCTCTGTCACCCAGGCTGTAGTGCAGTGGCGCGATCTCGGCTCACTCCAAGCTCCGTCTCCCGGGTTCACGCCATTCTCCTGCCTCAGCCTCCCGAGTAGCTGGGACTACAGGCGCCCACCACCACGCCTGGCTAATTTTTTCTATTTTTTAGTAGAGACGGGGTTTCACCGTGTTAGCCAGGATCGTCTCGATCTCCTGACCTTGTGATCCGCCCGCCTCGGCCTCCCAAAGTGCTGGGATTACAGGCGTGAGCCACCGCGCCCAGCCTATTTTTTTGAAAACATAGTATCTGGCTTAATGGCTTTACTAATCTAACACCTGGGTTGGTTTTCATCTATCGCCATATTATAGGTTGTACTTTCTTGCTTCTTGCATGCCTGATATTTTGAGTGAATCTATGTGTAAATTTTACTTTGTTGGGTGCTAAATATTTGGCATTCCTATAAATCTTATTGAGCTTTGTTTTAGGATGCACTTAAGTTACTTGGAAAGTGTTTAATATCTTGGGCCCTTACTCTTAAGATTTGTTGGGTAGAACAGTGTTCAGTCTAGAGCTATCTGTTCCCTATTACTGAGGCTACATCCTTCTGTGTACTCTAGCCTGTGAATCTTGGAGTTTTCCAGTCTGACTGGTGGGAATAGTCACTGGTGCTGTGTGAATGCCAGGCACTGCTCAGATGGTACCTATCCTTGGGCAGTTTTGTACATGCAGGTGCTAATCAGGACTCAGCTAAATTCTTAATGGACACTTTGGTAGACTGAATAATAGGCCCCAAATATGTCCATGCACCTTATAGGGCAAAGATGACTTTGAAGTTGTGATTAAATCAAACATCTCGAAATGGGGTGATTATCCTGGATTAGCCAGGTGGTTCTTATCTAATCATATGGGCCCTTATAAGAATGAAGCAGGAGATAAGAGTGGAAAGTAGCAGATGTGATGACAAAAGCAAGAAGTTGCACGATGCAAGAAAGGAGGTAAGGAATGCAGGTGACTTTAGAAGCTGACAAACACAAGGAAACAAATTCTCTCCCTGAGCCCTTAAGAAGAAATGTAGCCTAGCCAACAACCTGAATGTATACTTCTGACCTTCAGAACTGTAAAATAATAAATTTGCGTTGCTAAGGCACGAAGTTTGTGGTAATGTTTTAGCAGCAATAGGAAACTGATGCAAGCACCCGCTGCGAATCTCTGGGGTTTGCTCTCTGTGCACCTTTCTTTTGTACATTGCGGTGTCCTGTAAACCCTAGCTGCCTTGGTCTCCTCAAAATCTCAGCTCTGCCAGGCTCTCCCTCTATGCTCCATGGTTTGGAAACTGTCTGTGAATATAAGCTGAGGCAATCACAGGGCTCACACCATTTATTTCCCGTCTCTCATGGGTCCGTGCCCTTCATTGTCTCACATTCAGTGTTTTGCAGACCATTATTTTATAGTCTACATTTTTTAGCTGTTTCAGGTGAGGGGGTAAATCTGGTCCCTGTTAATCCATTGGCCAGAGGCACATTTCCCAAATATATGATTTTATATTTTTACGTTAAGAAAAGGAAAATGAAAAAGGTGAAATGAATTTTAATAACATTTTAGTTATCTCAATATGTACAAAATACTATAATTTAAAAATGTAATCCATATTGAAAAATTACTGATATAATCCTTTTTGTACTAAGTGTATATTTTACACTTATAGCACATAGTAATTCAGACTAGCCAGATTCTAAGTGCTCAAAGCTGTAGCACAGCTCTAGGGTACAGTGAATCATGAGAGTCTGTGTTTAGCTGCTCAAGGGGACTACATTCATTTGAATGTTTCAGCTTTTATGTCCTCCACCATGAAATATTCTTTGATCAACCCAGCTGCAAATCTTTGCATCTTCATGGCCTTTGTTACTGTTCTTTGGGACTTGACATATTTTATCTTTTATTGATTGATGTAGCTTGTGCAAAGGGCAACAGGAAGGATTCTCAAGAATTTGGAAATGAGGACTGGCAAATGTCACATTCTAAGAGTTAATTTAATTTTTTTAAAATTCTAGATAAAATGAATAAGATTATTTATTCATAGATGTGTCTTACTCTATGAGATATTTTGTCAGTGTGATACTGATAAAGGGCTGGGAAACACTCAAATTCATCATTCACTCCTGATAAACAGAGTAGTTCTTTAAGACTCAATAATTGGCCGGGTGTGGTGGCTCAAGCCTGTAATCCCAACACTTTGGGAGGCTGAGACGGGTAGATCACCAGGTCAGGAGTTCGAGATCAGCCTGGCCAACATGGTGAAACCCCGTCTCTACTAAAAAAAAATACAAAAATTAGCCGGGCGTGGTGACGGGCGCCTGTAACCCAGCTACTCGGGAGGCTGAGGCAGGAGAATGGCTTGAATCTGGAAGGTGGAGGTTGCAGTGAGCTGAGATCATGCCACTGCATGCCAGCCTCGGCGAAAGAGCAAAACTCCGTCAAATAAATAAATAAATAAATAAATAAATAAATAAAGACTAAATAATCATGGGTTCAATTTATTGAGTACCGGTCTTGCTGTATGCCAGTCTGTGTGATAAGATCATTTAATATTCACAACCACCCTATAAGGGATAAGTGTTGGCCCGTTTTACATAGGAAGAAATTGTGACTGGAACTGTTAAGTTGGTGTGCAATTCTCACACAGCTGTTTAGAGGCATATGTAAGAGGAAAATTCAAGTTTGACCCCAAAGCCTGGGTAGTAAATCATTACACTTTACTTCTGATATATATTCAAATGCATTTATAATCTAATTTATTTTATTTTATTAAAGTAATCATGTAGATTTAAGAATAATCCTGAGGAGTAAGACAAGAAGAAAAGAGGGGAAAAGAGCACAAAGTAAAGGAAAAGGATATGAGATAGATACAAGTATTTGGTGTTTACAACAGAGAAATTCACTTTATTGTGGAAGAGAAGTAGCTCATCAGGCTTATCTACAGCCTGGATGAACTATTCCCTCAAGACCATGTGATTCCCAGGTACCTTGAAACTGCAAAGGAGATACTATGGATTGCACAAGTGACCCATGCACTGGAAAAGGCATAATTTTAATGGAAAAAAATCACTGCCCCAACATTCTGCTTGATATATCAGTCCTGTGCACGGTTTTAAAAATGAGTCACTTTATAGAATATCATTACCTCTGACAGAAAATTCAAAATTCTGGCCAGGTGCGGTAGCTCATGCCTGTAATCCCAGCACTTTGGGAGGCCGAGGCAGGCGGATCACCTGAGGTCAGAAGTTTGAGGCCAGACTAGGCAACATGGTGAAACTTCGTTTCTACTAAAAATACAAAAATTATCCGGGCATGATGGTGCATGCCTTTAGTCTCAGCTACCTGGGAGGCTGAGGTGGGAGGATCACTTGAGCCTGGGAGGTGAAGGTTGCAGTGAATTGAGATTGTGCCACTGCACTCCAGCCTGGGTGACAGATTGAGACCCTGAAAGAAGAAAGAAAGAAAGAGAGAAAGAGAAAGAGAAAGGAAAGGAAAGCGAAAAGGAAAAGTCAAAATTCTGTATCTGGATTTCTAGAATTGAGAACCAGACATTGGACATTGATGTCCTCACTAAGAAAATGATATTCTAGTTGAAAAAAATAAAGCTTACATTGCTATCTCTTTTTACTTCCCCATTGCATATTTGTTGGCTTGTTTTATCTTTGCTGTAAGACTGTTGTCTTCTGGAGGATAGCTACTGCTTAGTCATGGTTGCATCTTCCACAACATCTAGAACAGAAAACATAAATGTTTCTGCAATAAAAGAATAAATGAGGCGTGGATATGTTCCCCCTACTTTCATGTGGAGAAGTTTACTGATCAAATGTAGCATGTACATAAATCACAGAGTATTTAAGAAACTGGCTGATCAAGCTGTTGGCTTTCTTGATGGCTGATTGACCAGTCCATCCCTGACTTCAAGGGCTTAAGTGCCCAGGCACTAGTTGCTAATGCTGCAGTTAGAGCTAAAGCACTGGCCTGGTCTCTGTCACTGTGACTCATCCTCTTCTAAGAATGGCTCTATTTTCTTCTACAATACTTAATTCAATGTTAAGCATTGTTGGCTTGCCGAATTGGGCAAAAACTGAATGTCTAAGATGAGCCAGTTGGTATTTCAGTTTAGAACTAGGAAAGCGCAGAGTTTGGGGAAACTTTCCAGAGGAGAGCCACAGCTCAAACCCAAGGTAATGCTAGAGATCCCTGAACATTTGTGCACTCTGATCTCTGGCTACCTTACAGAGTGAGGTAACTTACTTTCTTCTTCCTTATTCCTTAGGGCAAGAATATCACGGCATGGGCATGAGTAGCTTGAAACTGCTGAAGTATGTCCTGTTTTTCTTCAACTTGCTCTTTTGGGTAAGTGTATCTCTTCTGAGCACGGTTTAGCTCACCTTTACCCAGCTAAGCTCTCCTCATTCCTCTACTGAAGAGGCTGGTGTGGGGTAAAATGCATGCGTGTTTGGGTCATGTCCAGCACAACCATCCTAGAAACAAAAGAGTAATAATTTTTCCCCTCTTCCTGCCACAGAATAAACCTGCAAAATTGAAAGGTACCAGTGCAGTTATTAATGGAGGTGCTGTTTCTCTCTGAGGGCTTTAGTTTACTACTACTCGTAGCTAACATATATAGGTGAGAAACCTGAGACTGTGCTCTGGATATTGAGTGCCTCTGTTTTTCTTGTCTTTTTTTCTAGATTCCTTGAAACAATAAGTGATTGAAAGGAAAGTCACCCTTTCCAGGGAGGTTTCACTGTATAAAATTCAGCAATTGAATTTCAGATATAGGATGGGTTGGTACTTGTGTATATGAGAAGATTATTATAAGTTTGGCTTCTCTAGTTTTCTGCCTAGCAAGATGAGCTTCCTCAAGCAGGGCATCTTCTCTACATGGTCATGGTTTCTACAGAGAAAGCCATGTGTGAGCGACTGAAAAGATAAGGAAAAAGAAGTTAGACCTATATATGGTGAAGATACTGTGTGGCTCACAGAAGTGATCTTTCCTTGGTATCTGGAGATGGGTAGGAAGAGTTGTGAGTAGGTCTCCACATGAGAAAGCTGAGATTGCCTCTCCAATGTAAGCATGGAAAAGTTTGGTAAAGAAATTGTTCATGAGACTCTTGATTGAGCCAGTTAAAAATAAAGTGATTCTGATCTCAAGGAAGTGAGAATATGAGGAGATACCCAAGAACCACATTTTGCTTCAGGATGTTGTGGGATTCTTCCTTTCAGATCTGTGGCTGCTGCATTTTGGGCTTTGGGATCTACCTGCTGATCCACAACAACTTCGGAGTGCTCTTCCATAACCTCCCCTCCCTCACGCTGGGCAATGTGTTTGTCATCGTGGGCTCTATTATCATGGTAGTTGCCTTCCTGGGCTGCATGGGCTCTATCAAGGAAAACAAGTGTCTGCTTATGTCGGTGAGTCCTTACAGCAGATGTGGTGCCCCAAGTCGGGGAGATGGTGCCTAAATCCCAGGCAAGATGTTTCTTGGTAGATCACTTATAGGCACAGAAAGATCATAGGAAAATGAGATTGGTACCTCAGATCAGCCAAGTCTGCCCAGACCAATAGTATATTATGTATGACTAGGGTCCCACGGACAGGTGAAAGAGGGCATTGCTATCCCCCTTGTAGCCATTTTTATATTGCTAATAATGACTTTTGTCATTATTGTAATTCCCCTTTATAGCATTTTATTTTTTCTTTATGTCTGGATGAAATCAGGTGTCATCCATCTTCCAAAATCCTCCTCATGCTAGCTATTATTATGTACTTTCAGATTCTGACTGAGAGTCGCTAACTAATGGAAAATAATTTCTAGGCTCTTTCCTCCCCAAATGCCAAAGGATGCTTCCTTAACTCATGTCTGCACAAGATACTCCGTAGAGAGATCCAACTTAGGTGAGGGCTCTGGCTGCAGCCATTGAGGTCTAATGTGAGAGATGCTACAGCCTTTTGCATGTTCCCTATCAGGTACTATCCTGAGGAGTACCTTAAGGCTTAGGTTTTGCCTGTAAGCACAGTGCCTGTAGAGCACTGAGCTCTACATTTCTGTAGTGTTCCCAGAACAGAGCTTGGTGTAACAGTGCCACTCTACCAATAGGCGTGGGTTTCTAATCACATTGGTTCTTCCTTAAATCATTTGGTTAATCTTTTTTCCATTATGGTTCAACATTTTGGTGGTGGTTTTTTGTTTTGTTTTTTTCTTCTTGTTGTTGTTTTGGAGATGGAGTTTCACTCTTGTTGCCCAGGCTGGAGTGCAATGGCATGATCTCAGCTCACCACAGCCTCCGCCTCCCGGGTTCAAGCCATTCTCCTGCCTCAGCCTCCCGAGTAGCTGGGATTACAGTCATGCGCCACCATGTCCGGCTAATTCTGAATTTTTAGTAGAGACAGGGTTTCTCCATATTGGTCAAGCTGGTCTCTAACTCCCGACTTTAGGTGATCCACCTGCCTCGGCCTCCCAAAGTGTTGGGATTATAGGCGTAAGCCACTGCGCCCAGTCTGTATGGGTCAACTCTTAAACTGGAGCCAAGAGAAAGAATTTTTTAAAAAGTCCCTCTTCTCAGATAGTTGTCAGACTAATGGCAAAGGATGGAAGATAGCAGACATGGGGTAAGGCAAATGTTTTAAGCAGTCAAAATTAATGTTGGGGTAAAAAAGGTGAAGGAGAAGGAATAAGTGAAAATGTTTTCTGTTGTGTGTTATTAGCATAAAAGGAGTAAGCATCGAAAGCTGGAAACAAATATGAGTTAGAACCATGGCTAGGACCCTTCTTTCTACCATTGTACAGGGCTCCTCTCAGCCACTACCAGCAGTCCTCCACCCAGAGGTATCCCTGATCTTGTAGAAAGGACCAGGCCCCAAATGATCTAGTTTACCAACCTTTTGCTTAACTGCTTCAATAGGCAGATGTCAAAATTGCTTAACTTATTCAACAGGTGGTGGTGTGTATGTATTATGCATGTAGTGCTCTGATAGGCACAGCAGGTAGGAGAGAGCAAAGAAGACAGTTGATCTGCCCTCTAGAGTCTAATTGTAGAAAAAGAACACATATTTTCACAAAACAAAAGAAGGCTTACAACGGCCTGAGGAGGCAGAACAGGAACACCCTGTACTCGTGCAAATGCCCCTGGATGCTCCCAGAGCTGAGTGGGAGTGGGACGAGAATGGGGATCAGTGCTGTGAGAATGTATCTGCTTTGTCCCAGTTCTTCATCCTGCTGCTGATTATCCTCCTTGCTGAGGTGACCTTGGCCATCCTGCTCTTTGTATATGAACAGAAGGTAAGTTATAAAGACAACAACTTATTGTCTTAATACTGAAAGTGGGGAGTATGCAGTGGAGAAGTTGGTACAAAGTTACAGAATAAGTTCTATAATAGAGATAGAAATGAAGTGGAAGGATAGAGGAAACAGAGAGTAATTGTAATTGGGGGGAAAATTTGTATGAAAGAGATTGTATCTGAGTGGTATCTTGAGGGGTGCCTGGAAAGAGCAGTAAAACAAGTGTCTCTTCCTCTACTTGCTTTCCTCTGTGTGTTTGGCAGGAGAGAATGTCTGCCTCAGTGCCTAAGGATAGCCCTTGCTTTAATTGCTCCTTTTCCTCCCTTGTAAAGCCAGAGCTCTAGAAGGAAGCAAGCCTACTAAATACTTCTTCCTTCAATGCCACCTCATGCTCAGCCTGTATGCCCATAGATAAACACCCTCCCCTCACCCTTAGTTCTGAGGAGACCATTTGGAAGGGAAGCGCAAGTGGAACCACTAACCTATACTGGAAATTCCTTATTCCTTGAACTCACCTGCTTTTTACCATGTCTCCTCTGCTGGAATGTGCCTGCCCAGCTGAATGAGTATGTGGCTAAGGGTCTGACCGACAGCATCCACCGTTACCACTCAGACAATAGCACCAAGGCAGCGTGGGACTCCATCCAGTCATTTGTGAGTACAGGTGGAATCCTCTTCAGATCAGCCCAGACTTCATTTTCAAGCCTAAATCCTTGGGGGCTAGTTCCTTTTTCTGGAAGTTTCAGAATCTAAGGTCCACATCCCTGAATCCCAGAATAATGCCTTGGCTATCACAAACATGGGAGCCCAGTAATTAGTCTGATTAGTACAAAGTTCTCTACATTCTCTCTTTCATCCTTTTCTAACATGAATAGGTTTATTTTCTAAGTTCTGCTAGGATGTGAAGAAGACCCAAACACAGCAAACTGGATTAGTTTATGTATTTTCCAAAATTTTACTGAAAACAGCATTGTATAACACAAGAAATTGCCATTGAGTTCCCGAGTTGCCCAAATCAGGCTTGTTACCTAGCCCACCAACATCCCATTCCTCATGTGCTGTTTCCACCCACAAACGTGTATATGTACAGCATATACAAGCTCTGCATTCCTGACATGATGTGTTGGGAGATAAAGATGGAGCCTTGCACCAGTATAATCTATTTGTGTCTCGAAACAGTACCACTATGAAAGCACGCTGGCTTAGTGTGGAGTAGAAGAAATGGCACAGGAATTAGAGCCTGGAGACCAGAATTGGGTAGCCCTGGGGAAGTCACTTAACTTATTTAGATCTCCAATTCTTTATTTTTTTAATTCAGTTTAGAAAACTTTTTATTACATAATTTTTAGAAATATACAAAAGAGAAAAACAGAAAAATGAATCTCCCAACTCTTCAATAGTTAACATTTTCCAGTGTCATCTCATCTAATTCCCCACACTTTTTTCGTTAGAATATGTTAAAGCAAATACTAGACAATATATTATTTCACCCACTAAATATAAAAGAACTTCTTTTTAATACACCTAAAATTTTATAATTTCTTAATACCACTAATAAAGTCTATAATTAAATTTCCCTAATTTTCTCAAAAAATTTTAATTGACTTGTTCAAATCAAGATCTTAACAAGGCCTATGTGTTTATATTTGAATGATAGGTCTCTCTATTTATCTTTTAATCTATAATAGTACACCTCTTTGTTCTTGCTCTTTGTGGAAAGAAATTAGGCTATTTGTCCTTTAGACTTCTCCACTCTCTAGATCAGGCTAGTTGCTTCCTCGAGTATTTTGGTATCAGGGAGTCTCTGTCTCCCATAAGCCCCATGAACTTAAAAGTTTGATGTGGTTTTTGTTTTGTGGTAAGACTGCCATAGCTGTCACTTCCTGTTGCATCGTGTAAGCAGGTACATAATGTCTGATGGTCCTCCTTTCTGTGATCTTAAGATTGGTTGGTGGGTCCAGGGGTGGTCAGCCTAATCCCTCCATTATGCAGTCCCTGGGTGCCTTATTCTTGATCTGTAAAATGTGACTAGATTAAGCACAGGGGTCTCTACTCCACAGGGATCTTATGTGAATGAAATGGTATAACAGATTAGAAAGCACTTTGTTTTAAGGAGCCCATAGCAATCAGACCAATTCTGGACTTCTGCTATAGAGTCAGATCTGAAGGGCACACCTTTTCCTCTAAGGTCCACAGCTTTTTTTCACTGTTGACTTTCTAACCATCATCATTTTGGGGGTTTGGCTTTTAGCTGCAGTGTTGTGGTATAAATGGCACGAGTGATTGGACCAGTGGCCCACCAGCATCTTGCCCCTCAGATCGAAAAGTGGAGGTAATTTTGTCGGCAATGTTTCTGTTATTGACCTCTTTGTTTAAATGTTTAATTACCTCGGAAACTGCAGTCATAGAGGACCTAGACCTTCTATTGAGAAACAGGGGACCTTGAATAAAAGAGAGGCCAGGGCAACAACCTTGGGTAATTAGAAAAGTCAGAAAAACATACAAACAAACTCATTTAGACTAGAGACACTGTGATTGATCTTGCTACACTAGACTATTACATTAGAGGGGAACAGTTACTTTTGTGTGAAAGTAGGAGAGGGTTGTGTCTAGATATTTCTTAAGCAAGAAGTAGGTCTCCTTATGGTTAAAGTGAAATGTATAGGGTTGAGATAGAAAAGTTTCTCCCTCTCCCTCTTTCTCTGCTCTTCTTCCTTGGAGATGGCAGAATCCAGCCCCTTAGGGAAATGAATCATAGGTGAAGGAGTAAGGAGTTGAGGGAGACAGAGTTAGTGGAACTACTGAAACAACCTGTCCAATTAATTTGGACCTCCAGAATAGGCTCTGAGAAGAAGCCACAACTATCTTCCAACTAGACCGAATCCCTGAGGTCTTGTCTCCTCATGTTATCTGCTCCTGAAGGGGTTTGGAAATCTCCAGGGTTTTTCAGGTTTGTGGAGAAAGACTAGGACAACCACTGACCAGCAACTGCCCTGGCACTTGGTAGGGCTATGATGGATTTACTGAATGTTGAAGCAGAAAGTGAAATGCAAACCAATTTTAGTATTGCATGCCCTATGTTAATCTCTGGTCAGCACTGAGTGTTCAAAGACAGTAGGACGTCGGTTGCTGACCTGCCTCTTAGAAGCTAGTTTAACTCAGCGGGTAAGGATCTAGGACTTCTACATTAGTTACCACTGTAATGATAACACCACCAGAAAAGTCTGTAGTTTAATATTTCCCACCTTATGCCTGTTTCTTCATTCACGCAAAGAAAATAAAAATATAATACCTAAGCCTCTTTGTATTACATAAAGCAAAATGCAAAGCACTGTATCTTCCAAATACTTCCTCTTGATATGGTGGAATTATAGAGTAGTATCATTTGTAACTGAAATGTCTTCTAGGGTTGCTATGCGAAAGCAAGACTGTGGTTTCATTCCAATTTCCTGTATATCGGAATCATCACCATCTGTGTATGTGTGATTGAGGTAAGAGCTTAACCACAGGGTTATTGTGAGGATTACATGAGTTAAGTCAGGTAAGATTTCAGAATAATACCAGGTACACAGTATTTACACAATAAATGTTAGCTATTTTTACTAATATATGAATTCCCCCAGCCAAGTAGCAAATAATGTAATTAACAATTTGCTTTAAGGTATATAGAAAATGTGCTATAAGAACATCTCTTGGCCGGGCGTGGTGGCTCACGCCTGTAATCCCAGCACTTTGGGAGGCTGAGGCAGGCAGATCACGAGGTCAGGAGATCAAGACCATCCTGGCTAACATGGTGAAACCCCGTCTCTACTAAAAATACAAAAAATTAACCAGACGTAGTGGCAGGTGCCTGTAGTCCCAGCTACTTGGGAGGCTAAGGTAGGAGAATGGCGTGAACCTGGGAGGCGGAGCTTGTAGTGAGTCAAGATCGTGCCACTGCACTCCTGCCTGGGCGACAGAGCGAGACTCTGTCTCCAGAAAAAAAAAAAAAAAAAGAACATCTCTCTGGTCAATTCATTCCTCAGAGATATGAGTGATTCACATGATTCACAGTCAAACAAAAAAGCCACCAAGCAGAATCCCACTGTGATCCCTCCTCAGCTGGTCTGAAAAATACGAATTGATAAAGTATTTCATTTGAAAACCTGATCTTGCATGTTAAGGGGCTGATGACGAAAATTGTAATCAATTTCCTCTTTGTTTCTGTGCTTAGTTTGACAAGTGATGGGTGAATTGAGGGTAGTTTTTTGTCCTTTTTAATAAAAAAGGACAAAAATAATGTGATATTTCTAACATTTTTCTACCCAAAGTGTTGGGTATATCATAGATTAGTTAAAACTCAATCAGGAAGCTCAGAGAAAATGATTTTTCTCTGTTTGGAAACAAAGGAGGCACAGAGCATGGATAGAGATAACTCATTGCACAGTGTTCAGTGAGCAGAATATGACCATCCTAGCAGCAAGGCTTCTGTGACTTCCTCAGAAGATAAAACATGCTCCAGTACTTTACAGCCTGTTATCTTGTCATCATTGACCCCGTTTCTCTCCTCACTGCTATTCTTTAACCAAAGGAAAGAGCTCCTGAGAGAGACTTGAAAGTAATGGTTGGAAGGGTGGTTTCAGTGTAATGGATACATTCTTTTTCTCAGAGGCCAATCCCAGGCATTGTGAAAGAAATGGCTTTTCTTATGAAGACTTCAAATTTTCCCAACTCTTTTCACAGGTGTTGGGGATGTCCTTTGCACTGACCCTGAACTGCCAGATTGACAAAACCAGCCAGACCATAGGGCTATGATCTGCAGTAGTCCTGTGGTGAAGAGACTTGTTTCATCTCCGGAAATGCAAAACCATTTATAGCATGAAGCCCTACATGATCACTGCAGGATGATCCTCCTCCCATCCTTTCCCTTTTTAGGTCCCTGTCTTATACAACCAGAGAAGTGGGTGTTGGCCAGGCACATCCCATCTCAGGCAGCAAGACAATCTTTCACTCACTGACGGCAGCAGCCATGTCTCTCAAAGTGGTGAAACTAATATCTGAGCATCTTTTAGACAAGAGAGGCAAAGACAAACTGGATTTAATGGCCCAACATCAAAGGGTGAACCCAGGATATGAATTTTTGCATCTTCCCATTGTCGAATTAGTCTCCAGCCTCTAAATAATGCCCAGTCTTCTCCCCAAAGTCAAGCAAGAGACTAGTTGAAGGGAGTTCTGGGGCCAGGCTCACTGGACCATTGTCACAACCCTCTGTTTCTCTTTGACTAAGTGCCCTGGCTACAGGAATTACACAGTTCTCTTTCTCCAAAGGGCAAGATCTCATTTCAATTTCTTTATTAGAGGGCCTTATTGATGTGTTCTAAGTCTTTCCAGAAAAAAACTATCCAGTGATTTATATCCTGATTTCAACCAGTCACTTAGCTGATAATCACAGTAAGAAGACTTCTGGTATTATCTCTCTATCAGATAAGATTTTGTTAATGTACTATTTTACTCTTCAATAAATAAAAGTTTATTATCTCAATCACAACATTGCTATATATCAAACACTCCTTCCATGACCCAGCCTGATTACCCTGATTAATGCACCAAACCAGGTGTATTAATTGTCTCCTGCTGCATAAAATATTACTCCAAAATTTAGTGGCTGAGGACAACAAACATTTATTATCTCATGGTTTTTGTGGGTCAGGAATCTAGGAGCAGCTTAGCTGGGTGATTCTGGTTCACAGTCTCTCATGTAACTGCAATCAACATGTCAGCCTGGGCTGCAGTAACCTTAAGGCTCAACTGAAAGAGGATCTACTTTCAGGCTCTCTCACATCGCTGTTGGCAAGCCTCAGATCTTTGCCACTTGTGCCTTTCCACGGGGCTTCCTTATGACATGGAAGCTGGCTTCCCCCCATTTAAAGACATCCAAGAAAGGGCATGAGATTCGGCACCCAAAACAGAAGCCACAGTTTGTTGTTTTTGTTGTTGTTGTTTTGAGATGGAGACTTGCTTTGTCACATAGGCTGGAGTGCAGTGGCACAATCTCGGCTCACTGCAACCTCTGCCTCCCAAGTTCAAGCGATTCTCCTGCTTCAGCCTCCTGACTGGGACCACAGGTGTGTGCCACCATGCCTGACTAATTTTTTTGTGTGTTTTTAGTAGAGATGGGGTTTCACCATGTTGGCCAGGCTGGTCTTGAACTCCTGACCTCTGGTGATCCACCTGCTTCAGCCTCCCAAAGTGCTGGGATTACAGGCATGAGCCACGCCACAGTTTTTATTTATAACCCCAGATGTGCCACCACATCAGTTCTGCCATACACTGTTTTAAAAAAGTGAGTTGAATTGTTCAGCTCACACTCAAAAAAAAAAAAAAACAAAAAAAAAAGGAGATTATAGACAAGGGTATAAATCTGTAGCACATAGAGATCACTGGAGGTCATCTAAGAGGTTGCCAACCCCACCATATTTGTTTGGTCAAAAAAAGAAGCTAAATTGAATTGTCTATAAGCTAAATTTAATTATCTACGTATAACCACACTTTGTAAGGCAGAAAATAAGACCATATCTAATAGGGAGCCAAATGTAGAGAAGTCAGAGAAAGGAATAGAGAAAAACTGGTTTCTGTTCCTGAAGTTTTATGTATCATCTCCCCTCTCCTTTTAAAAAAATTAGTATTTCAGTGGTAGTCTGTAGAAAAACCTACAACTTTTGCATTTTCCTGAGACAAAGAAGTAGCAGAG
This sequence comes from Homo sapiens, assembly GCF_000001405.40. Lineage (NCBI taxonomy): Eukaryota > Metazoa > Chordata > Mammalia > Primates > Hominidae > Homo > Homo sapiens. Next base: position 110,901,132 of record NC_000001.11, read on the forward strand.
GAGACATTCTCTCTCTCTGTTTTTTTTTGTTTGTTTTTTGTTTTTGTTTGTTTGTTTTTTTCTGAGACAGTTTTTTGCTCTTGTTGCCCAGGCTGGAGTACAGTGGTGCAATCTTGGCTCACTGCAACCTCCACCTCCTGGGTTCAAGTGATTCTCCTGCCTCAGCCTCCTAAGTAGCTGAGATTACAAGCACACGCCACCACGCCTGGCTAATTTTTGTATTTTTAGTAGAGATGGGGTTTCAGCATTTTGGTCAGGCTGGTCCCGAACTCCTGACCTTGTGATCTGCCCACCTTGGCTTCCCAAAGTGCTGGGATTACAGGTGTGAGCCACCTCGCACCCGGCCTTTTTTTTTTTTTTTTTTTAGACGGAGTCTCACTCTGTGGCCAGGCTGGAGTGCAGAGGCCTGATCTTGGCTCACTGTAACCTCTGCCTCCCTAGTTCAAGCAATCTCCTGCCTCAGCCTCCTGAGTAGCTGGGATTACAGGTGCACACCACCAAGCCTGGCTAATCTTTGTATTTTTACTAGAGACAGGGTTTCACTATGTTGGCCAGGATGGTCTCAAGCTCCTGACCTTAGATGATCCACCTGCCTTGGCCTCCCAAAGTGCTGGGATTATAGGCGTGAGGCACCGTCCCCGGTGAGACATTCTCTTGAGTATCACAAGTTTCAAAAGTATCTCACATTAAACATGCACAAAATGAAACTTATCATTCTATCTTCCAAATCTGCTTCTCTTCTTTGTTCCCCATATGAGTGAGTGATAACATCACCCACCTAGTTTTCCTAGCCAGAAGCCTAGGCTTTGTCTTTAACTCTAGCCTGTCCTTTACTCCCAAAAACAAGTCACAGTCAGTCATGAAGCTCTGAGGATTCACCCACCAAGTATCACCAAATTCATTAATTCTCCCTATTTCATTAACTTGCCTGTATTCCTTCAATAGTCTACTATCTGCTCTTCTAGTATTCACCATTGGCCCTTATCTACACCATTCTGCATATAGCAGCCAAAGTAATATTTCTAAAACATAAATGTAATAATGACACTTTTATGCTTGAAACTCTTCAATGACTCTGTTCTTAGGATAAAGTCTAGATTTTTTATTTATTATAGCTGTCAAGCCCTACATGAGATGGCTCACTCTTAGCTCTCCAGCCTTCCTCTTGCCATTCTCATTTTGTTTTACTCACCAAAATAATACAGCACATAGTGCATCTTAAAAGAAGCATGCTTAGATTTACCTTTTAAATGGGTATATGTAAACCTTTCATAATAAGGCTTTGTGGAACAAAGGCAAGAAACATCCCTTAACAGCATGCTAACACTTGCTTACAGTGATCAAATCGAACTAAATCAATCACTAAAAAAAAAAAAAAAAAAAAAAAAAGAAATACAGACAGAAAGGAAGAAAGAAGAAAGAAAGAATTCTAAAGAATAAATTTCAGGCATTAAAAACAGTGATCTCGGAACGTCTGAAATACAAGAAGGATCAAAGAGAAGATGTAAATATGTGGAAAATATAAATGACCACTGATTTCATAAAAGTTATAACAATGTGTTCCTTGAATTATAAACAAAAGATAGAAGGTATAGCGAGATGGTGGAATAGAATACCAGTTTCCCCTCCCCATCCAAGGACACCAATTTAACAACTGTCTAACACAAAAAACCACCTTCGTATGAACCAAAAATTAGGTGAGTCCTCATAGGACCTGCTGTTAAGTTGGTATCACTGAAAGTCATGCTGGAGAGGTGAGTAAAACAGTTTTGAATCTCTAATGCCACCCCTGGCAGCAGCAGCATGATGCGGAGAGTGTCTCTGGGTGCCGGGGGAGGGAGAACACAGCAATTGTGTGGCACTGAACTCAGTACCATCCCGTTAGAGCAGAAAGGAAACTGGACCAAACTCTGCTGGTGCCTGCCCATGGAGGGAGCATTTAAATCAGCCCTAACCAGAGGGAAATCGCCAATTCCAATTGTCAAAACTTGAATTCCTGCAAACCTCATCACCAACAGCTACAGTGCTATGTGTTTCTAAGTAAACTTGGAAGGCAGTCTAGGCCATAAGGATTGCAAATCTTAGGTAAGTCCTAGCATTGAACCAGGCCCAGAGACAGTGGACTGGGAGGGGCATGTGACCTACTAAGACACCAGCTGGGGTGGCTAAGAGAGTGCTGGCATCACCCTTCCCCTAACCCCAGGCTGCACAGCTCACAGCTTCGAAAGAGACACCTTCCTTCTGCTTAAGGAGAGGGGAGGGAAGAGAGAGGAGGACTTGTTTTGCATCTTGGATACCAGGTCAGCCACAGCAGATAGGACACCGGTCAGAGTTGTAAGGTCCCTGTTTCAGGCCCTAGCTCTTGGATAGCATTTCTAGACAACCTCTGGGCCAGAAGGGAATCCATTGCCTTGAAGGGAAGAACCCAGTCCTGGCAACATTCATCACCTGCTAAGTGAAAAGCCCCTAGGCTCTGAATAACCAGCAGTGAAACCAAGTTACTATGTCCAGGGCTTTGGGTGACCCTCTGAGACTTGCTTGTTTCAGATGAGATTCAGCACATGGCTAGCTGTGGTGGCTATTGGCTGAAACTCCTTCTACTTGAGAAAAGCGGAGGGAAAAGTAAAGGAGACTTTGTCTTGCACCTTAAGTACCAGCATGGGCACAGGGGAATAGAGCACCAAGTAGGCTCCTGAGGTCCCTGATTCCAGGACTCAACTCTTGAACGGCATCTCTGGACCTGCCCTGGGCCAGAAGGGAGCCCACTGCCCTGAAGGGTGAGTCCCAAGACAGGCAGCATTCACCACAAGCTGACTTATGAGTACTTGGACCTTAAAGGAACATTAGCAGTAGTCTGGCAGTACTCCCTATGGCTTGTGGTGGTAGTGGCTACAGGGTGAGGCTCCTCTCCTTTGGAAAGGGGAGGGAAGAGTGGGGAAAACTGAGTCTTATGGTTTGAATGCCAGCTCAGCCACAGTACAATAGAATATCAGCTAGAGTTCTAAGGTTTTCCACTCTAGTCCCTGACTCCCAGACAGCACCTCTGGAACCACCCAGGGTCTAGAGGGACTTGGCACTCTGAAGAGAAGGACGCAGGCCTGGTTGGCTTTGCCATCTGTGATTGTAGAGCCCCAGGGCATTAAGTGAACATAGGCAGTAGTCAGGGAGTGGTTACAGCAGGCCTTGGGCAAGACTCAGTGCTGTGCTGGCTTGAGGTATGACCCAGCACAGTCATAGTGGTGGTCATAGAGTGACACAGGCGTGCTTGTGTCACTCCATCCCCAGGTTTAGATGGCTCAGAACAGAAAGAGAGAGAGAATCCCTTAGTTTAGGAGAAAGTGAGGGAAGAGAACAAGATTCTCTGCCTGGTAATCCAGGGAATTCTCCCCAATTTTATCCAAGACCATCAAAGTAGTACTTCTATGAGTCCATAAGAACCACAGTATTACTGAGCTCGAGGTGCCCCTAAAGCAGATACAGCTTAGATTACAACACTCAAGTCCTTTTGAATATCTGAAAAGCCTTCCCAAAAAGGACAAGTACAAACAAGCCCAGACAGTGAAGACAACAATAAATACCTAACTCTTCTATGCTCGGACACTAAAGGACATCTATTAGAATCAACACCATCCAGGAAAACATGACCTCACCAAAAAAACTAAAGAAGGCAGCAGGGGCCAATCCTGGGGAAACAGAGATATGCAAGCTTTCAGACAGAATTCAAAATAACTGTTTTCAGGAAACACAAATTCAGGGTAACACAGAGAAGGAATTAGGAATTCTATCAGATAAATTTAATGAAGAGATTAAAATAATTAAAAAGAATCAAATTCTGGAGCTGAAAAATGCAATTGGCATATTAAAGAATGCTTCAGAATCTTTTAGTAGCAGAACTGATCAGGAAGAAGAAAGAATTAGTGAGCTTGAAGACAGGCTATTTGAAAATACAGTCAGAGGAGATTTAAAAAAAGAATAAAAAACAAGGAAGCATGTCTGCAGGATCTAGAAAATAACCTCAGAAGGGCAAATTTAAGAGTTATTGGCCTTAAAGAGGAGGTAGAGAAAGAGATAGAAGTAGAAAGTTTATTCAAGGGGATAATATCAGAGAATTCCCCAAACCTAGAGAAAGATATCAATAACCAAGTATAAGAAGGTTATAGAGCACCAAGCTGACTTAATCCAAAGAAGACTACCTCAAGGCATTTAATAAGCAGACTCCCAAAGATCAAGGACAAAGAAAGGACTCCAAAAGCAGCAAGAGAAAAGAAACAAATAACATACAATGGAGCTCCAATACATCTGGTAGCAGACTTCTCGGTGGAAACCTTACAGGCCGAGAGAGTGGCATGACATATTTAAAGTGCTGAAGGAGAAAAACCTACCCTAGAATAGTATAACCAGCAAAAATATCCTTCAAAAATGAAGGCAAAATAAAGACTTTCCCAGACAAACAAAAGCTGAGGGATTTCATCAACACCAGTTCTGTCCTACAAGAAATGCTAAAGGGAGTACTTCAAACAGAAAGAAAGGGATGTTAATGAGCAATAAGTAATCATATGAAGATACAAAGCTCACTGGTAATAGTAAGTACACAAAAAGACAGAGAATATTATAACACTGTAACTGTGGTGTATAAACTACTCTTATCCTAAGTAGGAAGACTAAATAATAAATCAAAAATAATAACTACAATAACTTTTAAGACATAGACAGTACAATAAGATATAAGTAAAAACAACAAAAAGTTAAAGAGCAGAAGGATGAAGTTAAGGCATAGAGGTTTTATTAGTTTTCTTTTTGCTTTTTTTAAATGCAGAGAGTGTTAAGTTGTTATCAGGTTAAAATAATGGGATATAAGATAGTATTTGCAAGTCTCATGCAAAAACATATGATGGATGCACAAGGAATAAAAAGCAAGAAACTAAATCATATCATCAGAGAAAAATCTTCACTAAAGGAAGACAAGAAAGAAAGAAGGAAGAGAAGACCACAAAACAACTAGATAAAATGTAAACATTTACAGATAAACTGTAAGAATTAATAAGAGATTTTGGCAATGTTATTGGGTATAAAATCAATATACTAAAGCCAACTGTATTTCTACTTACCAGAAACATAAAATAAAAAAGAGACAACAGACATGGTGGCTCATGCCTATAATGCCAGCACTTTGAGAGGTTGAAGCAGAGGATTGCTTGAGGCCAGGCATTTGAAACCAGCCTAGTCAACATAGCGAGACCCCATATCTACCAAAGAAAAATTAAAAGCCAAACGTGGTGGCTCATGCCTGTAGTCCCAGCTCTTCAGGAAGGTGAGGCAGGAAGATCACTTGAGCCCAGAAGTTCAAGGCTGCAGTGAGCCACGATTATACCACTGCACTCCAGCCTGGGTGACAGGGTGAGATCCTGTCTCAAAAGAGAGACAGAGAACATTTATGATCGCATCAAAAAAATAAATAAATAAACCTGAAAAAGATGTACAAGACCTTTACACAGAAAATATTCTAATTTGATTGGAATTCTAAAGAAGAGAGCTATATCCTGAAGATGTATACCCACAGGAAACTATCATACTCACTAATAGGAAGACTCAATATTTTATATATGTCCATTCTTTCCAAATTGGGCTATAGATTCAATGCAGTCTCAAAAAAAAATCCCAACAAACTTTTTTAATGGAACTTGAACAAGCTGATTCTAAAATTTACATGTAAATACAAAAGGTCAAAACAACTGGGATGCTCTTGAAGAAAAAACACCAAGTTGGAGAACTTACTTTAAAAATATTGATACATATTTTAAGGTTATTACAATAGTATGGAAATTATAATAGTTTATGTTGTTTCAGGGACAGGTTAAACAGACCAGTAGAATATATTAGAGTTCTTAAAGAGGCCCCATGCTGAGAAGTACAAAAGAACTCTCAGCATATAACAACTCAGTCCAAACCCCTGCACTAAGAGACCTGACCATACTCTAGCATGGCTTCTAGCAGCCTAAGGTCGTGTCTTGAAAAATAGCCAAATCCCCCTTTTGAGCTTTAAGAAAGCTCAAAAATGATGGGATAATTTCCTGTTTGTTCCAGCCAAAACCTGGTGATACGTAAGTAGATCCCTGAACCTCCTCTTAAAACATTGACTTTAGAAGGCTTGCAATTATATATTTTTTGCTACCCTTTGAGATGTAAATGTTCTACCAGAATTTTCTTCTCAGAGATTTTAGAAATGCAAACATTAAGGTAGATAACTTACTGTCAGTCTCTGTGGGAGGATAAGGACTTAATTTTGGTGGGCATCTTGCTCCAACTTCCACCACTGCCTCCTGTGATTAAGATTTGAGCCAGGCGCGGTGGCTCACGCCTGTAATCCCAGCACTTTGGGAGGCCGAGGTCAGGAGTTCAAGACCAGCCTGGCCAAGATGGTGAAACCCCCTCTCCACTAAAAATACAAAAAAAATTAGCTGGGCTTGGTGGTACACACCTGTAATTCCAGCTACTCAGGAGGCTGAAGCAGAGAATTGCTTGAATCCGGGATGCAGAGGTTGCAGTGAGCCGAGATTGCACCACGGCACTCCAGCCTGGGTGACAGAGTGAAACTCCATCTCACACACACAAAAAAAGTTTTGAGAAGTTTTTTTCTTTTCCAGTTAAGTGCCAGTTAGTAAACCCAGATGGCCCACTCACACACACCAACCCACTTTAACATCCTTCAGCACCTTACCATTAGCATACTCTAGATGTTAAAAAATCTCTTGCCTTTTGTTTCAACAGAGTTGAACTAAGATGACATGTGGTTCTCTCCCCTATTGCAATAGTTATTACTGAATACAATTTGCCTTTACTGCTTTAACTAGTGCCCAACTTGTTTATATTTCAAAATGCTAATATGTTTGATTTATATCACGGTGACCTTTCAGAGAGATGATAAAAGAAGGGTCTTTTCAACAAATGTTCCTGGGAAAACAGAAATTCTATATAAAAAGAACAAGTTTTGATTCCTATCTCACATCACAGCAATTCGTAAATCAATTTCAAGTGAATTAAATATTTAGATGTAAAAGACAAATATAGAAAGCTTTGGGGAGTCTGGGCATGATGGTGAAGAATATAAAAGCAAAAAGCCCCATTCAAAAGACAATAACTTTAAAGATTAAAGGAACATCAGCCTACACAGGTGAGAAAGTGCGAGTGCAATAACTCCAGCAACTCTGAAAGCAAGAGTGTCTTCATACCTCCAAATGATCACACTAGCTCCCCAGCCATGGTTCTCAACCAGACTGAAATGACTGAAATAACATAGAATTCAGAATCTCAATGTCAAGGAAGCTCATTGAGATACAGAAGGTTGAAACTCAATCCACAGAAAACAGTAAAATGGTTCAAGAGTTGAGAGAGGACATATTCATTTTAAGAGAGAACCAAACTGAACTTCTGAAATGAAAAATTAGCACAGGAACTTCATAATGTAATTGGAAGCATTAATATCAGAATAGACCAAGCTAAGGAAAGAATCTCAGAACTCAAAGACCATTCTTTTGAATCAATACAAGCAGATAAAAATAAAAAAAAATAATTTTAAGAAAATGAACAAAACCTCTAAGAAATATGGAATTATGTAAAAGAGACCAAACTCATTGGATTCTTGAAAGAGATTGAGAGAGAGCAAGTAACTTTGGAAACATATTTAAGGATATTGTCCACGAAAATTTTCCCAACATCTCTAGAGACGTCAACGCACAAGTTCAGGAAATTCAGAGAACCCCTGTAAGATATTATGCAAGATGACCATCCCCAAGCCACATTGTCATCAGATTCCCCAAAGTCAATGTGAAAGAAAAAATCTTAAAGGCAGCTAGAGAGAAGGGGCAGGTCATGTACAAGGGCTAACAGTGGACCTCTTAGCAGAAACCTTACAGGCCAGAAAAGGTTGGGGGCCTATATTAAGCATCATTAAAGAAAAAAAAATCCAATCAAGAACTTCGTATCTAGCCAAACTAAGCTTCATAAGCAAATGAGAAATAAAATCCATTTCAGGCAAGCAAATGTTAAGAAAATTTGTTACCACCAGACCTGCCTTACAAGAGGTCCTTAAGGGAGGGCTAAACATGGAAATGAAAGCCTAATACCTGTCACCACAAAAACACACTTAAATACATAGAGCTTACTGCCATTATAAAGGAACTATACAATCAAGTCTACATAACAACCAGCCAACAACATAATGGCAGAATAAAATTCTCACATATTAATATTAACTTTGAATGTAAATGGGCTAAACACCCCACTTAAAAGGCACAGAGTGGCAAGTTGAATAAAGAAGCAAGACCCAACTCTATACTGTCCTCAAGAGAGTCATCTCACATGCAATGACACATATAGGCTCAAAGTAAAGGGATGGAGAAAGATCTATCAAGCAAACAGAAAACAAAAAAGGGCAGGGGTAGCTTTTTTTTTTTTTTTTTTTTTTTTGAGACGGAGTTTCGCTCTTGTTGCCCAGGCTGGAGTGCAGTGGCGCGATCTCGGCTTACCGCAACCTCTGCCTCCCGAGTTCCAGTGATTCTTCTGCCTCAGTCTCCCAAGTAGCTGGGATTACAGGCATGCATCACCACACCTGGCTAATTTTTGTATTTTTAATAGTGACGGGGTTTCTCCATGTTGGTCAGGCTGGTCTCGAACTCCTGACCTCAGGTGATCCACCCACCTCTGCCTCCCAAAGTGCTGGGATTACAGGTGTGAGCCACTGCGCCCAGCTGGGGTAGCTATTCTTATATCAGACAAAACAGACTTTAAACCAACAACAATCAAAAAGGACATTATATAATGATAAAGGGTTCAATTCAACAAGAAGACTTAACTATCCTAAATATACATGCACCCAATATTGGAGCATCTAGATTCATTAAGCACGCTCTTAGAGACCTACCAAGAGACTTAGATAACCACACAATATTAGTGGGAGACTTCAGCACTCCACTGACAGTTTCACAGATCATCAACGCAGAAAACTAAGAGAGATATCTAGAATCTAAACTTGACACTTGAAAAAAACAGACCTAACAGACATCGACAGAATGCTCCACCTGAAAACAGAATATTCATTCTTCTCATCTACACATGGCACATATTCTGAGATCAACCACACATTCGGTCTTAAAGCAATTCTCAAAAAAAAAAAAAAAAAATCCCTGGGGCGGACACAGTGGCTCACGCATGTAATCCCAGCACTTTGGGAGGCTGAGGTGGGTGGATCACCTGAGGTCAGGAGTTCAAGACCAGGCTGGCCAACATGGTGAAACCCCGTCTCTACTAAAAATACAAAACAATTAGCTGGGCATGGCAGCACAGGCTTGTAATCCCAGCTACTTGGGAGGCTGAGGCAGGAGAATCGCTTGAATCCAGGAGGCAGAGGTTGGAGTGAGCTGAGATCGTGCCATTGCACTCCAGCCTGGGCAACAGAGTGAGACTCTGTCTCAAAAAAATCAAAACAAAACAAAACAAACCTGAAAATCATACCAACCATGCTCTCTAAGACCACAGTGCAATAAAAATAGAAATAAATACCAAGACGATTTCTCAAAACCACATAATTACATGAAAATTAAACAACCTGCTCCTGATGACTTTTGGGGTAAAGAATCAAATTAAGGCAAAAATTGAAAAAGTTCTTTGAAATGAATGAAAACAAAAATACAACATACCAGAATATCTGGGACACAGCTAAAGTAGTGTTAAGGAGAAATTTTATAGTGTTAAATATCTACATCAAGATGTTAGAAAGGTCTCAAATTAACAGCCTAAGATCACACCTAGAGAAACTGAAAAATAAGAACAAACCAACTCCAAAACTAGCAAAAGGAAAGCAATAACCAAAATCAGAGCTGAGGTAAATGAAATTGAGATGTGAAAATTCACACAAAATATCAATGAAGGCAAGAGTTGGTCCACCAAAAGAATAAACAGGAACAGTAGCTCACTATAGATTAATAAATGAGAATAAGAAGATACAAATAAACACAATAAGAAATGATAAAGTTTATGCTACCCTCAACCCCCCAGGGAAAAAAAAAACCTGGAGACTATTATGAACAGTTCTATGCACACAAACTGGAAAACCTAGAAGAAATGGATGAATTCTTAGAAGCATACAACCTCCCAAGACTGAAGTAGGAAGAAACTGAAATCCTGAACAGATCAATTAATGAGTTTCAAAATTTAATGAGTTATTTTTTTAAAATCCCTATCAACCAGAAAAAGCCCTGGACCAGAAAGATTCACAGCTGAATTCTTCCAGATATGTAAAGAAGAGGTGGTACCAATTCTACTAAAATTACTCAAAAATATTGAGGAGGAGGGGCTTTTTCCTAACTCATTCTACAAGGCCAGCATCATTCTCATACTAAAACCTGGCAAAGATAAAAAGAAAAAAGAAAACTTAAGGCCAATATACCTGATGAACACAAACACAAAATCCTCAACAAAATACGAGCAAATTGAATCCAGCAGCAAATCAAAAAGGTAATCTACCAAACAATCAAGTGGGCTTTATCCCTGGGATAAAAGGTTTGCTTCAACATATACGAATCAGTAAATGTGATTCGTCGCATAAACAGAACTAAAAACAAAAACCACATGATCATCTCAAGAAATGCAGAAAAGGCTTTTGATAAAAATTAACACCCCTTCATATTAAAAGCCCTCAAAAAACTAGCCAATGAGGGAATGTACCTTAAAATATTAAGAGCTATCTATGACAAACCCACAGCCAATATCATACTAATGGGCAAAAACTGGAAGCATTCCCCTTGAGAACCAGCACAAGACAAGGATGCCCACTCTTACCACTCCTATTCAGCATAGTACTGGAATTCCATCCAGAGCAATCAGGCAAGAGAAAGAAATAAAAGACACCCAACTGGAAAAGAACAAGTCAAACTATCTCTCTTCATAGACAATATAATTCTATACCTAGAAAAATTCATAGTCTCTGCCCAAAGGCTCCTAGAATTGGTAAACAAGTAAAGTTTTAGGATACAAAACCAATGTAAAAAAATCAGTAGCATTTCTTTTTTTTCTTTCTTTCCTTTACTTATTTATTTTTTTTTAGACCGAGTCTGGCTCTATCGCCCAGACTGGAGTGCAGTGGCATGATCTTGGCTCACTGCATCCTCCACCTACTGGGTTCAAGCGATTCTCATGCTTCAGCCTCCCAAGTAGTTGGGATTACAGGCATGCACCACCACATGTGGCTACTTTTTGTATTTTTAGTAGAGATGGGGTTTCACCATGTTGGCCAAGCTGGTCTAAAACTCCTGACCTCAGGTAATCCACTTGCCTCAGCCTCCTGAAGGGCTGGGATTACAGGTGTGAGCCACTGCACCCAGCCAGTAGCATTTCAATACCCCAATGATGTCCAAGCTGAGAGCCAAATCAGGAATGTAATCCCATTCATGATAGCCACAATAATAATAAAATATGTAGGAATTCAGCTAACCACGGAGGTGAAAGATTTCTACAAAAAGAATTACAAAACACTGCTGAAAGAAATCAGAGACCACACAAACCAATGCAAAAAACATTCCATGCTCATAGATAGGAACAATCAATATTGTTAAAATGGCCATACTGCCCAAAGCAATTTGTAGATTAGTGCTATTTCTATCAAACTACCAATGTCATTTTTTACAGAATTAGAAAATACTATTCTAAAATTCACATGGGTCTAGAAAAGAGCCCAAATAGTCAAAGCAATCATAAGCAAAAAGAACAAAGCTGGAGGCACCACACAATCTGACTTAAAACTATACTGCAACACTATAGTAATCAAAACAGTATGGTACTGGTACAAACACAGACACACAGACTAATGGAACAGAATAGAGAATCCAGAAATAAAGCAACACATCTACAACCATCTGATGTTTGACAATAACAAGCAATGGGGAAAGGACTCCCTATTAAACAAATGGTGCTGGAATAACTGGCTAGCCATATACACAAGACTGAAACTGGACCTCTTTCTTTCACCATATACAATAATCAAATCAAGATAAATTAAAGACTTAAATGTGAGACGTAAAACTATAATTAAAACCCTAGAAGAAAATCTGGGACATACCATTCTAGACATAGGTCTTGGCAAAGATTTCATGATAAAGTGCCCAGAAGCAACTGAAACAAAACCAAAAATAGACAATTGGGACCTAATTAAACTAAAGTACCTGTGCACAGCAAGAGAAACGATCAATCTACAGAATGAGAGAAAACATTTGCAAACTATACATCTGACAAAATTTATTATTCAGAATTTATAAGGAACTTAAATTAACAAGGAGAAAACAACCCCATTAAAAATGGACAAAGTATATGGTCAGACACTTCTCAAAAGAAGGCATACATGTGGCCAACAACCATATGAAAAATGCTCAACATCACTTATCATTAGAGAAATGCAAATCAAAAAAGATACCATCTCACGCCAGTCAGAATGGCTATTACTAAAACGTCAAAAAACAACAGATGTTGGTGAAGTTGTAGAGAAAAGGGAACACTTAGACACTGCTGGTGAGAATGTACATTAGTTTAGCCACTGTGGAAAGCAGTTTACAGACTTCTCAAAATACTTAACACAGAAGTACCATTCGACCCAGCAATCCTATTACTGGGTATATACCCAAAATAATATAAATTGTTCTACCAAAAAGACACACACACTTGTATGTTCATTGCAGCACTATTCACAATAGCAAAGACATGGAATCAACCTGGATGCCCATCAACAGTGGACTAGATAAAGAAAATGTGGTACTTATACACTATGGAATACAACACAACCATAAAAAAGAACAAAATTATGTCCTTTGCAGCGACATGGATGCTTCTGGAGTCCATTATCCTAAGCAGACTTGCTTAGGATAATGCAGAAACAGAAAACAAAATATTGCATGTTCTCACTTCTTTTATGGGAGCTAATCATTAAGTACACATGGACACAGAGAGGAACAACAGACACCGTGGTTACTTGAGGGTGAAGGGTTACTTGAAGGAAGGTGAGGATCAAAAAAATGCCTAGTGAGTACTATGCTCACTCCCTGGGTGACAAAATTGTTTGTACATCAAACCCCAGCAACACACAATTTACCCATGTAACAAACCTGCGCATGTATCCCCTGAACCTAAAATAAAAGTTGAGAAAGAAAAAAAGGGACAACTCCTACAAATAAATGAGAAAAAGACAGATAATCCAAAAGGAAAAGTGGCAAAAGGCATGAAGAATCAATTCAAAGAAGAGGAAATCTAAACAGCTAATAAATATGTAAAACTGATTAAACTCATCAGCCACTGGGATAATGCAAACAAAAACCACAATAAAATACTGATTAGATTGGGAGGCTAAGGTGGGTGGATCATCTGAGGTCAGGAGCTTGAGACCAGCCTGACCAACGTGGTGAAACCCCGTCTCTACAAAAATCGTAAAATTAGCTGGGTGTGGTGGCAGGCACCTGTAATCCCAGTTACTCAGGAGGCTGAGGCAGGAGAATCACTTGAACCCAGGAGGCAGAGGTTGCAGTGAGTCGAGATCACACCATTGCACTCCAGCCTGGGTGACACAGCCAGAATCCGTCTCTAAAAAAATACTGATCAGATTAGAAAAATAATTAAAAGATCAGATATATAAATAATACAGATCTTACCAAGGATATGGAGCCTCAGGAAACCTGATTAACTGCTGGTGGAAATGTTTCATGGTACAACAATGTTTCACCACAGTATGTCATTACATAGTAGAATTGAAGATATGACCCAACAATTCCATTCCTAAGTATATACTCAACATAAATGCATGTTTATGTGCACCAAAAGAAAGTATAAGAATGTCAGTAGCAGCATTATTTTTAACTACCCGTGACTAGAAATCATCCACATTATCATAAACTTACAATGGGCAAATAAATTATGGTACAGCCACGTAAGGAATTATAGTACATAGTAAAAATAAGCTACAAATATTTCTAACAACATAGATGAATCCTACAAATAAAATATTAAACAATAAAAAGGCTATAAAATAAATTTACGGCCGGGCGCGGTGGCTCAAGCCTGTAATCCCAGCACTTTGGGAGGCCGAGGCGGGCGGATCACGAGGTCAGGAGATCGAGACCATCCTGGCTAACACGGTGAAACCCCATCTCTACTAAATATAGAAAAAAACATTAGCCGGGCGCGGTGGCAGGCGCCTGTAGTCCCAGCTATTCGGGAGGCTGAGGCAGGAGAATGGGGTGAACCCGGGAGGCGGAGTTTGCAGTGAGCCGAGATAGCGCCAATGCACTCCAGCCTGGGCGACAGAGCGAGACTCCGTCTCAAAAAATAAATAAATAAATAAATAAATAAATTTACTTACTATGTTCAAAAATGTACAAAACCGTATTATTTAGGGATACCCTCACCAACAGCAAAAGCACAAAGTAAAGGAAGAAAGTCACTATCATAAAGTCAGAACAGTGACTATCCATGGAGGAGGAGAACAAGTGGTGATTGTGAAGGAATATGCAGGAAACTCTTGGGATGCCAGTAATGTTTCATTCTTGATCCGGGTGTTATACACAAGGCCAGTGTTTCTTTTATCACTACTTGTTCAAATGCTATTTATGTCTTATTCATTTTTTAGATATTATGTCACACAAGGGTAAAAAATTTAAAAAATAATAAAAGCTGTGAGAACAAAAAGACAAATTAACTTTTAAAAAGCAACAGATTGTCAACTGTCTTCTCAACAGCTAGTAGTAGATGCCTGACTGACAACAGCACATCTTTGATGACTGTTGCCTATCTTCGATGTGGTAGGAGAAAATAAATGTCAATGTAACATTTTACACGTGGTGGAAAATATCTTTTAGCATGTATGTGAAATGTAGACCTTCAAAAAAACAAAAACTGAATGTGTTTATCAAGAGCAGGTAAAGGAATTTCCTTTACTCACTAAAAGAAATTCTAAAATATGTACTTTAGGCAGAAAGTGATCCCAGATGAAAAGTCTGAAACCAGAAAAAAATGAAGAGCCTGGTAAAATGATAAATATATAAATAATCTAAATATATTTTGACTTTATAAACAACAATAATAATATCTTGCAAAGTTAAGAGTATTGTAGACACAGGAAAGGTGGCAAATGAAGTTAAAGTGCTTAAATGTAATTTTATTGCTGGAAAGAAGATGAACATATTGATTAATTTTAGACTTGTAGGGTCGAATAACACATTACATCAACTAATATTAAATATGTGTGGTTACATGAACTAATCAGTAAATGCAGAGAAACAACATATAAAACTCAAAAATGATAAAAAGTAAAACCTAATTCGGTCAAAGTAATATAAAATGATACCAAAAAAGAAATATTGAAAAGATTGGAAAATAGAAAGCAATAAAAATAAGAAGAGTCAACACTAACATCTTAGTAATTATAAGTAATGTAAATATTCTAAATGTACAAATAAAAAAGACAAAACTTGCCCCAAACTGTCTGTTTAAAAAATAAATTCCAATATATGCTCTTTATAAGAGATACTCTAAAACATAAAGATACTGAAATTGAAAGTGAATAGTTGGAAAAATATGTCTTGCAGGCACTAACCAAATAAAAGCCAATGAAGCTGTATTAGATAGACCTCAAGGCAAACAGCATTTATAGAAATAAAGAGGGTCACTTTATAATGAGAAAACTGTCAACTCATAAGGAAAAAAATAAAACTTCAAATTTGTAAACTCCTGCTGTGACTTTGTCCAACTTGTCTAAACTAAATTATGTTTCCTGCTTAGGGTGTGCCACAAGACATATTTTCACATGAGATTTGGAGGATGATAGTGAAACTGCAGTCATGTTTTTTACACTAGCGAGTTCAGGGCAGAGTCACCATATTTGCTGACTCACCTTGTGGGTGTGGGCAGCAGCCAGTCTAGCAATTGTTTCCCCTTCTCCTGGATCCTCCTTCAGGTTCTCCTACTCCTGAGCCAGAGTTATGTTTAGCATCAGGACAAAGTTTCTCCTGCAGGACACCTACATTATCCATTATTGGAGCAGTGAGAACTGACAGGGGCTCGTGTGTCCTCATAGATTCCAACTTACATTAGTTGGTTCCTACTTGTTGCCACTCTCTCCCAATTTACATCCATCTTTCCTTCCCAATTGCTTACCCTGCAGACTTCCAGCTCTAACATCAGACAGGAAGACAATGTCTTTTCAGAGATTGTTTAACCAGCTCCCAAAATTGTGTAAGTAAAATTTATGTAACAAGTTATGTGTGTATTTGTATATTCAAGTGCATGTGAAACATCTGCAGAAACTGACCACAATTAGGGGCATAGGGTAATTTGTACCACAATCTCTGTCTTCAACTCATTTATTTAAAATATTTACTCAAAGTTTATGATATGCCAGGAATTTGGGTGCTTGACATATATCAATGCACATAACAAAAATCCCTGCCCTTAAGGAGCTTATTTTTTTTGTTTTTTTGTTTTTGTTTTTTTTTTTTGGAGAGAGGTCAACATAAAAAAATAGCTGTAGTAAACAGTTAAACTGTATAGTATGTTATAAAGTTATATGTGCTATGGAAAAAAATTAGATCAGCTAAGGGGTGATATAGGTAAGGGACTGGGATTAGTTTGAGATCTATAACTTGCAAAGAACAATATGAGAGAGGAAAATTATAGCACCATCTTATTCATAACATACAAATCCTAAACAAAATCCTAACAGAATTTGTTCAGCAACATATAAATGGTGTTTTATGCTCAAATAATTTTGTCTCAGAAATTAAAAACATTAGTTTTAAAATCATTAAATGTGATTTAATTCATTGATAGATTAAATATGTAAGATTATCTTAATATATCAAAATGCACTGAATGAAATTTAAAATTAAAAACTTTTAACAAAATTACTTTAAAAATTGACTTTCTTAAATTTATAAAAGGTATCTAAAAACACCTACCTCCCCTCCACTACACAAACATAAATACACACACATACAAAACCAAAAGAAATCCTAAACTCTGCAACAAACACCTTGCTTAATGATGAGGTGCCGAACATTCCCTTTGAGACTGATGTCAAGATAAGATTGTGTGCTGTCACTAATACTCAGCACTGTCCTGAAGATCAGGACTGTGTAGTAAGACAGGAACAAAAAATAAGAATGGAAAGGGAGAAATAATATTGTTATTACTCATAGATGATAATGATTTTATTTTATAGTCAATCCATTATTACTAATAGACAAAACATTTAAAAATGTATCATAGTTGATAAAGATATATCAAATCCAAAGATTAATTAAACGTTATGTATAAATGACAAAGAATTATAAAATGAAAGAAAAAAACTCAGGAGATTTAGTTTTCTGATAATTGTGATGAGGTTATTTGGATATACTATCTCACTGAAAATAATAGAAATGAGGGATAAAATATTTGTAAAATCACCTTAGAAGAATGGACAACTTGAAGAGACAGTGAGAAAACTCCAAGGCCAATTTTATGAGAAAGATAGGCAAAACATCAGCACCCAAAAATGTATTGAGCATTTAGAGACCTCACACACTTGGGCTTTGGTTCAGAGTCTTCATGGTACAGAAGTCAGAGGAAGAACTTCCCCAGGCAAGGAGTCTTACAGGAGATCTTCTCCACACATTACACTGGACACTAAAGAACTACACACTCAGATTAAGAGCCAACCAGAAGAAAAACCACTCCCTCCACCCAGTTGGAAGGAGTTTCTCTGCCAGCAAACAGAGCATAATATTTAGGGAATATAAAACTGGACATAAGAAGTGGGGGCCACGGCCTGGCCCTCCAGTTTACACCTGAGTTAGACATAGCTTAGGTCAGCCAAAAAATTGCTGGCTATACATTTACTTTGAGGTGGTTTCTTATGAGTGGTACCTACAAGTACCTGACAAAGTAAATGGCACAACAGAGTGAAACTAGAAAACCAAAGTCAATGAGAAAAATCCTTAAAACATCTGTGATGGTTAATACTGAGTGTCAACTTGATTGGATTGAAGGATGCAAAGTATTGTTCCTGGGTGTGTCTGTGAGGGTGTTGCCAAAGGAGATTAACACTTGAGTCACTGGGCTGGGGAAGGCAGACCCACCTTTAATCTGGTGGGCACAATCTAATCAGCTGCCAGCGAATATAAAGCTGGCAGAAAAACTCGAAAAGGTGTGACTGGCCTAGTCTTCCAGCCTGCATCTTTCTCCTGTGCTGGATGCTTCCTGCCCTCAAACATCGGACTCCTAGTTCTTCAGTTTTGAAGTTTGGACTCTCTTGCTCCTCAAGCTTGCAGACAGCCTATTGTGGGAACTTGTGATCGTGTAAGTTAATACTTATTAAACTCCCCTTTATATCTATCTATCTATCCTATTAGTTCCGTCCCTCTAGGGAACCCTAACTAATACAACCTCCAAACAAAAAAAAGATTATCTTCCAAAAAGTGGTAAATTGGCTAAACTTTTCTGGAGGCTAAAATCAGTAGTATGATAACTTCAAAGCTAAAGAAAAATAACTGCCAAATTAGAATTCTATGCTCAATGAAAATGTCTTTCAAAATGAAAATAATAAAAAGAGAATTAGAAGGCAAGCCACAGACTAGGAGAAAATATTTGCAGGCACATCTGACAAAGGGTCGTTATCCAAAATAACCCAAGAACTCTTAAAACTGAACAATAAGAAAATGAGCCACCTAATTAAAACTTAGGCAAAAGATCTGAACAGGCATCTCATCAAAGAAGATATACAGATGACAAATAAACATATAAAAAGATGTTCAACATCATATGTCATTAGGAAATTGCAAACTAAGACAATGAGATATAATACATATCCAATAGAATGGCCCAAATCCAAAATGCAGACACCATCAAATGCTTGGAGGATGTGAAACAACCAGAAGTCTCTCATTCACTAGTGGCTGGTGGTAATAAAAAAGTACACCCACTTTGGAATATAGTCTTGCAAAACTGAGCATGCTCTTACCGCATGATCCAGCAATCATGCTCTCTTTGGTGTTTACCCAAAAGAATTGAAAACCTATGTTCATACAGAAACCTGCATATAGATGTTTATAACAACTTTATTAATAATTGCCAAAACTTGAGAGCAACTAAGACATACTTCAGTAGATGAATGGACAAACTGTGGTACATCCAGACAATAGAATATTATTCAATGCTAAAAAAAATTACCAAGCTACAAAAAGACATGAAGGAACCCTAAATGCATATTACTAAGTGAAATAAGCCAATGTGAAGGCTACCTAATGTATGATTCCAGCTATGAGACATTCTGGAAAAGGCAAAACAATGGTGACAATAAAAGGATCAGTAGTTACCAGGGGTTAAGTGGGGAGGGAGAAATAAATAGGCAGAGCACAGAGGATTTTTTATGGCAGTGAGATTATTTCTTATAATACTACAATGGTAGATACGTGTCATTATAACATTTGTCAAAACCCATAGAACGTACAACACCAAAAGTGAATCTTAAACTCTGGACTTTGGGGTGATAACGATGTGTTAGTGCAAATTCATTGATTGTAACAAATACACCACTATGATGGGGGCTGTCGATAGTGGAAGAAGCGGTACATGCGGTGGGGAAAAGGCATATATAGAAAATTCGTACTTTCCACTCCGTTTTGCTGTGAACCTAAAACTGCTCTAATAAATAAAGTGTATTAATTTAAAAGGTTGAAGTGAAATAAAAACAATTTGAGACAAGTGGGAGAATTTACGACCAGCAAAATCTAGTTAGGAGAAATTCTAAAAGATATACTTCAGGCAAAGGGAAAGTGGTCCTAGGGAGAATGTCTAAGATGCAAGAATAAATGAAGAGAGGGAAAAAAGTGGGCAAGTACAAATGAACATGACTTTCCAAAACCAGAATCATGTTTATGAAGTTTAAAATATACTTAAAAGGTCTACTCAAATTCCCAGACAATAACATTTGAATTGTGAGGTGTGTATATGAAGTTAAAGTGTTCTAAAAGCTTTGTATCATCTGGTAGGTGAGTAAAGGTTTTAATTAAGTTACGAATTTGGTAGTTAAGTGTTCATGTTTTCAATGCTTGGGTTACCAGTGAAGTGCAGAAATAGTATGAATAACTTCTAAACTAATAGAAAAAAAATGAAATGATTAAAAAGGAAAACATATTCAGTCAAAAAATATCAAGAAAGGACTTTTCTGTTGGGACTAATAAACAATAAAAAATAAAATGGAAATGTGAATCCAAATATTTCAATGGAAACACCAAATGTAAAACAATTAAAGGTCCAACTTTTTTAAAAATCATAAAATTGAATAAAAACAAAATTTAACTAATACAACAAAAAAGCATTATTAAAATCAGGCAAAATAATAGTTTAAGGAAAATAACATTATTATAAGTGAAAGACCACTTCAAGTCACCAAAATAATAGCAATTTAAAAAATGTTATATGTCAAATTATATAGTCTCAAAATTTATAAAGGCAATGACTGACAGAACCATAGAGAGAAATAGACAAGTAGATAATTATAGTGGGATATGTCTAGCAAACTTTTTTTCAGTGATAGTGCTATGGTTTAGACGTGCCTCCTAAAGTTCATGTGTTAGAAACTTAAGACTCAAGACAACAGTGATGAGAGGTGGTACCTTTTTTAAAAAAAGCTTTTATTTTAGTTTCAGGGGTATATGTGAAGGTTTGGTATACAAACTTGTGTTATGAGGGTTTGTTGTACAGATTATGCCATCACCCAGGTGTTAAGCCCAGTACTCAATATTATCTTTTCTGCTCCTCTCCCTCCTCCCACCCTACAACCTTATGTAGACCTCAGTGTCTGTTGTTCCTTTCTTTATGTTTATGACTTGTCATCATTTAGCTCCCACTTATAAGTGAGAACATGTGGTATTTGGTTTTGAGTTCCTGTGTTAGTTTGCTAAGGAAAAGGATAAACCTCCTGCTCTATCCATGTCCCGGCAAAAAATATGATCTTGTTCTTTTTTATGGCTGCATAGTATTCTATGATGTATATGTAGAGAGGTAGTACCTTTAAGAGATGATTAGGATTTGAGGGTTCTGCCCTCATGAATTGATTAATGCCATTATTGGGGAAGTTAAATCATTATTGTGGGAGTGGATTCCTTACAAAGGATGAGTTCAGCCTTCTTCCCTCTCTCATATCAGTGCCTTCTGCAATGTTATGATGCAGCAAGAAGGCCCTCACCACATGTTGGGGCTTTGATCATGGACTTCTCAGCCTCCAGAACTGTGGGGAAATACATTTCTGTTTTTAGAAATTACCTAGTTTCAGATATTCTGTTATAGCAGCACAAAACAAAAACAGGTAAATAGAATAAGTAGATGTAAAAAAAAATCAGTAAAGATAGAGAAGATTTAGGAAACGTGATTAATAAAATTGTCCTAACAAACCCATATATAAAGTTATCCGTCCAATATGAATAATACAAATTGTTTTCAAATAAACACACATTGTAGTTGTTTTCTATTGCTACTGTAACAAATTACCACAAACTTAATGGCTTAAAACAACACAGATTTGTTCTCTCATAGTTCTGGATATCAGATGCCCAGAATGAGTTTTAAAAGGTTAAAGTCAAAGTCTCAGCATTTCTGTTCATTCTGCATGCATTAAGGGAGAATCTATTCTTTGCCTCTTTCAGCTTCTAGAGGCTATGGCATTCCTTGGGTCTTGGCCACATCACTCCAGACTCTGCTTCCATCGTAACATTGCCTTATCTCCTCCATAGTCAAAGCTCTCCTTCTCTTCCTCTTGTGATTACATTGGACCCACCTGGATAATCCAGGATAACTTCCACACCTCAAGAACTCTAACTTGGCCAGGTAGGGTGGCTCACACCTGTAATACCAGCACTTTGGGAGGCTGAGGCGGGCGGATTGTCTGAGTTCAGGAATTCCAGACCAGCTAACATGGTGAAACCCCATCTCTACTAAAAATATAAAAATTAGCCGGGTGTGGTGGTGCACACCTGTAGCCCCAGCTACTCTGGAGGCTGAGGCAGGAGAATCTCTTCAACCCGGGAGGCGGAGGTTGCAGTGAGCCGAGATCGCACCACTGCACTCCAGCCTGCGAGACAGAGCAAGATTCCATCTCAAAAACAACAACAACAAAACTCTAACTTACCATATCAACAAAGTTTCTTTTACCATGTAAGAAAAAATATTCATAGGTTCCAGGTATTTGGACATCAACATCTTTGGGGAAGGGGCATTATTAGTCTACCAAATAAATGAACATTTACCAAATTTTATCATGTGCAAGGGTCATAAATCAAGTCTCAAAAAAATAAAAAGATAAAAATCACATGAAAATTTTTTATCATGATGCAATTTTGGTAGAAATCAATAACAAAAAGAATCAGAAAATCTTTATACATTTGAAAAATAAGAAATACACTCCTAAGTAGCCATGAATTAAAGAAATAAACAATGGCAATTAGAAAATGTTTAAACTAAAACTCAGAGAAAATACCATTGAGAGATAGTGGCCAAAAATTTTTCAGAACAGATAAAATGTAGGAGATGCAGTTAAACAGGTGCCAGAGTGACATTTGTTTTCTAAATTCATATATTAGAAGAGAAAAAAGAGTGAATATTAAAGAGCTGAGCATTCACCTTAGGAAGTAAAAACAGAATGGCAAAAATAATCTGTAAGAAGTAGAACAAAATAAACATTAACATTCATACAGGAATTAAAGATATGTAATAACATGTAGAAGATAGGATCAATAAAACTAGAAACAGGTTCTTTCAAAAATTTAGCAAAAATGAAATTTTCTGGTAAGATTGTTGTAGATAAAAAGGAAAAGTCACATTACAAATACAAAGAATGAAAAGGAGATATCACTAGAGATTCTAGAGACATTAAACAGATATAAAAGTATTGTGAATAACTTTATGACAATACATTAAAAGTTAGTTGAACTGGAAAAATTCCTAGGAATTTAAGTTACCAAAAATATTTCAAGCAGAAAACATGACTAGTCCAATAGCCATTTACAAAATTGGATCAATAATCAAAAATATTATCATAAAGAAAATCTAGTCCCAAATGGTTTCACTGGTGAATTCTACAAAATATTAAAAAAGAAATTATTGTAATGTTTCTCAAAAAACTCCAGACTAAAAAAAGAGAATACTCCCCAGGCTTATGTATTAGTCCGTTTTCATACTGCTATAAAGGAAAGAAGTTTAATTGACTCACAGTTCCACATGGTGGGAAGACCTCAGGAAATTTACAATCATGGCAGAGGGCAAAGAGGCAGCAAGGTACCTTCTTCACAAGGTGGCATGAAGAAGGGCCAAGTGAAGGGGATAGAGCCCCTTATAAAACCATCAGATCTCGTGAGAACTCACTGTCGTGAGAACTCACTATCATGAGAACAACATGGAGGAAACCGCCCCCATGATTCAATTACCTCCACCTTGTCTCTCCTTTGACATGTGACAATTATGGGGATTATGGGGATTGCAATTCAAAATGAGATTTGGGTGGGGATACAAAGCCTAACCATATCAGCTTAATACCAAAACTTAAAAAGAACATTATGATAAAGAAAAATTATAGCCATTCTCACTCATGAACATAGATGCAAAAATTATAAACAAAATATTAGCAGCATTTATCCTAGAAAAATGGATAAAAGATTATGATCAAGTTAAGTTTATTTTAGGAATGCATTAGAAAACTAACGTAATTCATCATATTAATCAAATAAAAGAGAAAAACATATGATCATCTCAACAGATGTCCAGAAAGTATTTCACATAATTTTAACATTCACTAATTATTAAAACAAACACCTTTTAATGAACTAGTAGTATAAGGAAACTTTTAAAATCTACAATGATGATTAATTTTATGTATCAACTTGGCTAGGTCACAGTACACAGATATTTGGTAAAACATCATTCTTGATGTTTATGTGAAGGTTTTTATAAATGGGATTAACATTTAACTCAGTAGTTTTGGGTAAAGCAGATTTCCCTCTATAATGTGGGTGAGCTTCATCCAATCAGTTGAAGGCCTTAAGAAAAACAAAGAAACAAACAAACTGACCTTCCTCAAAGAGGGAATTCTGCCATCAGACTGCCTTTGGACTCAAATTGCAACTCTTTCCTCAGGTCAGTCTCCAACCTGTCAGCCTACTCTGCAGATCTTGGGCATGCCAGCCTCCACGGTCACATAAACCAATTTCTTAAAATCTTTCTCTCTCTCTCTCTTCACACGCGCATACACATACACATACACACTCTATTGGTTCTGTTTTTCTGTAGAACCCGGACCAATACACAGTAAAAGAGAGTATTTACAAAAAAACATACAACAAACATCATTCTTCATGGGGAAATGTTGAAAAATTTCTCTCTGATATTGAGAAGGAAATAATAATTTAGTATCATACTAGAGATTCTACAGCAAGAGAATAAGACAAAAAAAGAGAGATAAGATAAAAGGATGAGAAAGGGATAAACAAAACCATCATTCGTTACATATAATATGTAATTGTATATGTAGAAAATCCAAAACATCTGCAGGTAAACCAATCTGTTAGAATTGGTTTATCCAGTTTAATCTAATGAGATGAATTATCTAGAATGAGAGAGTTTAGCAAGGTTATTGGGTACATAGTCAATATACAAATGTAAATTATATTTTGATATGCTAACAATAATCAGGTAGAAAACAAAATTGAAGCCAGATATTATAAAAATACTTTAATCAAGCAAATAAAAGAATAAATCTAATAACAAATGTGTAAGAATTCTATGGAGAAAACCACAAAATTTTACTGAGAGAAATTAAGATAGACCAAAATAAATAGATAAATATGATGGATGGAAAAGATTGGTAAAAATGTCATTTTCACCCAAAATTGATTTATAGTTTTAAATATCATCATAATCAAAAGCACAATATTGTGTATGTGTAAGACAACAATTCTAAAATTTATATGGAAATTCAAAGAACTGGAAATAGCCAATATATCCTTGGTGAAGTATAAGGTAAAAGACTTGATCTATCAAATATAAAGACATAATGAGGCTAGGGTAATCATGACAACACAATATTGGCACAAGGATAGTTAGGCTAAGGGAATAGAAGATAAAAAGCCCTAATGTCTATCAACAATAAAATGGAAATGGTGGTATATTCATACAATAATATATCACATGGCAACAGAAAGAAACTGATGGATGAATCTAGAATATTGAATGAAAAATTACACAATATATATATTATATTTATACTAAGCACTTTTAGAGTTATATATTACACTTCACACTAAAAATATTTTAATTACTGTTTTTAATATATCAAAAGATTAAGAAACTAAAAATAAATCTCCAAAAAGTTGTACAAGACCTTTTAAAGAAAATATTAGAGTTTAAAGTAAAACTTAGAAAGACATTACAAAAGACTTAAATAAATGAAGAAATGTACCATGCTTAGAGATTGCATCTCTCAACATTGTATATGTATCAATTACCTCTGCATTAATCTATTGTTTCCATTCAACCCCAATACATAGCCAACAGATGGCATTATGGAATTTGACAAGATAATTCTAAAATTTGTATAAAAGTACAAAGGATCAAGAATGTCAAGATACTGCTGCGGAAAAAGAATAAATAGGGTATCTGCGAAGATTTATGTTAAAGCTATTGTAATTAAGACATAAGTGTGCACTGAGAAATAGATATACCAATGGAACCTAAGAGAAAGACTAGAAAATAAACCCAGACATATATGGACACTTGCCATATAATAAATTTGGTATTACAGATCAGTTGAGAAAAGGTAGACTTTTCAATTAAGAATGTTGGGACAATGGTTAACCATATGGAAAGAAATGAAACTGGACTCTTCATTCACACTATACACATAAAATCAGTATGAGGTGAATTAAAGACCAGTCTTTGTTTGAAAGGCGAAATTCTAAAAACTGTTAGAAGAAATTATGCGATAATTTCTTTGTAAATTCAGAATAGTGTATAGTTACGTTTCAATCAGAGGAGCAGAATCACTAAAATGTGGAGTATGTGTGTGAGTCTGTATGTGTGTGTAAAGTAATTTGCTCCAGGGATCTGAACTTCTTGCCTCCTTGTGAGGAGCTATTGTCTTTCCTCCTGATCCTAGAACTTGGAGTCCATAATATAAGAAGTCAGGAATTAAAAAAAGATAAATGTAGTGTGAGCGAGCAAGAACACGCTGGAACACAGAGGAATAACCTGAAGCTCATGAGGACCTATTGAAACCTATGTTGGTTTTTAGTGTCTCTGACATTAATGGTATGGGTGGGCTCCAGTAGCCAGAAGTCTTTGTTACAGAGCTAAACACAATTACCTGGCCAAGGAGTAAGAGAAGCTGAAGAAAGATCCAGGGGATGATGGAGTAGTTTCAGATGTGGCCACTGCTTCATGCCAATGAGATGAGTCAGTAGATCAGAGACAATACGGGTCAGCTACAAAATGGCTGCTGCTTCACTTTTACCTTCCAGGTTTTCCACAGTAGTGTCTCTTGCAGCCCACCCTAACTAGAAATATACAAAAAAGTGAATTCTGGGAAATGTAGTTCACCCTAGCCAGGCTGACATATTACAAAACCATCAGAGGTAGAAATAGTTTTCTTAAAAAATACATAATAAGCAGCTGTTATAGTACATATTTTAAAAATTTTATTTAAAAAGAAAAGGTGAGTATCTTTTCTGAGTTCTTGAATACTTGAAAATATCTTTTCCTTCATCTTATACATCATTCAAAAAGTGCATGTGTAGAAAATCCTTGATCTACGTTTTTTCCCTCTGAACTCTGTAAAAGTGCTGTTTTCCCTCAGTATTATTAAAACAAAAGTAAAAATTCCTGGCAGTTTTTGGCTATCTTTTAAGTAACACTAGTTTTGGCGGAGTAGGTCTGAATAGTTTTTGTATTCATTCTTTGTCTTTATAACCTAACCCTTTTGTTACAAGTGTCTAGATATACTGATATTATCAGTAGCTATCCAGTAATTTGCCCCCTTGCTTTCTTACCAACAAAAACTAAATTTTGTTTGTTGAATAGTAATGTTCCTAGCCTTCATTGCAATTAGAGGTGGCTATGTAACACAGTTTTGGCCAGTGATCCAATGACGCATGAAAAGAGGTTTTGCTTTTCTAACATATTTCTTCCTTTATTACTTCCTTCTTCCTGGTCTTAAAACTAGAATGAGACATTGGAGGTGAAGCAGCCTTCATGTGACTATTTATGCCTTCTGCATTTATGTTCAGTGGTAATTCATCAGTGAACAAAACAGTCAAATGTCTCTCCCTTTGTGTGTCTTAAACTCTAGTGTGTATCAACAAACAATAATAGAATTAAATAAGTAAACTATTTAGAATATGAACAATGATAAGCGCTGTAGGAAAAAATGTTAGAATACGAGATTCTAAGAAGCTAGTGAGTGTAATATTAAACAAAGTGGTGGGGACAGGGAGCAGGCCATGCAGCTAGCTAGAAGAGGAACTTTCCAGAGAGTGAGGGGGAAAAAATCAATGCAAAGACTGGGAATATGCCTGCTATATTTAACAACCAGCAAGCAGCTAGTTTACTGAAGTTCAGTGGTGACAGAGGACTAGTAGATGAGGTTAGAGAGGACAGACAGATGGGGAAAATTAATGTAGGCCTTTTAGGTCATTGTGTAGAATTTGCCATCTACTTTGAGTGAGATAAAACATCACTAGAGAGTCTGAACAGGGGAGTGACTTGCTGTGATTTATATTTTTAAGACTTTGCTTTAAACCTTTTTATTTTCATCGAATTTTATACCTACATAAAAATTGCAAACGTAATACAGAGCTTCCTTATATCCCTCACTGTACTTTCCCTAATGTAAACACCCAACATCAAAACAGGAAATTGTTTATGGCTGCATAGTATTCCATGGTGTACACATACCACATTTGCCTTATCCAGTCTGTCATTGATGGGCATTTAGATTGCTTCCATGTCCTTGCTATTGTGAATAGTGCTACAATGAACATACATATGCATGTGTCTTTATGATAGAATGATTTCTATTCCTTTGGGTATATACCCAGTAATGGGATTGCTGGGTCAAATGGTAATTCGATTTTGGCTCTTTGAGGAATCACCATACTGCTTTCCATAAGGATTGAACTACTTTACACTTTCACCAACAGTGTATAAGCATTGCCTTTTCTCCACAACCTCACCAGCATCTGTTATTTTTTGACTTTTGAATAATAGTCATTCTGACTGATGTAAGATGGTATCTCATTGTGGTTTTGATTTGCATTTCTCTACTGCTCAGTGATATTGAGCTTTTTTTCATATGCTTGTGGCCCGCATGTATGTCTTCTTTTGAAAAGTGTCTGATCATGTACTTTGTCTACTTTTTAATGGGTTTTTTTTCTTATAAATTTGTTTAAGTTCCTTATAGGTGCTGGATATTAGATCTTTGTCAGAAGCATAGTTTACAAAAAAGAATGAGATCATGTTTTTTGAGAAACATGGATGGAGCTAGAGGCCATTATCCTCAGCAAACTAACGCAGGAACAGAAAACCAAATACCACATGTTCTCACTTATAAATGGGAGCTAAATGATGAGATCACGTGGAAACAAAGAGGAAACAACAGATACTGGGGCCTACCAGGAGAGAAGGTAGGAGGAAAGAGAGGAACAGAAAAAAGAACTATTAGGTACTAGTCTCAGCACCTGGGTGACGAAATAATCTGTACATCAAACTCCCATGACACAAGGTTACCATATAATAAAGCTGTACATGTACCCCTGCACCTAAAATAAAAGTTTTTTGAAGAAAAGGAAATCAACGTTTGGTGCGATATTATTAACTAAACTACAGACCTTATTTGATTTTCACACATTTTTTTCCTATGTGTTCTTTTTCTGTCTGGCATCCTATCCAGAGTCATATACTGTTTTTGTTTTCCTTTCTTAGTCATTTCCAGTCGGCAACAGTTCTTCAATTTTTTCCTTATCTTTCATGACTTGACACTTGGAAGATTGTTAATCAGCCATTTTGTAGAATGCCCCTCAATTTGGGTTTATTTGTTAAAGCATTTTTCTCATGATTGGAAATTGTAATAGTCTGCTCAAGCTACCATAACAATGAAACACGGATTGGATGGTTTAAACAACAGAAATTTATTTCTTACGGTTCTGAAAGCTAGGATCAAGAGTTCAGCTGATCCGTTTGTGGTGAGGGCTCTTTTCCCCGCTTGCAGATGCCTACCTTCTCACTGTTTCCTTACATGGCCTTTCCTCTGTGTGCAGGCATGGAGCGGTGGGGAATTAGAAAATGAGCTGTCTGATGCCCTTTCTTATAAGGACTCTAATATTATACTATTGGATTAAGGTCCCACCTTTATGATCTCAAGTAACTATAACCTTAATTACTTTCATAGAGGCATCATCTCCAAATACAGTTATACTGGGGGTTAATGCTTCAATCTATGAATTTTAGGGGGGACAAAAACATTCAGTCCATAACAGAAGGCTTTGTATTTTTGGCAAGACTACCACAATATGCACAAAAAATCTTTCATTATGCATCATATTAAGGTATTGATGATGTTGATATGTCTTTTTTTAAATAATAGCAATGTTTATTAGAATATCCTATTCAAAACCAGCAATCTGTGCAACATACTCAGCTTTTAGGAGACGGGCTGGCCCCAAGTTTCTTTCTGATAATGGACTTAGGGGGCTGGCATCTTGACCCTGTCGTCCAGCCTGTGGTACCATCAAAAGGCAGCATGACATTTTTTTTTTTAATACTTTAAGTTCTAGGGTACATGTGCACAACATGCAGGTTTATTACATAGGTATACATGTGCCATGCTGGTTTGCTGCATCCATCAACTCGTCATTTACATTAGGTATTTCTCCTAATGCTATCCCTACCCCAGCCCCCCAACCCCTGACAGGCCCTGCTGTGTGATGTTCCCCTCTGTGTGTCCATGTGTTCTCGTTGTTCAATTCCCACCTATGAGTGAGAACATGCGGTGTTTGGTTTTCTCTCCTTGTGACAGTTTGCTTAGAATGATGGTTTCCAGCTTCATCCATGTTCCTGCAAAGGACATGAACTCATCCTTTTTCATGGCTGCATAGTATTCCATGGTGTATATGTGCCACATTTTCTTAATCCAGTCTATCATTGATGGACATTTGGGTTGGCTCCAAATCTTTGCTATTGTGAATAGTGGCGCAAGAAACATATGTGTGCATGTGTCTTTATAGTAGCATGATTTAAAATCCTTTGGGTATATACCCAGTAATGGGATTGCTGGGTCAAATGGTATTTCTAGTTCTAGATCCTTGAGGAATCACCACACTGTCTTCCACAATGGTTGAACTAATTTATACTCCCACCAACAGTGTAAAAGTGTTCCTATTTCTCCACATCCTCTCCAGTATCTGTTGTTTCATGACTTTTAAATGCTCGCCATTCTAACTGGCATGAGATGGTATCTCATTGTGGTTTTGATTTGCATTTCTCTGATGACCAATGATGATGAGCATTTTTTCATATGTTTGTTGGCTGCATAAATGTATTCTTTTGAGATGTGTCTGTTCATATCCTTTGCCCCCTTTTTGTTGGAGTTGTTTGTTTTTTTCTTGGAAATTTGTTTAAGTTCTTTGTATATTCTGGATATTAGCCCTTTATCAGATGGGTAGATTGCAAAGATTTTCTCCCATTCTGTAGGTTGCCTGTTCACTCTGATGAGTTTCTTTTGCTGTGCAGAAGCTCTTTGGTTTAATTAGATCCCATTTGTCTATTTTGGCTTTTGTTGCCATTGCTTTTGGTGTTTTAGTCATGAAGTCTTTGCCCATGCCTATGTCCTGAATGGTATTGCCTAGACTTTCTTCTAGGGTTTTTATGGTGTTAGGTCTTACATTTAAGTCTTCAATCCATTTTGAGTGAATTTTTGAATACGGTGTAAGTAAGGGATCCAGTTTCAGCTTTCTACATATGGCTAGCCAGTTTTCCCAGCACCATTTATTAAATAGGGAATCTTTCCCCATTTCTTGTTTTTGTCAGGTTTGTCAAAGATCAGATGGTTGTAGATGTGTGGTGTTATTTCTGATGCCTCTGTACTGTTCCATTGGTCTATATATCTGTTTTGGTACCAGTACCATGCTGTTTTGGTTACTGTAACCTTGTAGTATAGTTTGAAGTCAGGTAGCGTGATGCCTCCAGCTTTGTTCTTTTTGCTTAGGATTGTCTTGGCAATGTGGGCTCTTTTTTGGTTCCATGTGAACTTTAAAGTAGTTTTTTCCAATTCTGTGAAGAAACTCAGTGGTAGCTTAATGGGGATAGCATTGAATCTATGAATTACCTTGGGCAATACGGCCATTTTTACGATATTGATTCTTCCTATCCATGAGCATGTAATGTTTTATTATTGATGCTTATCTTGATCATTTTTGTTGGTATCTGCTAGGTTTCTCTGCTACAAAGCTGCTATCTTTCTGTTTATATTTAATAAGTATCTTCTTTGGAGGCTATGGAAATCCTATTTCTCCTCGAACTTTTGCCCACTCATTTTAGCATCCATTGGTGAATCTTGTCTGCAGCTACTATTACTAGGGCATTTGCAGTGATGAATCTCTATTTTCTCTTTCCATCAACAATTATTAATTGGAATTCAACTGTAATGAAGAATGCTTCCTCTCCCCTCATTTATTTACTTGATTTTTATATTGGTATAGATTAAAAAGTTTCCCTCTTGGGATAGTTGGCAGTGCTTCAGTCTCATATTGGTATAGATTAATAGGTATATTTTATTCTAGAGGTCAAATACTATTTATTTTATTGTTCAAATTATTCCAACTTTGGTTGTTAGTAACTTCTTTAGGTTGGCTCCTCTGTTTCTTTGATAAGCCCCCATTTATTACAAAATATTTAATTACCTTCTGACATCACAAGATGCTCTAGGCTCATCTTATATTTTCCTTGCTCAGCTCCGAAATCAGCTTCTCCAAAAAGCACTGGTTTCTCATGTTGAGAATGTTGTTTAGAAGCCAAGATCTTGAGGCAGAGCAAGATGGCAGAATAGACGGCTCCACCAATGGTCCCTGCTGCCCCCACAAGGTCACTAATTTAGCAACTATCTACACAGAAAGAACACCTTCATAAGAACCAAAAATCAGGTGAGCACTCAGTACCTGGTTTTAACTATGTACTGCTGAAAGAGGCCTTGAAGACATAGAAAAAAAAGCCTTGAATCACTGACACCACCCCTCCCCAAACCCCCCAACAGCAGCCAGGTGGTGTAGAGGCCAGGTTGTGTGGAGGGCATCTCTGGGTGCTGAGGAGGGAGAGCACAGCAATTGCGGGGCATTGAACTCAGTGCTGTCTTGTTGGAGAAAACGAAACTCACCTGATGCCCACCCATGGAGGGAGAACTTAAACCAGCCCTAGCCAGAGGGGAATCACCCATCCCAGAGGTCGAAACTTGAGTTAATGCAAACCTTGCCATGGAGAGCTACAGTATTCTGAGTTGCTTAGTAAACTTGAAAGGCAGTCCAGGCTATAAGGACTACAACTCACAGGTGAGTCCATGTGCTGAACTGGGCCAAGAAACAGTAGACTTGGGGGACATGTGACCTATGGAGACACCAGCTGGGGTGGCTAAAGGAGTGCTGACATAACCTCTCCCCTAACCACAGGGTGCACAGATCACAGCTCCAAAAGAGACCCCTTCCTTCTGCCTGAGGAGAGGAAAGGGAATAGTAGGAGGGACTTTGTCTTGTATCTTGTATACCAGCTCAGCCACAGAAGGATGGGGCACAGGTCAGAGTTCAGAGACCCTTGTTCCAGACCCTAGCTCCTGGATGACATTTCTAAACACACCCTGGATGAGAAGGGAACCTGCTGCCTTGAAGGGAAGGACCCAGTCCTGGCAGCATTCATCACCTGCTAACTGAAAAGCCCTTCAGTCCTGAATTACTAGCAGTGATACCCAGGTACTATGTTGAGGGCTTTAGGTGAGCCACTGAGACTTGCTGGCTTCAGGTGAGACTCAGCACATTACCAGCTATGGTGGTTATTGGATGAAACTCCTCTGCTTGAGAAAAGCAGAAGGAAAAGTAAAGGAGACTTTGTCTTGCACCTTAGGTACCAGCATGGCAACAGGCGGATCAAGAACCAAGCATGCTCTTGGGTTCCCCGATTCCAGGATTTGACTCTTAGATGGCATCCTTGGACCTGCCCTGTGTCGGAAGGGAGCCCCCTGCCATTAAGGGTGATTCTCAGGCTGGGCAAGATTCACCACAGCTAACTGACAAGCTCTTGGGCCTTAAGAAAACATTGGAGGTCCTCCAGCAGTACTCTCCATGGCTTGTGGTGGCAGTGGCTACAGCATGAGGCTCCTCCGCCTTTGGAAAGGGGAAGGAAGAGTGGGAAACACTGTGTTTTGTAGTTTGAATGCTGGTTCAGTCACAGTATAATAGAACACCAGGTAGATGTCTAAGGTTTTTTACCCTAGTCCCTGACTTCCAGGTGGCACCTCTGGACCTACGCAGGGCCTGAGGGAACTTTCCAACCTAAAGGGAAGGAGGCGGGCCTGGCTGGCTTTGCCACCTGCTGATTGTAGAGTCCCAGGGCCTTAAGTGAACATAGACAATAGCCAGGGGGTAGTATCTTGAGTGAGATCCAGTGCTATGCTAGCTTCAGGTATGACACAGCATTGTCATAGTGGTGGTGGCCACAGAGGTGCTTGTGTCACTTCATCCCCAGCTTTAGGTGGTTCAGGACAGAGAGAAACACTCTGCTTCTTTGGAAGAAAGTGAGGAAAGAGAACAGGAGCCTCTGCCTAGTAATCCAGAGAATTCTGGATTTGTCCAAGACCGTCAAGGCAGTACCTCTATGAGTCTGCAAGAACCACAGAATTACTGAGCTTGGGGTGCCCCATAAAACAGATACAACTTAGAGCACAACACTTAAGTCCTTTAGAATATCTGAAAAACTTTCCCAAAAAGGACAGGTACAAACAAGCCCAGAGAGTGAAGACTATAATAAATACCTAACTCTTCTATGCCCAGACACCAATGAACATCTACTAGCATCAACACCATGCAGGAAATCATGACCTCACCAAATGAACTAAATAAGGTACCAAGGACTAATCCTGAAGAAACGGAGATATATGACCTTTCAGACACAGAATTTAAAATAGCTGTGTTAAGGAAACTCACAGAAATTCAAGATAACACAGAGAAGGAATTCAGAATTTGATCAGATATGTTTAACAAAGAGATTGAAATAATTTAAAAGAATTACAATTTTTTCAGCAGAAATTTTGGAGCTAAAAAATGCAGTTGGCATATTGAAGAATGCATCAGAATATTTTAATAGCAGAATTGATCAGGCGGAAGAAAGAATTAGTGAGCTTAAAGACCTGTTATTTGAAAATACAGTCAGAGGAGATAAAAAAGAATAAAAAACAATAAAGCATACCTACAGGATCTAGAAAATAGCCTCAGAAGGGTAAATTTAAGAGTTATTGGCCTTAAAGAGGAGGTAGAGAGAGAGAGAACTAGAAAGCCTATTCAAAGGGATAATAATAGAGAACTTCCCAAACCTAGAAAAATATATCAATATCCATATACAAGAATGTTATGGAACAATGAGCAGATTTACTCCAAAGAAGACTACCTCAAGGCATTTAATAATCAAACTCCCAAAGATCAAGTATAAAGAAATATTTCTAAAAGCAGCAAGAGAAAAAAAAAATAACATACAATGGAGCTCCGATATATCTGGCAGCAGACTTTCCAGTGGAAAACTTATAGGCCAAGAGAGAGTGGCATGACATATTTAACATGATGAAGGAAAAAACTTTTTAACCTAGAATAGTATATTCAGCAAAAATATTCTTCACACATGAAGGTGAAATAAAGACTTTCCCAGACAAACAAAAGCTGAGGGCTTTCATCAACACCAGGTCTATTCTACAACAATGCTAAAGGGAGTACCTCAGTCAGAAAGAAAAGGACATTAACAAGCAATAAGCAATCATCTAAGGGTACAAAACACACTGGTAATGGTACACAGAAAAAACACAGAATATTCTAACACTGTAACTGTGGTATGTAAACTACTCTTATCCTAAAAAGAAAGACTGACCAATGAACCAATCACAAATAGCAATAACTTTTAATGACATAGTACAATAAGATATACATAGAAACAGGAAAAAGTTAAAAAGTTGAAGGATGAAGTTAAGGCATATACTTTTTATTAGCTTTGTTTTTGCTTCTTTGTTTGTTTATACACACAGTGTTAAGTAGTTATCGGATTGAAATAATGGTTTAAAAGATGGTATTTGCAAGCTTCACGGTGATCTCAAACAAAAAACATACAATGAATACACAAAAAATAAAAAGCAAGAAACTAAATCATATCACCAGAAAAAACTACCTTCACTAAAGGAAGACAGGAGGAAAGAAAGAAGGAGGAGAAGACCAGAAAACAAATAACAAAATGGCCAGAGTAAGCTCTTACTTATCAATAATAACATTGAATGTAAATGGACTAAACTCTCCAATTAAAAGAGAATGGCTGAGTGGATGAAAAAACAATATTCATTAATCTGTTGCCTACAAGAAACACAATTCAACTATAAAGACACATATAGACTACAAATAAAGGGATGGAAAAAGATATTCCATTCCAATGGAAACCCAAAAAGAGCATGAGTAGCTATACTTATATCATACAAAATATATTACAAGACAAAAACTATCAGAAGAGACAAGGAAGGTCATTCTATAATGAT
The DNA here is from genome assembly GCF_000001405.40 of Homo sapiens. Taxonomy (NCBI): domain Eukaryota; kingdom Metazoa; phylum Chordata; class Mammalia; order Primates; family Hominidae; genus Homo; species Homo sapiens. The sequence continues at coordinate 110,937,010 of NC_000001.11, forward strand.
AAAGAGGTCAATTCAGCAAGAGGATATAACAATTTTAAATATGCATGCCTTGAGCACCCAGATATATAAACCAAATATTATTAGAGCTAAGGCGAGGGATAGACCCTAATACAATAATAGCTGGAGACTTGAACACCCAATATTCAGCATTGGACATATCTTTCAGACAGAAAATCAACAAAGAAACATCAGACCTAATCTGCACTATTGACCAAATGGACTTACAGATAATTATAGAACATTTCATCCCTCGGCTGCAGAATACACATGCTTCTCCTCAATACATGAATAAATCTCAAGGATATACCATATTTTAGGTAACAAAACGAGTCTTAAAACATTCAAAAAAATTGAAATAATATCAAGCATCTTCTCTGATCACAATGGAATAAAACTAGAAATTAATAACAAGAAGAACCTTGAAAACTATACAAATACATGGAAATTAAACAATATGCTCCAGAATGACCAGTGGGTTGATGAAGAAATTAAAAAGGAAATTGAAAAATTTCTTGAAACAAGTGATAATGGAAACACAACATACCAAAACTTACAGGATACAACAAAGGCAGTACTAAGAGTGAAGTTTATAGCTATAAGTGCCTACATCAAAAAGGGGAAAACTTCAAATAAACAATCTAACAATGCATCTTAAAGAACTAGAAAAGCAAGAGCAAACCTCACCCAAAATTAGTAGAAGAAAAGAAATAATAAAGAGCAGAAATAAATGAAATTGAAATAGAGAAAATACAAAAGATCAATGAAACAAAATGGTTTTTTGAAAAGTTAAACAAAATTTACAAACCTTTAGCCAGACTAAGAAGAAAAAAGGAGACACAAATTAATAAAATCAGAAATGAAAAAGGAGCATTACAACTGATACTGCAGAAATTCAAAGGATCATTAGAGGCTACTATGAGCAACTATATGCCAATAAATTAGAAAACCTGAGAACATGAACAAATTCCTAGACACATATAATGTTCCAAGATTGAACTATGAAGAAATCCAAAATCTGAAAAGACCAATAAAAATAGTAAGATCAAAGTCATAATAAAAAGTCTTCCGGTAAAGAAAAGCCCAAGACCCAATGGCTTCACTACTCAATTCTATCAAGCATCGAGAGAAGAACTAATACCAATCTCACTCAAACTATTCTGAAAAAATGAGGAGGAAGGAATACTTCCAAACTCATTCTATGAGGCCAGTATTTCCCTGATACCAAAACCAGACAAAGACACATGAAAAATGAAAACTACAGGCCAATATCTCTGATGAATATTGATGCAAAAATACTCATCAAAATACTAACAAGCCAAATCCAACAATATATTAGAAAGATAATTCATCATGACTAAGTGGGATTTATCCCTGGGATGCAAGGATGGTACAACATACACAAATCGATTAACATGACACATCATATCAACAGAATGAAAGATAAAAATGATATGATCATTTCAATTGATACTGAAAAAGTATTTGATAAAATTCAACATCTTTCATGACAAAAACCCTCAAAGAACTTGGGATAGAAGGAACACACTTCAACATTTAAAAAAGCCATATATGATGGTCCCATAGCTAGTATCATACTGAATGGGGAATAACTGAAAGCCTTTCCTCTAAGATCTGGAACACAATAAGGATGCCCACTTTCACCACTGTTATTCAGCATAGTACTGGAAGTTCTAGCTAGAGAAGTCAGCCAAGAGAAAGAAATAAAGGGCATCCAGATTGGACAGGAAGAGGTCAAATTATTTTTGTTTGCAGATGATATGATCTTATAGTCAAAAAGCTTAAAGACTCCACCAAAAAACTATTAGAACTAATTTAAAAAATCAGTAAAGTTCCAGGATACAAAAACAACATAAAAAATCAACATCAGTAGCATTTCTATAGGCAAACAGTGAACAATATGAAAAAAGTAATCCCATTTACGATAGCTACAAATAAAATTAATATCTAGGAATTAATCAAAGAAGTGAAAGACCTCTATAATAAAAACTATAAAACACTGATGAAAGAAATTGAAGAGAACACCAAAATAAAAATTCCACGTTCATGGAGCAAAAGAATCAATATAGTTAAAAATGTCCTGGCTCACGCCTGTAATCCTAGCACTTTGGGAGGCCGAGACGGGCGGATCACAAGGTCAGGAGATCGAGACCATCTTGGCTAACACGGTGAAACCCCATTTCTACTAAAAATACAAAAAATTAGCCGGGCGTGTTGGCGGGCGCCTGTAGTCCCAGCTACTTGGGAGGCTGAGGCAGGAGAATGGCATGAACCTGGGAGGCGGAGCTTGCAGTGAGCCGAGATCGCGCCACTGCACTCCAACCTGGGAGACACAGCGAGACTCCGTCTCAAAAAAAAAAAAAAAAAAAAAGTCCAAACTACCTAAAGCAATCTATAGATTCAATGCAATCCCTATCAAAGTACCAATGACATTCATCACAGAAATAGAAAAAAAAACTATCCAAAAACTTATATGGAACCACAAAAGACCAAGAAGAGCCAAAGCTATCTTAAGCAAAAAGAACAAAACTGGAGGAATCATATTACCTGACTTTAAATTATGCCACAGAACTATAATAACCAAAACAGCATGGCATTGGCATAAAACCAGACAGACCCATGGAACAGAACAGAGAACCTGGAAACGAATCCACACATTTACAGTGAACTCATTTTTGACAAAGGTGCCAAGAAAATATACTGGGGAAAAGACATTCTCTTCAGTAAATAGTTCTGGGAAACTAGATATCCACATGCAGAAGAATGAAACTAGACTCCTATTTCTCGCCATATACAAAAGTCATATACAAAGTAGACTAAAGGATTAAATCTAAGACCTCAAACTATGAAACTACTATAAGAAAACATTGATGAAAATCTCCAGGACATTTGTCTGAGCAAAAATTTCTTGAGTAGTACCCCACAAACACAGACAACCAAAGCAAAAACGGACAAATGGGATCACATCAAGTTAAGAAGCTTCTGCACAGCAAAGGAAACAATCAACAAAGTGAAGAGACAACCTCCAGAATGGGACAAAATATTTGCAAACTACCCATCTGACAAGGGATTAAAAACCAGAATACGTAAGGAGCTCTAACAACTCAACAGGAAAAAAAAATCTGATCAAAAAATGAGCAAAAGATTTGAATACACATTTCTCAAAAGAAGACATACAAATAGCAAGCAGGCATATGAAAATGTGTTCAACATCACTGATCATCAGAGAATGAAAGTCAAAACTACAATGAGATATCATTTCTCCCCAGTTAAAATGGTTTTTATCCAAAAGACAGGCAATAACAAATGCTGGCTAGGATGTGGAGAAAGGGAACTCTCCTACACTGTTGGTGGGAATGTACATTAGCACAACTACTATTGAGAACAGTTTGGAGGTTCCTGAAAAAAATAAAAATAGAGCTACCATATATCCAGAAATCCCACTGCTGGGTATGTACCCTCCAAAAAAAGAAATCAGTATATTGAAGAGATATCTGAACTTCCATGTTTGTTGCCACAATGTTCACAATAGGCAAGATTTGGAAGCAACCTAAGTGTCTATCAACAAATGAATGGATAAATAAAATGTAGTGCATTTACACAATGGAGTACTATTCAGTAATTAAAAGAATGACACCCTGTCATTTGCAACAACATGGATGGAACTGGAGGTTATTATGTTAAGTGAAATAAGCCAGACACAGAAAGACAAACATTGCATGTTCTCACTTATTTATGAGATCTAAAAATCAAAACAATTGAACTCATGGAGATAGTAGGATAGTTATCAGAGGCTGGGAAGGGTACTTGGGCACTGGAGGGGGAGGTAGGGATTGTTAATGGATACATAAAAATAGAAAGAATGAATAAGACCTACTATTTGATAGCACAATAGCATGACTCTAGTCAACAATAAGTTGATTGAACATTTTAAAATAACTAGAAGAGTGTAACTGGATTTCTTGTAACACAAAGGATAAATGTTTGAAAAGGTGGGTACCCTATTCTTCATGATGTGATTATTTCTCATTACATGCCTATATTAAAATATCTCATGTATTCCATGAATATATACACCTACTATGTACTCACAAAAATTAAAAATAAAAAGTTTAAAGTAAAAAAAGAAGATAAAAAACAAGATCTGGTGTTAAATGTGCTCATTACTCTGAAGTTTCACTGCTTCTAGGCCCTTTAAGAGTTAGGAAATGTATAAATGTATATACTATGCCACAGATATAGTCACATGTATATTTCTTAATCTGTCTACATTTATATTAAGAACCATTAATTTATACTGACACCTCTTACTCCAATCCAACATTACAGGGTGTATTTTGGCCTACCTCCTTTCTTTTAATAAGTCTTTCTCCAACAGTGAGAAACCTGGCTCTTATTATCTACAATATATGTACTTAGTTGTTCAATTCTAATGTACATGTAAAGGTAGCTTCAGTAGCACTAATTCATACCCCTGCAAGAAACCCTTTTACTAACTAGATTACAGCACTTTAGTACCATTCTTTTTGTCATTAGCCTTTTATTGCCCAGAAAAGATACTTAGAGTTACCTAGTTATTTTCTTCCTCACTTGCTTAACTGTGGTTGTTATTCATTCTTAATACATTTACTTTCATTTGTTAGTATTTGTATTCCATTTAGGGTTTCCCACACTTCTTGGTTGGTTTTATCATTTATTTATTTGGGATTATGTGAAGGGTATGTGAGACATAATTATGATTCCAAGAGTCAGAGCTACACAGAAAGATATAATCAAAGAAATGTTACTGTACTTCATCCTTGCTAACCTCATTTCCTTCTTTATTCCTTTCCCTCTAGGTAATCAGCCTTACTAGTATTTTATCTTTCCTGTATTTCTTTTGAACAAATGAGCAGATAACTATTTACTTTCTATATCCTTTCTTTCCTACATGAAGGTAGCATGCTATGGATACTCTTTTGTGCTTTGCTTTTTTCATTTGACAGTCCATCTTGGAAATCACTCCATATTAGTTCATAGAGCTCTTCCTCATTCTTTTCTTATACCTATTTAATATTCCACTGCATGACATGCTATAGTTTATTAAATCACTCTCCTGTGGATGGGAATTTAGGTTGCTTCCAATACTTTGCAACTAAGAACAATATTGCAACTAATAAACTTTTGCATTCCCATCAGCAATGTATGAATGTACCTATTTTCCCACAGCCTTCCCAACAGAATGTATTGCCATATTTTTACATTTCATGGAGTCTGGAAAGTGATAAATGGTATCTGAGTGGTTTTAATTTGCATACGCCTAGTTTCAAGTGAATTTAAACATTTTCCCTATGTTTTAAGGTCATTTTTATTTTTTTAGGGTGAATTTTCTCTGTGTATGTTTCGTTTCTCATTTCTCTATTGAGTTTTTGGTCCTTTCTCCTTCCTTAAATTTTAACAAAATCACTTGGCTATTGTGCTGAGGACAAGCTGTAGGACACTGGTAGAAGCAGAGAGACAGTTAGTTGATTATTCAATAATCTAGATGAGAGATATAATGCAAGCTAATCACAGTAGAGGTGGTGAGCAATGGTCGGATTCCAGGTATAATTTGAATGTAAACCAAGAGAATTTCCTAACAGACTGGTTGTAAGGCACGAGACAAAGGAAAAATTAAGGTGGACTCCAAAGGATTTCCACCTGATCAAGTGGAAGCCTGAATTTATCATTAACTAAGATACAGAAGATCTTGGTTGAGGCAAATTTTGGGTGGGTAATAACCAGAAGCTGATTTTGGCCTGTGTTGATTTTGAGATGCCCATTAGACTTCCAAGTAGAAATGTCAAGAAGGCAATTGGATATACAATTTTGGAGTCAAAAGAGGAGTTCCTGAATATAGACGGTATTTTGATCCATGAGAACTAGGTAAGATCATATAGATGTAAAATAAGAGACATAAAAAGATTGAGCTCTAAATAACTCCAACATTAAGAGATCATAGAGAAGGGGAGGAACTAGCCAAAGAGACTAAGAAGAAGCAGTCAACGAGGTATGAGGAAAAAAAAGATTATTATGTCCCTGAAGCAGAGTGAAGAACAAATTGCAGTGAAGACAAAATGATCAAAAGTGTCAAATGCTATTGACAGGTCAAGTAAGAGACTAAGAATTGACCATTAGATTTAGCAATATGATAGTTATTGGAGACCTTGACAACAGCAGCTTTAGAATGCTCTTGCAGAAAAGATAAAACTCTAATTTGACTGAATTTCAGAATAAAGTTAAGTAAGAGACCAGCAGCATTGGACAAATTATGAAGAATAATGTTGTGAAGTATTCAAGGCGCATTTCAGTATCATGAAATACAACATCAGAAGAAATACAGGTGTTTGATGACTTTCATGAGCAGCAAAGCTTTAATAAGGAGCAGAAAAATAAAAAAGGAGGCTAAATTTAAGTCAAAAAAGGTAGATGCAATATATTTATTAGGATTTATTTAACCAAACATTGATGATTACTACGTGTCAGGTACTATTCCAAGTATTTATAAATATAACTAATTTAATCTCTTCTTCTTCCAGTCTTTAAAATTAACTAAAATCATTTTTTTAAAAAAGAGGCCACAATTTTTTCTTTTCTGTTTATACTACTTCCTAAGTACTTAGCTAGACCTTCTAGATGTCTGGATATCTGGCCACTCTTTTGGTTCTTCATATATGCCATGCTCTCTTGTGCCTTAGAACCTTTAAGTTTGCTGTTTCCCCTGCTGGGAAAGTTATTTTAATCTGTCCCTTTTCTTATTTAATTCCTGCTTTTTCTTCAGATCTCAGTTCAACCATCATCTTTGAGGCAAAAATTTCAACTTCTTTATCTAAAGACAAGTAGAGGGCTACAATAGCATATTACAGAAATTTTAAGAGCTGTGCTTAATCCACTTTGCTCACCTTGAATCTCTAGTCCTCAGATAGTGGTTCTTATTTTCCATGAAATGAGGAAACATTGAAGGGTAATGGGGAATGGCTTAGGTTATGTTTTAAAAGGATCACTCTGACTGTTTTACTGAGATGAAAGTAGGGGCACAAAAGTGGAATAAGAAAGATAACTTATGAGGCTACCAATAATCCAATTCAGGGCTGATGATAGCACTGACAATAAAAAGTGGTCATATTTGGAGTATTTTGAAAGCAGAACCAACAAAATTTGTATTGGGTGTGAGGTGTGAGAGCAAGGAGTAAAGCATGACTTCAAGATTTTGCCTGAGCAACTGGTAGGATGCGGTTGTCATCAGCTGAAATGAGAAAACCTGTGGGTGCAGCTAGTTTGAGGGAAGAGCAAGATTTCTGTCTTGAACATAGGTTTGAGATGTCTATTTAGACATCCAATAGAGATATTAAATAGGCAGCTGGAATTCAAGAAAGCCTGGAAATAAAAGATAAAAACTGCAAGTTGGCAGTACATTGATAGTACTTAAAGCCATGAAACTGGATGAGATCACCAAGAGAGTGAGTATAAGCAAAGAGGCAAACCGTGGACTGAGTCCTCAGGTGTTTTAATGTAAAGAGATTAGGGAGAAGGAAGGGATCAGCAAGGAGACTGAGAATGACTAGTCAATGAGGCAGAAGTGTGGTCTTTCAGAAGTGAAATGAAAGTATATCAAGGAGAAAAGGAGTCAGGACAAATAGCTGGTCTCTAAATCAATGTCATTAAAAATTTTAAAAACAAAACCACTCACTTAAAAGCTCTACAGGGTATAACAGCTAGATAAGACACATAGACCTAGATTTAATACTGCTTTAGAAAAACCAGTGGTAAAAAACGTTTTGAGGCCAAATTGGTAAATTTAGCTTTAGTATTAGAGATGAAAACACTGAAAGGGAAAGCTCAAGGTTGCTGTTTTTTTTTTTTTTTTTAAAGGTATGTTCTCACTCTGTCAACCAGACTGGAATGCAGTGGCATGTTCACAGTTCACTACGACCTTGACCCACTAGGCTCAAGTGATCTTTCCACCTCAGCCTCCCAAGTAGCTGGGACTACAGGCACATGCCACCACACCTGGCTAAATTTTTGGCAAAGATGGGGTCTATTGCCATTGCCCAGCCGAACTCCTGGCCTCAAGTGATCCTCCTGCCTCAGACTTCCAAAGTGTAAGGATTACAGGTATGAGTATGCCAGGCCAATTCTTGACTTTAAAAGCAGGATTCAGAATAGTGTAAATAAGGACCTCATTTTGATCAAAAATATATGTATGTATGACGCACACAGAATGATCAGAAAGGATATATAAGGTATTAGTGGTAAACTTTGGATGGGAATATGAAGTTCTAGTTTTTAATATTTTGCTTGCTATATTTTCAATTTTTAATATTTCACTTGCCCTTCCCTCCCCCTCTTCCTTCTTCCGTTCCTCTTTCCCCTCCCTCCCTCCCTCTCTCCTTCCTTTGAGACGGAGTCTCATTCTGTTGCCCAGGCTGGAGTGCAGTGGCACCATCTCCACTCACTGCAACCTCCACCTCCCGGGTTCAAGCAATTCTCCTGCCCCAGCATTCCCAGTAGCCGAGATTACAGGCATGCACAACCATGCCCAGCTAATTTTTCTACTTTTAGTAGAGACGGGGTTTCACCAGTGTTGGTCAGACTGGTCTCAAACTCCTTACCTCAGGTGATCTGCCCACCTCGGCTTCCCAAAGTGCTGGGATTACAGGTGTGAGCCACTGCGCCTGGCCTATATTTTCTACAATACATTTGCACTGTTTCTATGACAGAATGTTTCAACATTTTTCAAAGGAAGTGATGATTCATGAAATTACATTCTGCTGATAAATCAAGAAGACTGACAATTGACTACTGAATCTAGTAATATGGAAGTCACTGGTGACCTTGACAGTATGTTTATGTGGTGTGGGGAGAGCAAAACCTGACTGAAATAGTTTGGCAGTTCCTCAAAACATAGTTAAACACAGTTATTGTATGACCCAGCAATTACAGTCCTAGGTATATACCCAAGAGAACTGAAAATATATACCCATTAAAAAACCTTGTACACAAATATACACAGCAACATTACTTGTAGCTGCCAAAAGTGGAAACAATCCAAATATTCATAACGAATGGATAAAATGTGGTATATCCATGATGGAATATTATTCAGCAATAAATAATGAAGTGCTGATAAATGCTACAACATGGATAAACCTTGAAAACATTAGACTAAGTAAAAAAACACCAATCACAAAGAAAAACATATTGTATGATTCCATATATATGAAATGTTCACAACAGGCAATTCCATAAAGACAGAAAGCTTTTTAGTGCTTGCCTATGGCATAAGGAGAGGTGATGGGGAATGACTGCTAATGGGTATAAGGTTTGTTTGGGGGATGTTTTGAACATTTTGAAAATGTTCTAAAATTATAGTGTTGATGGTTGTACAACTCTGTAAACATATTAAAAACCAGAGAACTGTGTACTTTAAAAAGCTGGATTTTACAGTACATGAATTATATTGCAAAACAGCTGTTAATAGAAAGCAGCAAAATCTAGCTGATCTGTGTATTTCACTTCTTTACAGTATTTTCTGATTTACTCTTTTGTTGCCATTGCACAGATTTTTTTTTTCTTTAACCTCTCTTACTTCCAGAGATTTGATCCTTTTTTTTTTTTTTTTTTTTTTTGAGACGGAGTCTGGCTCTGTCGCCCAGGCTGTAGTGCAGTAGTGGCACAATCTTGGCTCACTGCAACTTCTGCCTCCCAGGTTCAAGCGATTCTCCTGCCTCAGCCTCCTTAGTTAGGATTACAGGTGCCCGCCACTGTGCCCGACTAATTTTTGTATTTTTAGTAGAGACAGGGTTTCGCCATGTTGGCCAGGCTTGTCTCAAACTCCTGACCTCAGGTGATCCGCCCGCCTCGGCCTCCCAAAGTGCTGGGATTACAGATGTGAGCCACTGCACCCGGCCTGATCATTTTTTAATAACATTGTTCTCCTCCTCCTCCTTTAAGAGACAGGGTCTCACTGTGCTGCCCAGGCTGGCCTCAAACTCCTGGGCTCAAGCAGTCCTCCCCACTCAGACTCCTGAGTAGCTGGGACTACAAACACACCACCACGCTCAGCTAACTCCCCATCTCTTAATCCCTATCCCTACACCATTCCCAAACTTTCCCAAATCAAAGATTAACCAGACAGAGAAAATACACTTTTACAGTTTAAGAAATATTAAATGTGATAACTGTTCAGGATCTACTTTTTACACAATCTCAGTAACGTATGTACATAGTCCCAAAAAAAAAAAAAGCAGCATTTGCCTGGGAACACATCACTATAAGCAAACAAAACATCAAATGGCCTGAATTCTAAAATACCTTTGGATTATATAAAATTACATTGTAAAGTTACAAATGTTGCTCATTCTTGAGAAATGTTTGAATGTTTAAATAATGTTGCCATAATACATATTATTTCACGACATTAAAAAAAACAATGGTGAATACAAGGTATCATCATTTTAAGGGTAAAGAGATAAAGCAAGTACATATACAAATCCACTGGAAAAGCTAAGTTTGGAGCTGATTTCCTCTCTTGAATTGTAAAATTTCAGTAATACACAGTCACTATCTACTGCTGGAATAATGCCTGAGCAATTTAGGTAAAGATACAAACAATAACAAAAACCCTGCCCAAATATTCAAACTTGGAGAATTCTAGTTAAAATAATAGAAAAATATAAAATTTATCCTTCCAAAAAAAGGTATCTAAGACAAAGGTATAGATACCCCATGTAAATTATTCACAAGTCATATGTGAATCAACCTTTTCTGTATTCCTTAAAGTTGTACAATCGACTGATGAAAAAACAAGCTTCATATTCAAAGACACTTTCAGAACACACCTACAATTAACTTATTAATGCTGAAGTATATTTTAAAAAACAGCTATTTCACTGAAGTCTTTACAGGAGATTTTATTTTTGGTGCATCTTCTTACGCATTTCTTCAAGAGCTGCTTCTTTCTCTCTCAGCACCTGCTTAAGTCTTCTTATTTTTTCATCTCGAATGGTTTCTTCTAACTCCGGTGGTGTCACTGGGAAAATATCTTCGGTATAATTTTTATTGAAGAAATGACTTTGTTCATAAGCTGCATTTGAATTCAAAGTGCCTTTCTCTTGCTTCTCATGGGTATAGTATTCCATCTCAGTTCTCTTTTCTTGTCTGGTTTTGCTGTGACTCGTGAGAATGTTATGTTGTGACACATCTGAAGTTGGTAAAATACTGCTTAGGAGTTGGGAACCGGTGACATTAGCTTCCCCATTTATGATTGCGTTATAAGCATTCTCTGTTTTTCTCTTCTTTATGTGATCCATCTTCTTATTAGTTTTTGCTTTTCTTTTCTTATCAAAATTCTGCTGCAATATTGAATAACATTCCAAAACAAAAACGAAATGTTACTGCTAAATGCACCGGGTACTACCAAACTTAACAACGTCTGCAGAAACAAATATCTAGCTATTACAATTAACAAAATTTATGGAAGACAACTACAGCAAGAGGGAAATATTTCCCACTGTATGGTACCAAAATGTCTTAATCATATTCAGTAAGAAGAAATTGCCTAATTCACATTTTCTTGCTCAAGTCAAGTATTAGAAGGCATACTGACTCACCACAGAAATATAATAGCACTTGTAAAGTGCCTGAGATATAAAATTGATTGTTTTTTTCTTTTCCTTTGCACAGCAGGCACATATGGAGGATTTTCATTCGAAAAGGTTTACTAGTCTCTGATCTAAAGTTCAGAATATTACATGATAATGACATACTCATAAGTCAAAGTATAACAGTAGGCAAAGTTATAGACATTTCTTTTTATCATTATTAGCTATATAAGTTGCTTAAAAGGTTATTATTAAGAACATATGCATGCTTATATCTTCTACTACATTTGAATTATTTCCTTTAGATAGAGTCCTCAAAGTAGGATGACTAGTTAAAAAGCTATGGCCATTTTCTTGTAACATAATGGGAAAAAAATGTAGTAGGTGAATAAAAAAAATTAAAACATATCTTTAACTGGGATGCATTTTTACCTGTGCGTGTGTGTGTGTGGGGTGGGCGGTGTTTATATATATATAATTTTTTTTTTGAGACAGAGTTTCGTTCTGTTGCCAGACTGGAGTGCAGTGGTGCGATCTCAGCTCACTGCAACCTCTGCCTTCCGGGTTCAAGCGATTCTCCTGCCCTCAGCTTCCCAAGTAGTTGGGACTACAGGTGCGTGCTACCTCACCCAGCTAATTTTTTGTATTTTTAGTAGAGACGGGGTTTCACCATGTTGGCCAAGATGGTCTCGATCTCTTGACCTCGTGATCCGCCCGCCTCAGCCTCCCAAAGTGCTGGGATTACAGGCGTGAGCCACTGCACCTGGCCTGGTTCTTTTTTTTTTTTTTGAGATGGAGTCCTGCCCTGTCGCCTGGGCTGGAGTGCAATGGTGCGATCTCGGTTCACTACAAACTCCGCCTCCCGGGTTCAAGTGATTCTCCTGCCTCAGCCTCCTGAGTAGCTGGGATTACAGGCAACCACCACCAGGCCCAGCTAATTTTTGTATTTTTAGTAGAGACGGGGTTTCATCATGTTGGTCAGGCTGGTCTTGTATTCCTGACCTCAGGTGATCCACCCGCCTCAGCCTTCCAAAGTGCTGGGGCCTGGTTGTTTTAAATATCATTTTGGTATTATGTATTTGCAAAACCAGTAACAACCATCATTTATACTAATGCACAAGGGTTAAAACCAAATCAAGAAAAGTAATATTCATGTATCATTTGTAGTACCTATGAAGAGCACATTAAAATGTATTACCTACCTGTTTTCTCTCTCCTTCCTTCACCATAAACTCTGTCTCTTTGTAAGTACCACTCTTTACCAAACTGCTAAAGGAATCGAAACCTTCTCCAGAGGTCAAATGGTCAGGAATTCGAGTAAGGCACACTCTCAAATCCTTAGTAAGGCCAAATATCTTTTTAAATTCAGCATCACTCTTCAGATGTAATGCCTTATTACTTCTTCCTTGAGAATCTTTCTTGTCATTTCTTCCTTGGGCACCTTTATCTGATGTTGATGCCATCTCATTATGGATCTGGAATTAGGAAAAGAAAACACACAAACAATACTGCTAATTATTCAAGTTACTTTATTAAGCAACTAAGTGATTATTTCATCTTACATAAAAGAACATATCATGCTTTATGATTGGTTTGTATTATCCTTGCCTTACCACCCACACTCAAAAAACTGAATATAAGGAAGTACAAACTTAAAATATTCCCCCCTACAATTTCTCAATTAATTTGTTGCACTAGAAAGGTAATAAGTAGTCAATTCTAAAACAACTAAAATGAGAATACAGACTAATGACAACGTTAAAATAACATATATGACATTATTTAGAAATTGTAGTCTTCTGGAAAAGTCACACATGCCTTTAATCGATCTTGTATTGAACAATCAGAATTTACCTCCTTACATCTCTGGAGTTCAATGAATTCTGTACTGAAGGGGAGAAATGCTGACATTATTGAGTAGACCTCTAAGTAAGCAAGGAAAAGATGGGTACAAATATCTAGTAAGCACACAGACAGACAAACCTTAAGTCGAACATAAAGGTAACTATGTGGGCATGTTGGGTAACTGGCTGAGGAGTCACAAAGAGCTAATAAAAAGGAAAATGAAATTTGTCTACCAAAAAAAAAATCAACCCATCAAAGATGCTGATAAAATCTTATTTCCACAAATTACTGAAAGGTATTGATTAGCCCTGTCTCACCTTTTCCATGGTATACCACCACCACCACCACAAAAAAACCCCACAAAACCCCAAAACCAACTCTTTTACATGCATATTGATCTCCTCATATACTAAAAAGGCTATTATATATGAACATACATATATACATGTATGTATATACATATACTCACATATTTTTACTAAGCTTTGAATTCACATTATCCTTCCCCAACTCTTCTAAACCTTTTTGCTCTGTGAATTTTTTGTTTTAAAGATTTGGCATGCCAAGTGATTCAAGAGAAAGACTGTACTCCTTTGTACAAGATTGTACCCAACTGTACTCCTCCTCAAATTTGCTCAGATGGAAGTTTTGACTTAAATACTCATATGTGTATAGTCTGTGTGTGATGGGGTTGGCAGTGGGGGAAAGAGGTATCATAGATAACTTTGAGAATTAAGAAAACAAACTTTTCTATATAGATATATAAAAAGAGCACCCTGACATGGGAAAATTACCTTTGGTTCTTGGTCTCTGAAAACACACTGTTGTGAAGTAACAGTTGTTGCATCAACAGAGGAACTTATTTTCTCTATGCTCTGGAGGACACTTCCTTTTCTAGCATAAATGACGGCTGTTACTTTTCTGGGGGCATTGTGTCCTGTACTAAATCCAACTGGAAAGATTGGATTTGTGAATAAAGTCTTACTCTGTTTTAAGTAGTTACTGGATTGGTTCATATGTGGATTTGTGGTAGAAGGAGATGGTTTCTCCACTTTATTCTTCTCTGCCCTTAGATTGGCCATGGAAGCAAGCTGGGTATTGGAAAGTGATTTTGTCTCCATCTGGGAAGATTTACTTTTAGCCAAAACAATATTTACAACCTCTCTGGATATTTCTGTGACTGGACTTGAACTCACTGTCTGTAACGTGTCTTTTCTTACTGGAGTATCAGGAGAAACAGAATTCTGTTGGTCAATTTGTGATGGCAGAACATCTGTCCCCTTTTTAGCCAACAGATAGACTTTCCCATTAAACATAACCAAAGCATTATCTTTAATAGGCATATTTTTGGATCGCGTCCCACTAGGATCGATGGTACTCAATGGTGGCATATTTATAGTATTATCTCCCAAATTTTTCCTATCTACAAAAGTTTTTAAAATCTTTGAAGCCACATTATTTGAAGACTTAACAGGAACAAGAGATGGCGTAAAAGGCTGTAGATTATCTTGGAAAATCCATTTCACTGGAGCAGCTTGAGAATGCTGACCACCTTTCAATTGTGTCTCTGTAGCAACATTCTTTGGAATTTGTGTGGTATTTAGTATTACTGGCTTTGCTATTTCTGTAACAGGTTTTGGGTAAATGTTTTGAAAGTTCTTGGTAACTACATTTTTCACTGTATTTACAGGAGATACATAAATAACGGTTGGCATTTGGGAGGCCTCAACCATTCCTGAGGTACTGGTGGTGGCAGTTGCAAGTATCTTTTGCTGCACTGAAGGAGGCAATGATGACGCTGGTACAGATTTCACTTCAGCATGGGCTGGAATCTGTAAATGATGCCCAGAAGGCAAAACTGGAGACTTCACAGTCACTGGAAGACTCTGGGTATTAACTACAATAAAAGATGAGTCTTTTTGTGTTGAGGGAGGAACAGCAAATGTTTGCATGGTGAGTCCATCAATTTTCACACCATGACTCTGAACTTTAGAAACTGATGAAGAAAAATTTCCAGTTCCCACAGAAGTAACTCTACCTTTTTCTGATGTATCTACTGTTCTTGTAAGAAAATAGTTTGAAGAACTGGCTGGCTGAAAAATGGGCAATTGAACTGATGCACTTGTGGAAGAGCTGGAAATCTGAGTCTGAAAAGTAACTTGAACTGGTTTTCCTGTATTCCCTTTCAAAGCATCAGACATGACTGAAGATTGAACTAGTGGTATAAGATTTCCAGAAGACTTAGGAATTGGAAGTAATTGCAGAAGATTTTTTCCATCCGAGCCAATCGTCTGAACTACTTGGTACATGCAGCCTGAAACACTTAAAAGAACATTGAGTAAATAAATACAACATACTACATGGTATATACATTTTATTTAAAAATAAATATTTGTAAATATTTGTAAATATTAAAATAAAGTATATAATTTTCCATTTTGAGTTTTTAAAGTGAAAGACTGCAAAACAAATATTTTGAAGTAGAAGAGATAATGATATAGTCAACTGCTTATATGATTAGGCAATGGGTATGAGATAATAACATTTATTCCTAAGACTAAAAGTAGACATTTCTAAGGTTTTGCCCTATATAAAATTATACTACTAAAGTAAGCTCCTCTTAAAATATTAGCATCCTCCCTTCCCCCTTTCCCTGAATTCCTTCCTCTTGTCCTCCTCCTCTACTCTAACTGAAGATTCTCATTCCCTCTCCCCTTACTCTTATTCCATTTCTCTCTTTTCCCCCTCAATCTGTTCTGTCTTCTTCCTTCAATAACTCACAAGTTCTGCCAGCCATTCTTCTTTTGCCTAAGCTATCTCTCATGGTGTTACCTTAGTTTGCCACATTTTTGTGCTATAGATTTCACTGAACTGTTTACATAGGAATCATTTTCTTCTGATTACTGTTTCAGCACATTTGAGGTTTAGTGCTACATAGTCTCTGGTATAGCAATTATTTATATTAGTCAATTGTCAATCACCTATCAACCCATACATATAATACCACTGCAATTTCAGCTGAATGGTTTTCAATCAATGTGGAACAGACTGGAAATCAATTTTTTTTAACTGAATCAATTCTGACCCCCATGCCTTGAATTATTTCTTAGTATAGACTGTCTAATCTTAAGAAAAATCAATATATACTAATCTCTGTTTGCATAATTAGTTATTTGGAGATTACTTGAATGTAAATACCTTACCTTATTTATATCTAAAACATTTTTCAGCTCCTGGGAAATATTGAGCTTTCATGTCACACATACTATCACTCTACCTAGGTACGCCTCACCCAACTCAACTCTTCACATAGCTCAAGTCTTGGCATAAATGATATTTCTCAAGAGATACATTTTCTGACCACTTTATCCTTGTCTTTCCTTCATAATTAATCCATAACATTATGCTTGTTAGCTTCCTTCATGGTATATATCATAGATTGTCATCATATATTAATATGTTTGTCTATAGACTGTCTCTCATATTATATTCTACCAATATGAGTGCAGCATCCATATACCATAGACCTAGCATGGTCTTAGATAACTAAGATCAAATAAATACAAAAGTTCAAGGGCAAATAATAACGATAATAATTAGGATTCTCAAAAGCATAAAGGTATGTTTTTAAAACTCTCAGGTATTAATAAAAATCAATACCCAAAATTCTATGTATCCGTAGAAATTTGGTTTACCTTTCTGCAGCCCGAATAACATTATTATATCCTTACAAAAATTTAAAAGTCTTTTGGACACGTGAGAGTGGGTCAAAATATTACATTGACATTTTGTTATTGTTGCTGTTGAGACAGGGCCCGGCTCTGTCATCCAGACTGGAGTGTAGGTGTACAATCTTGGCTCACTGCAATCTCCACCTCCTGGGCTCAAGCTATCCTTCTACCTCAGCTTCTCAAGTAGCTGAGACCACAGATGCACGCCACCAAACCCGGCTAATTTTTGTATTTTTTATAGAGGCAAAGTTTTGCTATGTTGTCCAGGCTGGTCACACACTGACTTTTAATAAATTAAAAGTTAACTTCTAAAGAGAATAAACCCAAAGAAAAGGATGAATTCTTGCTTTCAGGGTTTTAAGAGGAAAAATCTACCTTTATTACCTCCCTGCACCACAAGAAAAGCACATTTGACCTGGATAAGAACATATTCAATATTAAGTCATTACACAAAAATTTACCAAGTGTCTGTTTTAAGTTAAGCACCAGGCTCATCAGGAAAAAAGGGTCAGTAAGCTGTAGCCTCTGGGCCTAATCTGGCCCACTCTGTTTCTGTGCATTCTTATATTTTAATTGATTTTTAAAAATCAAAAGAGTAACAGTAGCCTCTGTAGTGGCTCCTCAGTCTTCTTTGCCAACTCATACTTTTGAATCAACTTTCAAATGTTGGGAGTTTACCAAAGCTTAGAAAGAATCCTTCTCTTCCTATTCTGTACTCTTTTGTTAGATGCTTTCTTCTCAATGCATAACTTCAATTAAATTATCACTTACGCATGAACAATTTCAATATTTCTATCTGTGGCTTCTTTGAAATTTAGGCTTATACATCCAAATTCCCTTTTAACATTTTCATTCAGAATCTCAAACGTTCCTAAAATTCAACATGGCCAGCAGATCTCTGCCCATCCTAATCCCCCCAAGTTCCATCTTCTGCAGGGTTTTCTTTGCTAAATAGCATCTCATCTACCTTAGGTGCCTTAAGTCAGAATAGATAAATCCTCCTTTCTTATTCCTTATATTCAGTGATCACAAAATCCTGTTGATATTGTCTCCTAAATTTCCTTTCATCTGTTCAATTCTCTCCAAATCAACTGTTACCACTCTACTCCAAGCAAACATCATCTCTGGCTTAGAATACTACAATAGCTTCATGACTGATTTTTTTCTCCAATCATATCTTCTACCTTTCAATTTACTCAGCACACTAAAACTGATCTTTCCCTGCTTAAAACATTGCAGTGGCCTTCCATTATTCTTAGAGTCGTAGGAAGAAAACCATTGCTTCTGATGCAATGTTAAGCCAAAGGAACAGAGGATTTTAAGAAAATTGGGCAATTATACTAAAAGTTTCTGAGATGCCAAATAGGATAAGGATTAAAAATGTACACTGAAAACAGTGCTGTGAAGATCACTGATGGCTTTAATAAGAGCAGTGTGGTAGGGGAAAGAAGTTGCTGAGGAGTGGGTATGAAGCAAGTAGACAACTCTTTTTAAACTTTGACTGTCAAGGGGAAGAGAACGACTGGCAGGAAGCTACAGGAATAAATGGAATCAAAGAAGGGATCTTTCCTTTTTCTTTGTTTAAGGTTAGATTAACCAGAACATATGTAAATACTCAAGTGAGCCAGTTCAGGGAAGAAACTGGTAATAAAGGAACAAAAGGGATACACAATGAGAAGGAGGCAGGAAATGGAAACCAGAGAGACAGGTGGAGGGACTCAACCTTAAAGAGAGCTGGAGACCTATCTCCTTCCATTGCAACACTGGAGGAGAGATTATGTGCATTTTCAGGTAAGCATACAACTTTGGGGTTAGGAGGCTGAGGTAATTCTCATTTAATGGGTTTTATTTTCTTTATGAAAAATCACATGACATCATCTGCTAAAAGTAAGAGCAAAAATATGGAAAGATTTGAGGATAATCAAAGATTGGAACAGTCTTCGTGAAGGAGTAAACTGACCACAGAAGATATTAGAGTTGCCAGGATGTGTTGATGGCATGGGGAGACAGGTAGTGGTTATGAATTTATAGTGGTACTAATCTGTACTCGAGATTTTTCTTGTCACACCAAGCACAGATAAAGAGAAAGCATACTGAGTTCATCCAGGGTTGGGGTGGCATCAGGAAGGTGCAACAAAAAAATCAAAGAAGAGCAAAAGAATTTAAGGTATTGATAAGAGTTATTAAAATGAAACAGAGTCTAAACTGGATAGGAAGAAAATGAGAGAATAAAAGGCTAAAGTATAGGGATAAAATAAAGGGATTATTGGTCTGTAGGGCCAGATAAAGTTAACAGTTACAGTAGGAACAGTTAAACAACTCAGCTAGAAATACAGGAACTGGCATTTAGAAAACAGGATGCGTGAAACAGTTTCGTAGATGCAGCAATTTCATCTAATAATAAGTACTACAAAAGTAGATAGGTGCAACAGAACAGAGAATAAGATCACTGGGGGAAAAGATCTCTGTAATAAAGATGAGGTGACAAAGAGATTATCCATACGGATATTGAAATCACATGAGGGAAGATGGTGAGCTAGATGGTGAACTAAGCGCCAAGTTCAGTGACAGGAAGTTGGTAGATGGTGTTAACAAGCTGCAATTAAGTGATATGCCAGAAAGTTATCTTGAAGCCTACTTTCTTCTGCAGTCTATTTTCTTTCCTATTATTCTACTAAAACTTCATTCTCAAAGATTACCAAATATGTTCTCACAGTTAAATTTGTCTTTATCTTCATTCCCTAGGTACCTCTCTGTTGCAACTAATTATCCCTCCATATTGATCCTCTTACCTATCATAGTTTCCACTGTGTACAACCTCTGTTTCTCTTGACTTTCCTAATGCTCCCTTACTCATTTTCTGCATTCTAAGCATTCTCCTTTAACTATCCCACATTTCTTGACCCTGTTTTTCTCCTTCAAGACATTCTTCCTTAAAGACTGCAACAATTCGCCAGGTGCGGTGGCTCACGCCTGTAATCCCAGCACTTTGGGAGGCCGAGGCAGGTGGATCACGAGGTCAGGAGATCGAGACCATCCTGGCTAACACAGTGAAACCCCATCTCTACTAAAAATACAAAAAAAAAAAAAAAAAAAAAATTAGCCGGGCGTGGTAGCAAGCGCCTGTAGTCCCAGCTACTCAGGAGGCTGAGGTAGGACAATGGAGTGAGGAGGCGGCGGAGCTTGCAGTGAGCTGAGATCGCGCCACTGCACTCCAGCCTGGGCGACAAAGCAAGACTCAGTCTCAAAAAAAAAAAAAAAAAAAAAAGACTGCAACAATTCTCACGGCTTCAACTATTTTCAACTATCTTCTTTGGAATAATGACTCCCATAGTTATATCCTTTTATTCCTGTCCCCTACTGGAATTGACATCAGTTCCATATTTGTGATGTCTTACCAAACATTTTAATCCCATCACTTTAAATCTACGAAGTTAAAATTACTCTCTATTGAAAAGTAGTAGTCTATCCTACCATTCAATCATATGGCAGCGCCAATATTTTCCACATCATATAGGTTTCAAATCACCTAGTCATTGCTGATTTGTCTTTATCATCATTCTTATTTACTTTAAATTCATCCACAGAACCTTGCATATGTCCTTACAAAAGGCAAACATTTAATAAATGCATACTGAATCATCAAGTCTATACGGTTTTCTTTTTAACCCATTTCATCCATCTTTTCTTTCTTCATCATTGTGACTTCCACCATCTACATGAGATCCTCATCAGATGTGTCTAGCACTCATCATTCTCATCCCTACAGTATTTTGCTGATGTTGTTTTTCTGATTGCAGCCACTATTGACTATTATGTATCTCTGGCAGACTAAAATTGTTTTCATCCTGTTATCTCTTGTTCAAAGTTTTAGTATTCATCATTGCCAATTCAGCTGGACGCGAAAATCATCTACAATCTAGCTCCAACCAATCTCTACAACAATACCACCCACAACTTCTCAATGTGAAATCTCTGCTCTTACCAGAGAGATCTCTTTGCTATTCTGGAATATGCCATGTATATTACATTATTTACTCAAAGTATTATTATTTTTCTTCTCCAACAATATAAAATTAGTTTCCAATTCTATCTTTTCCATAAAATATCTGCCAGTCACTCCAGCTTAATTTCTTCCAACTTGGAATCCCGAATGTACTCCCATTGGTGCTATTAATGTTGGAAATTATATAATGCTTTCTTTATTGACTTTAATCTATTAGCTAATTTTTTAAAATGAGTATTGTTTCATTCAATAAGACTGAAACTCCTTAAGGTGAGAGGCTTTATAATTTATTTTGCAAATATCCTTCCAATACCAAGCATAGTATTTTATATGATGTCTATATTTCTGCTTTATAAAAAAAACTATACTGTGTGAGCTATTTTCCAATCTGATCACTAAATTTTTCCCTCTCTTTTCCTCTATTTCACCTCCAAAAAATAAAAAAAAGGAAGAAAAATTAAGCTTCTTCCATGTCAGTGTATCAGTGAGAGTCACATAATCTACCACAGACCATAAATTCCTGCAGGGTAGATTATCCTATTCATATCTATATACTCCGCATCTAATTCAGAAACTGGAAATTGCACACAATAATGTTAGCTGAATTGAATCCTACAAGGTATAATTTTTTTAAAAATCCATGATTTCTTGGCAACAAAATGTAATGAGTTCTAAAAATTAATCTGCAGAATGCTAAGAAGTAATAACTCAGGATGAAATTCGTACTCCTTCTATCAATATACAGTTTTTCATATCTAGAAGGAGCCTTCCATTGAAGAGATTAAATAATTAAAGTCCTACAAAGATTCTGTTTTCTGAAAGATCATATTCTGCGGGCTAATGTCAGAACTAAAACTAGAACCAGATTCTGCATCCCATTTTCTAGTCTGGTCACCTAATTACTTTAAAGTAATTACTTTAAACCAGCTGGTGTTCAAACTGAGAAACTACATTTGAAAAATAATACAGTTTAACAGTTTAAAAGAGAAAAGAGGAACATATTAGAAAGATTACAGGCTACTAATTCTGGTTCTTATAATTACAAGTTGACTAGAAAATGTACTTATCCTCTTTGAATCTGTTTCTTCATTTGTTAAATAGGGGAAAATAAAGCTTACTAGGAGAAGTAAATGAAATAACTGCCTGGGAGCATAACAGTTATCATCTTCCATTAAAATATGCAATTGGTCTCTGAGAATAAGGTAAGATAAGGTCTTTTAAAAATGTAATGAGAAATATGGCCGGGTGCAGTGGCTCATGCTTGTAATCCCAGCACCTTGGGAGGCTGAGGTGGGCGGATCATGAGGTCAAGAGATCGAGACCATCCTGGCCAACATGGTGAAACCCCGTCTCTACTAAAAATACAAAAATTAGCCGGGCGTGGTGGCACACGCCTGTAGTCCCAGCTACTTGGGAGGCTGAGGCAGGAGAATCACTTGAACCCAGGAGGTCGAGGTTGCAGCGAGCCACTGCACTCCACCTGGCGACAGAGCGAGACTCCATCTCAAAAAAAAAAAAAAAAAAAAAAGAATGAGAAATTTAATAAAAAGGCACATTAAACATATTGGTAATGTTATATAACTTCTGACATTTTTTACTATTCTAATATTGATATGAGGCATTCATATATTAGAAATAGACTAATAAAAATGTTGAAGGCTGATGAACATTTTATAGATATTTTTGCAAAATATATTTTTTTCAACTGCTAGGAAATCCTTTTCTTACTATCTATGACATAACATTATATACATATAGAACATAATATATCTAAGTACATAACATAGTTATCTATCCAATAATATGTACCATGTATTGCGTACATGATAGATATACCAGTTGTTACTAACTCTAATCCTAATAAACAGTCAAGAAAGTTATGAACTGCCATTCCCATTTTATACTTGAGAAAATGGAGATTTGGAAACATTTAATAACTTACTTAGAATTACACACTCCCCTTGAGAAAGCTTATCTACTTTCTATATTTACTTTAGCATAACCCCATTATAACAGGGTCCAAAAAATTCAAATGTATAAACTAAGAGATTAATGACAGATTTCATTTAGACTCTATAGTATGTGTGTCTGTCTCTCCCTCACACACACACAGACACACTCAAATCACAAAATAAAACACTGTACACAACAAAATGCATACTGAACTGACAATGAAGCATCATCATTCCAGTCAAACCAAACCCCCTGCTGAGAACACTTAAGTTTAGCTCCCCATTTGAATACAAATGGTTATGGGAAGATAGCTGCCAATGGCCAATCACATGATGTCTTAATTCTTATTATTGTAGGATATATAATCACAGGCTTTCATTATAGTACCTCTAAGGTGATGCTTCCCAAATCTCTAGTCTCAGCTCTGACTCAGCCTGAGTTTCATATTCAAATATCTGACTGCTTTCTTGATGTGTTCCTCATCTCAGTTAATTTACCAATATCCACCCAGAAAACTGGCATCATAATTGATCCCCCTTTCTTCCTGCCAATTCATTAACGAAGTCGGTCTATTTTCCCTTCTATATTTCTTTGAATCCAACCCCTACTGTACTGTACCAGCTAGTTCAGGCCCTCAGAATTTCTGAAAAGACAACTGAAATAGGATCCTTATATGTAGATCACTCACCCTCAAATCCAGACTGCCAACGTTATCTAAAATGTACACCTGTGTCAGTCTTTTTCTTAAAATACTCTGACCTATTTCCAATAGATGAAGTCTAATCTCCTTAGCAGGGCAAACAGAACCCTTAAGAGCTATCTATCTATCCTACTTGTACAGAATCAAGCAACAAGTATCAATCATAAACCATACACGTCCTTTATTTACCAGTTCTCTGCATAAGCATATCCTGCTTTTATCTTTAACTGGATAGCTGATACTTATGTTTCCCAACTCAGCTGTTCTTGGAATCTTTCTTCCAACTCCCTTTCTCTACTCTCTTCCTTTACTACATCAACTCTACTTTCCTCCTCCTCCACCATGACTGTAAGGTTTTCCCTGGCAACAGCCCATATCCTATTATTAATCAGTCTTCCCATTTAGCACAGTCTATCACATAGATAGTAGGCACTAAATGAATGTTTTTTCATCAAATGTTTAAACTGTATTGATAGTAAGTGGTAAGCTAGGATATGAACCCAAGTCTCTATGACTTAAAAGGTTCTTTCCACTATAGCGTTCTGACTCCTGCTTTATTCTTCGACAATAAAACCCAAATCAATATAAATTAAATGCATACCATCACAAATATCTTCCAGATTTTTCCTTTGTACTCTAAGATTAAATTTGGGTTTTACATGTGATGTTCTGATGAATTAAGAGATACTTCAAACAATATACAACAATATACAATTCTGTATTATGCTACTGAAAAATTTTAAATAAGCAGTAACAGGAAATATTTAAGCTACAAACAATAAGAAAATCATAGTCATTTAAGTTATAAAAATAAATGATTTAGTACCATCAAACATGTTACCAGAAAAATAAGAAAACTAAGTTTCCAATAAACTACAAGGGCCGTTAATATTATTTACAAAATTATATTTGGATGTTTTATTACTTACAGAACAGAATGGAATCAAATACGCAACCATTAACCAAAGTAAATGTCGAAGCTTCAGAAAGTCATCTGGTAAATGTCCCAAATATATGATGTAAAACCTCAATGATTTAAATAAATACATTCAAAAATAATAAAAACAATGCATAAATCAATGAGTTAATGAACTCAAAATGACTTATGAATGTAATTTGTAATTTAAAAATCTCCAAATCCCCAAAAGGATTAGAAACTGGATAACAGAGTTAAGGGTACACACACACACACACACACACACACACACACACAAAGTAAAGTTGTTTATCTTACTTTTTGTATTTAAAAATGCAATCCTAAAACAAATTTTCTATAAATTAAGCTAAGTCAGAAGTCAGTAAGTATTCAGGTACTAAAATAAGGCTGCAGAAATTAATCATTTAAAAAGTAATTCTACTTTCTCATATGTACACAGGGCACTCTCTGCCCCTTCCCCCAAACTTCCACCACAAAATTAAAAAAAAGAAAAAAGAAAAAAACACACAAGTACACCAAAAAATGGCTCTTTTTATGATTTGAAATACAATGGTTCTATCTTGACAGTTCAACAGAATTTTGGCTCATTACTATTAGTGACCATTTCCTTTTATAATATTGCTTTTAAGGACTCACCATTACTTACGGTCTTTATTGCAATGGAGTTTTCTACTTGCAATTAAAGAAAACTACCTGCTGGGCTAAAATCTGTACAGAATTAAAGTTGTATGCTTATAATAGTAATAGTTAACATTTAAATTGTGCTTTACTATTTTCCTACACGACGTATTTTACATTATTTCATTCTCCTAATCTTTAAAATATTTCTAAGTGCTATTATTTACAGACTGGAAACAGGTACCTGGCCTCACAAATGCTAACTAGCAAAGTTGAGATTAACCCCAGGTAGCTTGATTTTCTTCAAACGAAAATCCTCTTCCATGAGTTTTGCATCTTAGTTCTTCATTTTCTTATTAGAGTCTGCAGACCCTATTTTTTCCTCATCACTTAATCTACTAACCATGTGAGAGTACAAGTGAAAATATTCTGCTTTAGCTAACATTGTTTCCAATTCATTTCCTTGTAATACAATTTAAAAAAAAAAACCCAAAAACTAAGTTACTGATCATCTATTTTCTAACTTTACAAGAATATCTTCCTTAGAAATACTGGACTCTCCTCATGCCAAATATAAATAGCCAATGAAATGGCACTTCATTACACCCTACTTCAAAAAGGCTGTTCAAAAGGACTGACTTTACACGAGGATTTCTCCAGTCTTACTTCTCTCTCTTCACATAAAACTATTACTTGAAATTTTAAATATTCGATCTCCTCATTCTAAAGCCCTTTTTCTTCAATCACACACCCTTTCTGTCTCACTATTAAAATCTATTTTCACTGAAGGTCCAGCGCCACCAGGGCTGCACTTGCTAATCCGTGCTGACTGCTGCGTTTCTGCGTGTGCGTGAGAATCTTCCAGAAGGTTTGAGTCACATAAGAGCGTCGGCCATCTTGGTTTTCATCTCCCGTGGAGATCTACTCGGTCCGCCTATTAAACTTGAGACGCTGGGGTCCCGCGGAGCCGCTGTGTCAGGCTCTAAAGAGGTTTTACATTTCCCAGAGGAAAGCGCTCTATGGGCTTTAAGCGCCGCGGAGACAAGCGCTTCCCGCCTGGGTGGCGCACTCTGCGGGCTCCAACTCCTCTCAACTACACAGCGTCCGGAAACGACGGCCGACTCCACATCCCTAAGACGGACAGAGGGGCAGCCGTGGGGAGGATTCGAAACCGGTACTTACCAACGCGAGGCGTTGCCTGAATTTTCCTCTGCGGGTTTCAGGAAGACCCTCCGTAGGTTATTTGACATTTTAGTGGGGAGAAAGGGGACACCTCATCCAGAAAAGTGGGAAGCGTGGGGCCGAGTTTCCCAATGGGGCGAGAACCAGAGCGAGGGAATGTTGGGCTGGAGTTGCCCACAGCAACTGTGAGGGGTTCGACCTTAACGGAGGGCGACAGCGGGCTCTCGAGAGGGTGTATCCCCAGGCTTCGGGACGAGGTCGCGCACCGCGCAGAAACCGGAAGGCTCCTGGCGGTGGACTGCGCCCTCACAGCCCTACGCTGAGAGAGAATCGGCGTGAGTCTCCGCCCTCAGAGCCTACGACAACTCTCCAGACTCCGCCGGAGCAGGCGCAGGGGGCGTGGCCTTGGTGGCACCACCCCCAACAGAGCCTGGTCAGTGCTGAAGACTGCGTCAGTCTGGCTCTGCCGCCCCGCCCACTGAAGCCGATAGCTGGAGCAAAGCTCGGTCGGGCGTCTTCCGGGGTCGTCACGTCCGGTTGCCAAGGTGACTGGCTCGCTAAAGCCCAACCCTTATGATGCAATCCAATGGCAAGTGATATTTGCTATCTTTTCTTCCGGATCAAGGAACAAATCGCAAAAGAAAGCTCTCCCGACACCTACGCAAAATAAAATGTTTCCGGGGTCAATCATAAATTTTCTGCTTCTGTGCTCGCCGCTAGCGTACGTTTTTCTCTCCCGTCAGTGCATTAAAAGACATCGGCGCGCTTTTTTGGAGTCATGCACTTCTGGCCTGAGAAAACTTAAAACGCCTGCCTGTGGCCAGCGATTATTGTTGCTGCTTCTCTGAAGGTTTCCCATTTACTCCTCTTTCCTGAAGCTTTGCCTCTAGACTTACTTAACTCTTTCCTCCAGCCTACGTTCATCGAAACTATCACTTATTGTCATATAGACCTTTATTTCTGAAGGGAGATCTGGGAGTTGCATCAGAACATCCATTGTATTCATTAAATCATTTATTCAGCTGTCCATTGCAGTTGATGCTCTTTATCTCACACTATTTGAGAATTTTTCCTCGCAGCACTATTAATTAGTCCCTCATCTTGACGCCATTGGCAATATACTTTCCTGGTTTTGCTCCTACCTTTTTGTCTACACCTTCTCAATCTCTTTTGAAGATATCTCCCTTTTCAAGGGAGTTCCTTTCAGCTTGATCACTGATTCTCTTATGTTTTCAAACTGTCTTGTCTCGATTCGTGGTTTTATTCATGCTCCTGGATTGAATTACCACCTCCACCCATTATTTTACCACCAAACACATGTATGTCCTTGGCACTGATTTAAGTGTTTTACAAAATTAATTTACTCCTAACAGCTAATAAAATAATTATTATATGCAGATGAAGTAACTGATGCTCAGAGAGGGTGAACAAATTTTTAGAGGTCATAGAGCTTGTGAGTGATGGAGCCAGGCTCCAAATCCAGGTTGTCTGGCTAAACACACCATGTACTACTGCATTATGCTGCCGTGTGACTCATAAATTTATGTTCCCAGTTCTGATTTCTCTGAGATCTATACCTGGATGTTCAAGTGAATTGTTGAGATATCCTTTTTGCTATTTTAAAAGCCCCTTCAAATGAAACATGTTCAAAACCACACTTATGACTTGCTTCTCTTCCCCCCACTACACGTTTTCTTTTATCAGTGCTATCTCAGAAAGAAAGAAAGAAATAACTTCCTTCCATTAAAGTTGCCTAAATCCCAGTGTCATCCTTAACACTTTCCTTTTTTTATTCCAAAATATACAATTCACCAACTTTTGCAGATTTTATCTTCTAAATATCTTACAAGTCTGCTTTATATTTCTATTACTACTACTGTAGAGCAAGCTTACTTGGTCTAGTAAAGCTTTAACGGATACCCTCATATCCACTCCTTTTTTATTTATTTATTTTTTTAGAGGGAGTCTCACTCTGTCACCCAGGCTGGAGTGCAGTGGGCAATCTCAGCTCACTGCAAGCTCCGCCTCCTGGGTTCACGCCATTCTCCTGCCTCAGCCTCCTGAGTAGCTGGGACTACAGGCGCCCGCCACCACACCCAGCTAATTTTTTGTATTTTAATTAGAGATGGGGTTTCACTGTGTTAGCCAGGATGGACTCGATCTCCTGACCTCCTGATCTCCCCGCCTCAGCCTCCCAAAGTGATGGGATTACAGGCGTGAGCCTCATATCCACTCTTGTATTCCTGTAAATGCTGCAGCCAGAGATACCATATGGAAACACAAATCTGATGGTGTCATCTCACTGCATTAAAAAAAAAAATCAGTTTCCCCATTGCTCTTATGATAAGGATCAAAATCCTTGATTCTTTTCCTTTTTTTCTTTTTCTTTTTTCTTTTCTTTTTTTCTTTTTCTTTTTTAGACAGGGTCTCACTCTGTCACCCCAGACTGGAGTACAGTGGCGTGATTTCAGCTCACTGCAATCTCCATCTCCTGGATTCAAGCGATTCTCGTGCCTCAGTCTCCCGAGTAGCTGGGATTACAGGTGCGCACTACCACGCCTGGCTCATTTTTTGTATTTTTAATAGAGACAGGGTTTCACCATGTTGGCTAGGCTGGTGTCTAACTCCTGACCGCAAATGATCTGTCTGCCTTGGCCTCCAAACGTGCTGGGATTACAGGCATGAGCTACTGTGCCCAGCCAAAATCCTTGATTCTAATCAAGATGTTGAACTAGTACAGACGGCTGACACCTGGAGAAATAAAAAAAAAAAAAGGAAGTTTAGATTTTTAGGAATTAACAGCAACAACCACCACACACACACACACACACACACACACACACACACACACACAAAAAGCAGCTGTGAAAATTTCGATCTGTAGGACATTTTCAGAACTGGTATGTGAGTGTATAGAGTGTTACAGGCTAAAGCCAAGGGCCACCACGAGAAGCAGAGGGTGGAGGCAACTATTTGAATTTTTCTCTTGTAACAGATATGATCATTAATTGTCCTTTGAAAATAAACCTGTAGCAATAGCCAAGCCCCTGGTATGGACAGGATAAAGTCAAGGCAGGAAAAACCCATGCTAAGGTAAGGCACTGATGAAAACAGATGCAGGATTACCTGCCAGTGTTGGGAAGTCACTACTCCATCCTTTCCGCAAAACCACCCTGGCTGGTATATTATAAATAGGTAACTTGACTTTTATCAGTGTGGTCTTGCACTACAATTTAAATATAACTCTTACCATGGAAATTGCCTTTTGGAGTGGAAGCTAATTGGTATGATCAGCAGTGCTTCTTTGAATTCCTTAGGACATACACTTTTCTTCTAAATTCATTGGGAAATGCAGACTGAGGCTTAAATATCTTTTTGTTGTTGTTGTTGTTGAGACAGAGTCTCGCTCTGTTGCCCAGGCTGGAGTGCAGTGGCACGATCTTGGTTCACTGCAACCTCCGCCTTTCAGGTTCAAGTGATTCTCCTGCCTCAGCCTCCTGAGTAGCTGGGACTACAGGCACGCATCACCTTGCAATTCAGTTAATAAAGACTAGTTTAAAGACATATTTAGAAATGAAATGACTGTTACTAAATTAGCATTACAAAAACAGATCAAAAATGTTAAATGTACAATCAAGTTACATGGAAAATTAAAGTAATAGAAAACTACAGTAGACCCTGCTTATTCAGTTTTACCTTCTGTAGTTTCAGTTACCCATGGTCAACCATGGTTCAAAAATATTACATGGAAAATTGCAGAAATTACCAATTCACAAGTATGAAATTGTGTGCCATTCTGGGTAGCATGATGAAATCTTGAGCTGTCCTTTTTTGCCCCACCAGGGTGTGAATCATCCCTTTCTCTAGCATATCCCCACCTGTTAGTCACTTAGGCGCCATCTTGGTTTTCAGATCCACTGTCATGGTATCACAATGTTTATGTTCAAGTAACCCTTATTTACTTAAAAATGGCCCAAAGTACAGGAGTAGTGATGCTAGCATGTTGTTCTATTTTTATTATTAGTTGTGATTAATCTCTTACTATGCTTAACTTATAAATTAAACTTTATTATAGGTATGTATGTATAAGAAAAAAAAATGTAGCCCGTATCCAGTCTGGTACTATTCATGGTTTTAAGCATTCACTGGGAGTATTGAAACATATCTCCCACAGATATACTACAGTATATCAGTGAAAATCAGAAAAAAATGAACATATTTGGGGGATGAGAGTGAAGCCAAATATGAACTAAAATAAACACACTAGATGAGATAAATAGTTGAATGCATGCAGCTGAATAAAGAATTAGGAGACTGATAGAAGAGAGTAAAGAAAATGTTGGAGGGCAGTAGGAAAGGATAAAAAGAGAGCAAATATAAAAATAAAAGTTAAAATTTGTCTAATAGAAAAGTAGAAGTTTCAATATCTGGAAAATAGGATTGCAGAAGGACAGAAATTAAAACAAATATTTTTTAAATCTAAAAACTATTTTTCCAGAATTAAAGAAAATAGAAAGATGTCAGTTAAAGCATGTCCTAAGGTATCAAGTGAGAGAAATAAGAAAAAAAAAACATGCCTTAAGAAATTAAAACTAGAATATCAAAAAGAAAAAAAAATAAAGCCCTCAGGGAGGAAAAATGTATTATTTTCTGCATACCAAATAACCATATATTTCTGCATAACAAATAACCATAAATTTAGCAGCTAAAAATAACAAATGTCAGTTAGGAGTCTAGGCACAGCTTAGTCAGGTCCTCTGCTATAGAGTCATTTACAGGGCTGCAATCAAGGTGTTGATCAGGGCTACTGTCTCATCTGAAGGCTCAACTAGAGAAAAAGCCAATTTCAAGCTCTTTTGTTGTTGGAGGGATTCAGTTCTTTGCAGCAGCTGGATTGAGGGCCTGTGTTTCTTGCTGGTTGTTGGCCAAAGGCTGCTGCCCTCAGTTCCTTGTCATGAGGGTTGCCAAAGATAAACCCAACTGGACATTAGTTAAAACATTGAAACAGATTTTATTCAGTAACTACTGATAGTAAGAGAAACAACTGAGTTCCACTTTTATTTGTGCAGAGGTGATTGGGTGTTTTAAAGGGAAAATGAGGGACCCATGAGCAGAGGCTCAAGAAAAGTCAGAGAAGTAAAAAATTACAAAAGATTGATCTACATAAATGCATCTAGGCCAGCTGTGTCTGCTCTCTGGCAGTTATTGAAGTTAGGACTCTATTTGCTTAGAAACTGAGAGACAGGGGTCTTATCCTTCCTGATGATTACATTTCAAAGGAATGTCCTTCAGTTTCTTCAGAAGGACACTTCTGAGTTGTAGGAGATACATATACATTTCAAAGGGAAATGAAAAGGACACATAATTATAAGCCCTTTTTAGTAAATGTTCTAAGAAAGAACTTATCATCAGGTGTTGGCTAGAGCAAACAGTAAATTCTTGTAGCAGCACTGAGCTTTGTCAGGCAGGCATTTTAATGGGAGGCTGAAGTAAACTTAAGGACATGGCCTTATCTCTTAAAAGCAATGCTAGAGTTTGGATGCCTTTTAGTGCAGAGGTTTGGACACAGTTTTTCTGGCCAAGAGTGTTGTAGTTCTCACATCCTCTCCAATTTGGCAGCTTTATCAAAGCTCACAAAGAAGAGAGTCTAGTAGTAAGATGAAGGTCATAATCTTAATGTAGCTTAAGTATGGAAGTGACATCCTATCACCTTTGATGTATTCTGTTGGTTACAAGAAAGTCACTAGGCCAGCCTACACTTAAAAGGTAATGATTACATAAGAGTGTGAATACCAGGAGGTAGGAATAATTGGGAGCCGTCTTAAACTTGACCTATCACAAGGAGTAAGCATTTTAAAAAATCAAATTGGCATTAGATATCTTAATAGATAATAGAATATTTGATGCAAGAATACAATGAAACTTTAAGCTATTAAGGAACAATTGAAAAAAGATAAAATTACGAGTCATGCAAAAGTAAATGAACATGTGTTGTGTTTTTTCCAGTGTCTTTTTTGTTGTGGCAGAGACACAACAAAAAAGAAGACATTAGGCCAATATCCTTGATGAACATCAATGCAAAAATCCTCAAAAAAAAATACTGGCAAATCAAATCCAGCAGCATGTCGAAAAGCCTAACCACCATGATCAAGTAGGCTTTATTCCTGGGATGCAAGGTTGGTTCAACATATGCAAATCAATAAATGTGATTCATCACATAAACACAACTAAAGACAAAAACATGATTATCTCAATAGATACAGAGAAGACTTTCAATAAAATTCAATACCCCTTTATATTAAAAACCCTCAACAAACAAGGTATTGAAGGAACATACCTCAAAATAATAAGAGCTACATATGACAAACCCAGAGTCAACATCATACTATTTGGGCAAAAACTGGAAGCATTCCCTATGAAAACCAGCACAAAACAAGGATACCTTCTCTCACCACTCCTGTTCAACATAGTATTGGAAATCCTGGCCAGTGCAGTCATGCAGGAGAAAGAAAGAAAGTACATCCAAATAGGAAGAGAGGAAGTCAAACTATCCCTGTCAGCCAATGGCACAATGCTATATCTAGAAAACCCCATAGCCTCAGCCCAAAAGCTCCTTCAGCTGATAAACAACTTCAGCAAAGTCTTAGGATACAAAATTAATGTACAGAAATCATTAGCATTTCTATACACCAACAGCAGTGATGCAGAGAGCCAAATTAGGAATGCAATCCCATTCACAATTGCCACAAAAAGAAAAAAGTATCTAGGAATACAGCTAACCAGAGAAGTGAAAGATCTCTACAAGAGGAACTACAAAACACTGCTCAAAGAAATCAGAGCTGACAAAAACAAATGGAAAAGCATTCCATACTCATGGATAGGAAGAATCAATATAGTTAAAATGGCCATACTGCTCAAAGAAATTTATAGATTCAAGGATATTCCTATTAAACTACCAATGATGTTCTTCAAGGAACTAGAAAAAACTATTTAAAAATTCATATGACACCAAAAAAGAGCCTGAATAGCCAAGGCAAGCCTAAGCAAAAAGAACAAAGCTGGGGGTATCACACTAACAGACTTCAAACTATGGTAAAGGCTACAGTCACCAAAACAGCATGGTGTTGGTATAAAAACAGACACATATATCAATGGGACAGAACAGACAGTCCTGAAATAAGGCTGCACACTACAGTTATCTGACCTTCAACAAAGCTAACACAAGCAATGGGGAAAAAACTCCCTTATTAATAAATGGTGCTGGGATAACCGGCTAGCCATATGCAGAAGATTGAAGTTAGGTGCCTTCCTTACACCATATACAGAAATCAATGCAAGATGGATTAAGGACTTAAATGTAAAACTCAAAACTATAAAAATCCTGGAAGACAACCTAGGCAATACCATCCAGGACATAGGAATGGGCAAAGACACAAAAAGCAATTGCAACGAAAGCAAACATTGACAAATGGGATATAACTAAACTTTCGAGCTTCTGCACAGCAAAAGAACTATCAGCAGAGTAACTAGACAATCTACAGAATAGGAGATAATATTTCCAAACTATGCAGCTGACAAAGGTCTAATATCCAACATTATAGGGAACTTACACACATTTACAAGAGAAAAACAAACAAGCCCATTGAAAAGTTGGCAGAGGACATGAACAGACACTCTTCAAAAGAAGACATACATGTGTCAAACAAGCATATGAAAAAAAGCTCAACATCACTAAGCAGTAGAGAAATGCAAATCAAAACCACTATGACATACCATTTTGCACCAGTAAGAATGGCTATAAAAAGTCAAAAAATAACAGATGCTGGTGAAGATGTGGAGAAGAAGAAACACTTACACACTGTGGTGGGAGTGTAAATTAAGTCAACCAGTGTGGAAAATAGTGTGGTGATTCCTCAAAGACCCAAAACCAGAGCTACCGTTTGACCCAGCAATCCCATTACTGGGTATGTACCCAGAGGAATATAAATCATTCCACCATAAAGACACATGCACACGGATATTCACTGCAACACTATTCACAATAGCAAAGACATGGAATCAACCTAAATGCCCATCAATGGTAGACTGGTTAAAGAAAATGTGGTACATATACACCATAGAATACTATGCAGCCATAAAAAAGAGTGAAATCGTGTCCTTTGCAGCAACATAGATGGGGCTGGAGGCCATTATCCTTAGCAATCTAACACAGGAACGGAAAACCAAATACCAAATATTCCCACTTTTAAGTGGGAGTTATGATGAGAACACATGGCCCCATAGAGAACAACAGACACGAGGCCTATTGTAGGGTTGTGGGGGAGTGAGGAGGGACAGCATCAGGAAAACTAACTAATGGAGACTGGGATTACTACTTGGGCGATGAAATAATCTGTACAACAAATTCCTGTGACACAAATTTACCTATATAACAAACCTGCACATGTACCCTTTAACTTAAAACTTAAATTAAAAAAAAAAAAACTCCCACACATTTCAAAAGGACAATGAGCCACACCCATCCACATAAGGCGTTTCAACTTTTCACCTTAATTCAGTTAACCCCCCTCCTACTACTTAATAACTCACAAGCTGCAGCTCTTCAAATTGTCACCTTGGCTACTCAGTCCTCTGTATCCTCTCCCTTTAATTTTCCCCTCTTTCCTCTTTGCTTATTTGTATTTGCCTCCATGTTCTTCCATTTTATCTCTTATTTCTTTCACCTTTTCTATCTCTCTTTTGTTCTCTTCCTTACACAGGCTGGGTGGTAGGTGTGGGAGCTGGGTGCAGTGGCAAGAGTATAGGCATACACTTCCAAAAGCAAATTCAAGGTCTTTTACAATGTAAAGTATCCTGTCCACATATTATTTATGTACTTACTAACCACTTAACATGTTAAAAACTGTACTTCCATTTTTTTGGCAGTTGCTGTATTTTTGTTTAATGTATCAGTATTTTATATTGTTTCCCTAACTTCAGTTTCCCATGAACCCTGGGGTTTTTATTGTATGATTCTGCATAATGTGGTGATGTTAGGAATGTATATGTCATGTTATATCAGAACTACCTACAAAGATAATTTAAAAACCTTTGTAAAGCCACTTTGGGTGAGATGAGCAACAGGGGCTGGATTTACTCTCCTACTTGAAGCAACATCTGTAGCAAAAACAACAGCAACAAAACAAAAATGTGTGAAACAGTACCTTTTAAGATACTGGAATCAGGCAATGAAAGACAGTGATTTTGAAATATGGGAAAAAATGAGGTAAGCGTTACCATTGCCTCAGCTTACCATCTTGAGAGATTTTCAGCCTACAGCTGAAGGAAGAGGAACTGAGGCAGAGCCTGTCAGACTAGCTGTGTTGAGAAATGGAGCTGAGTCCTGGGAAACCAAGGCAAAGTTGATAGGACAGACTATAAAAGAGAGGCGATAACTGCATGGAAGGAGATATATGTGTGTGTGTGGTGGTGGTGAATTGGTGGTGTGAAGAGAGAGACAGAGGGAAGAAGAGATTTATTATGGAAATTGTTTCATGTGATTATAATGGTCAAGAAGTTCCACCATCTGCCATTTGGAAGTTGGATAACCAGGAAAGCCAGTGGTGTAGTTAAGTCTGGATCTAAGGACTGGAGAGCCAGAGGAGCCAATGGCATAACTCTCAGTTTGACTCCAAGGCCTAAGAACTCGGGAGTGGGAAGGAGAGTGCAGGTGTAAGTCTCAAAGTCACAGGGCTTGAAAACCAGGAGTGCTCATGTCTGATGGCAGAAGTGGATGAACCTATCTCAAGAAAAGAGGGAATGCATCCTTCTTCCACATTTTTGTTCTATTCAGACCCTCAACTGATGGGATGGTGCCTGCCCACATTGGTGAGGGTAGATCTTTTTATTTAGACTACTGGTTCAAATGCTAATCTACTCCAGAGACACCCTTACAGGCACACACAGTAATAATGTGTTCCCAGCTATCTGAGCATCCCTTAGCCAAGAGAAATTGATACATAAATTAACCAGCACAGTTCATGTTGAATATTCAGTAGAGTACTGACAAGCATTTGTCTGTAATGAAACTCAATGCTGGGGAATGAACTATCAAAAAGGATAAGAAGGAATAGTACCTAACACACAGGGCTGGAAACAGTGCATCTTTCCACTACGGACTGGCAAAATTCATATTTCATGTGTGTGGAATAGAGTACTGCTACACTCCAGATGTACCTAACAAATCACAAAAACAAGACCTGAAAGTATCAAACTTCTTCCAGATAAAATAACTGTATCTCAAAACAAAACTCAAGAGAATGTATAGCAATACAAAAATAGCCAGCATCCAACAAGGTAATATTTACAATGTTAGAGCCTAATCAAAGATTACCAGGCATACAGAGGCAATACAATATCCACAATGGAAATAATCAAAACTGACCCAGATATTGGAATTAGCAAATAGGGATATTAATACAAATATTACAACTGTATATGTTCAAAAAGTTAAGTAAACATATAGAAGATATTTTTAAAATTCAAATAAAATTTCCAAAGAGGAAAGCTATAGTGATAAAATAGGAAAATACACTTTACCTCATTTCTATGATGATTTTGATGTCATTTACTTTATTGAATTCAGCCAACTCCTATTTTATTTTACAGTTTTTTGTTTGTTTGTTTTTGAGACAGAGTTTCACTCTTGTTGCCCAGGCTGGAGTGCAATGGCACGATCTCTGCTCACTGCAACCTCCAACTCCTGGGTTCAAGGGATTCTCCTGCCTCATCCTTCCAAGTAGCTGTAATGACAGGCATGTGCCACCACACCCAACTAATTTTTTTTATTTTTAGTAGAGATGGGGTTTCACCATGTTGGCCAGGCTGGTCTTGAACTCCTGACCTCAGGTGATCCACCTGCCTCGGGCTTCCAAAGTGCTGGGATTACAGGTGTGAGCCACTGCACCCAGCCATATTTGTTTTTATGTCCACTTCTGCTATGAGCTTTGAATTTCTAAAGTATTTTTACTGTTTTATGAAGTCTCACATTTTTCTTTTGCCTCATGCTTGATTTGGGAAGAAGCTTTTATCACCAAAATGTTTTGATTCTAATTTTCTGATTGTGTTCACAGTACCTATATATGAATATTGACAGCCACTTTCAGTTCATTTTTAAATAAAATACTTTCCTGCACAGCAGTTAAAAAAAGAAAAATACACTTTATTAAATTAATGGAAGATTACATCTTACAGAAGAAATAATAACTGAGCTTTAAGCTTAGTCCCTGATGTGGTTCTGTTTGTATTTATCTTGTTCGGTGTTTATAGGGAATTTTGAATCTGCATTTTGTAAACTTAAAAAAAACTGGCCAGGCGCGGTGGCTCATGCCTGCAATCCCAGCACTTTGGGAGGCTGAGGCGGGTGGATCACGAGGTCAGGAGATCGAGACCATCCTGGCTAACACGGTGAAACCCCATCTCTACTAAAAATACAAAAAATTAGCCGGGGGTGGTTGTGGGCGCCTGTAGTCCCAGCTACTCGGGAGGCTGAGGCAGGAGAATGGCGTGAACCTGAGAGGCGGAGCTTGCAGTGAGCCGAGATCGCGCCACTGCACTCCAGCCTGGGCGACAGAGTGAGACTGTCTCAAAAAAAAAAAAAAAAAAAAAATTAATATGACAGTTCTAGGATATAATTCCATAGTTTAGTTAAATATTTACTCTTCTTTGGTAAAAATGCCTCAAAGAGTTTTTACACTTATTTCTTAAGCAATTTCTTTTCAATTTTCAAAAATTATTCACCAGTATTTCTTCAAATACTGTATCTTTTTCTTACTCTCTCACTTCTATCTTGACTCCAATTACCCATATGTTAGACCTTTTATCAATGTCCCATGTGTCTCTTATGTTTTATTCAATATTTTATATCTCCTTTTATGTTCTTGATTCTTTTATATTTCCCAGTTCACTAATCATCTGAAAAATCATATCTAATGAACTATTTACTAATCTATTAAACTTCTTATTTTAATTATAGTCGTTTTTCATTTTAGGACTTTCATTTGACTCTTTTTTTATATTTCATATCTCTGATCAAGTTTTCCATTTTAAATCTTTATTTGTGTCAATTAATCATAATTTAAAATATCTGTTAATGCCAAATCTTTTCTGAGTCTGTTTTTATTGTCGATTTTACTCTTTGTTTTTGTCTTTTTGCTTATGTTGTATAAGATGTCTCACAATTTGTATTGGGTGCTAAACATTGTCCATGAAAACTTTAAAGAATTAAGTTCTAAGTACTAATGACCATATCAATCCTGCAGAGGGTTGATTTGAGACTTTGTTATGACTACTCCATTTCAATTTATTATTATTTATAGAGAGTGGTCCATATTTCTAGAGTGTGATCATTCTGGGATCTCAATTGAAAACCCAGTTTTTACCAAAACCCCTTGACCTTGGCAAATTTTGAACTCCAATCTCTGTCTCATCAGTACAACATAATTGCTGAAACTTCTGTACAGTTTGTTAGCCTCCTAGCTGCTGTTTTCTGCTGGATTTATTGGATTCCTGCCCCTTAATGTGAAGCTCAGAATTTGGCCAGTGATTTGATGTGAATTTGTAGCCGGCTTCTTCCTCTATGATTTATTTCCCTTTGGGAATTTGCTTAAGTCCCAGCCACTTGGCATCCCTGAATTCTGATCTCTGCTTCCGCATTCCAATATGACTATGCTGTATACTTTGACTATAGTCCTCATGTTAAAAAAATTTTTCAGAAAATAGGTTAGGATAAATATGAATCTTTTCTCTTATGCTTTCCTTTTCTCAAGGATCATGGTTCCTCAACTCCTAACATTATCGATTACTCCTCAATGCCTTAAACCATTGTATTATACAGACTGTTCCCATGCACACACACACACAGACACACATGTATATGTATATGTTTGTATGTGTATATGTAAAAGGGTTACTAAAATATAAGCTATTCCATCCTATTCAGAACTAAAAGTTTTCTCAAGAAAACATTGATTCTGTAATCTCAATATTTATAATTTTCCTTTCTAGGATATTTAGTTCCTTTTTGATTCTGTTAATTGTCTGTAGTTTTTGGTACATGCTTGTTTTCCAACTTTATATATTCCAATATTCCAATATATTCAGTAAATATATTTTTTATAGTTTGATTCTGATTATTTCAGTATCTAATATCCTTAAGAAGCTTATTATGCATCATTTCTGATTATAATTTCTGAATGCAAGATGAGGTTTTTGGAAATTTATGTTAATTTTCTAGTCTTTTTATAAGTTTTTCATTATAGATTTATAAAAATTAAAAGTCTAGCCTTTCATTGCTCCATAGATAATTTGCATTTTCTTTTAAAAATAAGATTTTAAAAATTAAAGTATTATTTACATACAATAAACTAGAGAAATCTTAGGTACACAGCTCAGCAAATTTTTCACTTATGAACACATCCATGTAGAATATTTTCTTTTTTTTCTTTTTTTTGAGATGAAGTTTCACTTTGTTGCCCAGGCTGGATTGCAGTCACATGATCTCGGCTCACTACAACCTCTGCCTCCTGGGTTCAAGTGGTTCTCCTGCTTCAGCCTCCTGAATAGCTGGGATTACAGGCATGCGCCACCACAGCCGGCTAATTTTTGTAGTTTTAGTAGAGATGGGGTTTCGCTATGTTGGTCAGGCTGGTCTTGAACTCCTGACCTTAAGAGATCTGCCCACCTCGGCCTCCCAAAGTGTTGGGATTACAGGTGTGAGCCACTGTGCCTGCCCGGCCCATGTAGAACATTTTTTGGAGCCTGCAAAAGGCTCCATGCTGTATGTTGCCACTCAGCACTCCACCAGTAAGGAAAAGCACTATTCGCACCACTATTACATGAGTTAGCTTTGCCTTTTCTTATAAGGACACCAGTAAGATAAGATTAGGACCTATAAAAGTAGTTGGCTTTTATATAGAAAAAAATTTATAGCATATCATGGCTTCTTTTGCTCAACATTATGTCTGTGATATTTGTCTATGTTGTTACATGTAGCAGCAGTTTATTTTTTCTTTGATATGTAATATTCCATTATATAAGGCCATAAGTTATTTATTCTTCCTAATAATGATGGACATTTGTGTTCTTTCTAGCTTTTGGCTATTTGCATTTTCTTTTGCTAGTCTTTGGAGGAAGATGCCCATGTCAGAGTACTTTAAATGACACACTTGATTTTTTTAGAACCACATAGGTAACTTTAAGTTTCCCTTCACTAGTGACAAAGGTAAGACAAGCAATATCTCTTGCCAAACCCTTCACATAGATCCCTGAGTTATTTACACTGAGTATTTACCACTTTGAGATCCTAGCGTTATATAGGGGAGGAGCCTCCTTTTAGATTGCTACCTTGGATAGGATCTAGATTTTATCTGCTTTTCTCTGTTCCCTGAATTACTTCTATAGGCTGAATTGTATTCTGCCAAAATTCATATGCTGAAGCCCTAACTGATCTTTGTGAAAGATCAGTTGGCTGTAAATATGTGGCATTATTTCTGAGTTCTCTATTCTGTTCTAATCTGACACATTGATCTAGGTGTCTATTTTTATACCAGTACCATGCCGTTTGGGTTATGATAGCCTTGGAATACAATTTGAAGTCAAGTAATGTGATACCTCCAGCTTTTTTCCTTTTGGTTAGAATTGGTTTGGATAATCAGGCTGTTTTTTGGTTCCAAATGAATTTTAGGATTGTTTTTTCAAATTCTTTGAAAAATGACAGTGATATTTTGATAGTGCATTGAATCTATAGATTGCTTTTGGCAGTATGGTCATTTTAATTATATTAATTCTTCTCATCCACGAGCATGTTTTTCTATTTATTTGTGTTATCAACAATTTATTTTGTTAGTGTTTTGTAGCTTTTCTTATGGCAATCTTTCACCTCCCTGGTTAAACTTATTCCTAGATATTTCATTTTATTTTTTTATAGCTATTGTAAATGGGATTGATTTCCTGATTTTATTCTCAGCTAGTTATTGGTGCATAGAAACACCACTGATTTTGTACACTGACTTTGTATCCTGCAACTTTACCCAATTCATTTATCAAATCTAACAGTTTTTTGGTGGAGCACATGTTTTTGGAAAAATCGCACTGATAGACTTGCTTGATGCAGTGTTGCCACAAACCTGCAATTTGTAAATAAAAATGCAGGTATCTGCAAAATGCAATAAAATGAAGCACAATAAAATGAGGTATGCCTGTAAATGACTTTCTGGGAAAGGTAAAACCCTGGAGACAGTGTAAAGATCAGTGGTTGCTGGGGCTAGGGAGAAGAGAGGGGAATTTAAGTACGGCACCAATTTCTAAGGCAGTGAAATAATTATTCTGTGATTCTATAATGCTGGATACATGTCATCATACATTTGTCAAAATCTATAGAATGTACAACACCATGAGTGAATCCTAATGTAAACTATGGACTTTAGTTAATAATAATGTATTATTGGCTCATCAACTCTAACAAATATACCACAATAATGCAAGATGTTAATAGGGAATTAAAAGTGAGTAATAAAGGGTATATGGGAACTCTGTACTTTTAGCTCAGTTTTTTCCATTTATCTAATGCTGCTAAGAAATAAAGCCTATTGATTAAAAACATTATAGAATACCTCTCAAGCTGTATTTAAAGGAAAACTTATGACCGTAAATTTCTATATTAGAAAAAGGAAAAAAGTATCAAATCAATGACGTCAGTTTGCTTGTATTAATCAGGGTTCTCCAAAGAAATAGACCCAATAGGAGAATGAGACAAGATCTCATTCTGTTGTCCAGGCTGGAGTACAGTGATATGATTATACCTCACTATAACCTTGTAACCTCCAACTTCTGGGCTCAAGCAATCCTCCTGCCTAAGCCTTATGAGTAGCTAGGACTACAGATGTGTGTCACCATGCCTGAATAATTATTTTTATTTTTTATATAGATAGGTTTTCACCATGTTGCCCAGGCTAGTCTCAAACTCCTGGCCTTAAGTGATATTCCTTCCTTGGCCTTCCGAAGTGCTAGGATAACAGGAATGAGTCACCATACCATACTTGTATGTATGTATTTATTCACAATGTTGTGCAAAACATTTTTTTTTTTTGAGATGGAGTCTTGCACTGTCGCTGGGGCTGGAGTGCAATGGCACGATGCCAGCTCACTGCAACCTCTGCCTCCCGGGTTCAAGAGATTCTCCTGCCTCAGCCTCCTGAGTAGTTGGGATTACAGGTGCCCGCCACCACACCCGGCTAAATTTTTGCATTTTTAGTAGAGACAGGATATCTCTATGTTGGCCCGGCTGGTCTCAAACTCCTGACCTCAAGTGATCCACCTGCCTCGGCCTCCCAAAGTGCTGGGATTACAGGCATGAAACACCGTGCCTGGCCTGCAAAGCATTTTTATTATCTCAGAAGATATGTTATGTCTATTAGAAGTCAGCTTCCATTTCCCCCTCTCCTAAGCTCCTGGAAACCACTAATCTGCTTTTGCTCTCTACAGATTTACCTAATCTGGGTATTCCATATAAATGAAATCTTAATATGTTACCATCTGTGTTTGGCTCCTGTTACTTAGCATAATATTTTCTAGGCACATATCTGTTGTAGCATGTATCAATACTTCATTTTTATAGTTGAATAATATTCCATTGAATGGATATACCACACTCCCTTCATGCATTCATCTTTTGATGGCCATTTGCATTATTTCCACGTATTGGCCGTTGTGAATAGTGCTGCTATAAACATTTATGTACAATTTTTTGTTTGAACACCTGTTTTTAATTCTCTGAAATTACTGAGTCACATGGTAATTTTTGGTTTAACTTTTTGAGGAACTGCTAACTTATTTCAGCAGTGGCTGCATCATTTTACATTCTCAGCAAAAAATGTATGGGTGTTCAAGTTCCTCCACATGTTTGTCAACACTTGACATTTTTCTATTTTTTAAAATTGTAGTCATTCTAGTGGGTGAAGAGGTTTTGATTGGCATTTTCCTAATGACTAATAATATTGAGCATCTTTTCATGAGCTTATTGATTATTTGTATATCTTCTCTGGAGAAATGTCCATTCAATTCATTTGCCCATTTTTGAACTGGTTTCTTAAAAAATGTTAAGTTGTAGGAGTTCTTTATATATTCTGGATATGAATCCCTTATCAGTAATATAATTTGCAAATATTTCTCCCATTCAGTAGATTGCCTTTTTGTTTTCTGTTCTGTGTACTCTTAGGTCATGATTGGTCAGGTATGGCCACAAGATGGGGGAAAAGGAGAGGCTCAGGAAAACAAAGTTTATTACATCGTGG
Organism: Homo sapiens; assembly: GCF_000001405.40. Classification (NCBI taxonomy): domain Eukaryota; kingdom Metazoa; phylum Chordata; class Mammalia; order Primates; family Hominidae; genus Homo; species Homo sapiens. Next base: position 110,980,951 of record NC_000001.11, read on the forward strand.
ACCCTAAAGAGTAACTGCCTGTCAAGAGGGGTTCACATAGGAAGAGTGCCAAGGGAGTGGGCTCAACCATGCAAGAGGGAGCCAAATAAGAGAGAAGACCCACGCATAAGTGCCTTTATTAAGGGCCATGGTGGAGTAAACAAGCAAGAGGCACAAAAGGATTTCATTTGTGCATTTGAAAGTTGGTAGATCACAGTCAGGGAGGGCAAGAAAGGAAACTTACGGCAGAAGCCAACCTTATCACACTGGTACACCTGGTTACTTGGGTGTGGTGCTCATAGCCTGTTTGTGGGGATGTTGAGGCAGCAAGAAAATATAAAGTTTTAAAATTTACAATACTTTCAACCCTGTGGTGCCTCAACATCATTAACAATACTAATTGGGAGGAAGAATACTTGCCACCTGGATTGTGGAGAGGTTAAAGGTGACTAGTTAGCCACTGAAGGCAAACTTTGATGCAGGTGGCAACTAGGAAAAGTTCTATTAGCCATATGGCAAGTGGTTGAACTCAATTCACAACCAGGCATGTAGCCTTGTGTGAGAAAGCCAAGAGAACAGGTCAGACCCCTGTGGATTTAAGGAAATACATTGGTAGATTTTGGTTATATTATAAAAGTTCCTTACTTCTTAACCTATTCCTCATAGCCTGTACCTGTCCGGAGTTATTCATGTATATATGGCAGGAGGTGCCTTGCATGGCACAAACCCCTCCCTCCCTGGCTACTGAGTAGTCAAGAGCAGTGTGTTATCCATTATCACTTGGGCTAGAGACAAATAGGCTTGTTGTGTAAAGGACAACGTTTCGTGTAGCCTTTGAATATGATCTGAAAGGGCCTATGATCTGAAAGGTACTGGTTGCCAGCTATGATTTTATTTTGTATGCAAAAGCTGCTGTTCTGGTGCCAATACTGGCAGCTCCCGTGGCTATGGTAAGCCCTATTAAGATGGGAATAAATATTACCTATTTTGCCTAGTGTTTTGGGGTTGATGGAAATGAGCAGTTAGCTGGTTGGTAAAGAACTAGGAGAATCCTCAGTGTAACCACTGAACATGGGGGTATGGTTTTATTGGGGAAAATATGGGGGATTAAGCAAGGAAAATATATAAGGTGCTATGCCTATGAGTTTGGGCCACAGTAGAACCTGAAAGTGCCATTATTTAGAGTATAATGTACCCATGAAGATATTATAAGGAGGTTGAAGGCCCCAATGTGGAGAATGGGCCAAGTGTAGTGGGCTCCTGGGCACAAGTGGTAAGCCTAAGGGGGTAACTTGACTATAATGTGCAGCTGTCCCTGGTGAGTATAGCTAGAAATGAAGGTAGCTGGTATATTGAAGCAAATGGGAAATTTAAGAGTTTTATTGGAAGCCATGATAGAACTTTGCCTAAGGTGGTGTCAGCAGGAAGGTCATTAAGGTAGGCCCATGCCCACTGCGACTTAGTGGTAGGCTCAACAGTTGTGAAGGGTTATGGCCATAGCTGAACCTTTGGCAGCCTGTACATATGTGTTGGAGATCTTGGTCTGTACCAGGTTGGTGTAGCGGTTGTGACATAAGTGTGAGGAAGACAGGAAGTAGAGGTATTTATGGGTGTGGTATCTGTGGGTATAGGTTCCTGGGCACCAGCCTCAAAAGTGCTGGGGTGCATGGGTGTTTCTGCCATGGTTGGTGTTGCAGGCAAACAGAAATCGCAGGAAATCATTAGAAGTGCACATAGGAATAGAAAATCTGGAGGGTAAGTGGCTAGGCATGACACAGAAGACATACTAGGAGGAATTCTACCCTGAGTGGCATTCAAGAGGAAATGCTTTGCATCCCACAGAGGCTTAATGCACTCTAGGGCTGCTTTGCAATAGTAGGGCTTTGAACTCATAGTTTCACAGGCAGGTGTCAGCAGGGCAGGATCCAGGGTCAAACAAGTAACAATCTCAAGGAAATAGTCTTCCCAGGGTTCATATTCATATGGGGCAATATAAGGTTGCAGTATATTTGGATCAGCCATGGGTAGCAGGGGAATCAAGAGTGAGCACTGAGTGTGGGAGTTGTTTAAAGGGCAAGTGTCTAAAACAGTCCAAGTCTGGAGTAGAAGCAGTTGTCTGAGGTGAAATCAATTCCACTGGCAAACACTTCAGCTGGGATCACGTTGTCTGAGATGATGTCATATCTATCAATGACCTCTTGGATTGGGTTGATGTCAGGAGCAATCCAGGAAAAGGGTGTCCCTACCATGTAGCAATCCATAGGGGATAAGAGGGAGCCTCTAAGGGCTAAGAATTATGGTAACATGGGAAGGCCTTGCCCAAAATAGATTCACAGATGACTCTGCAGCTGCTGGAGACACAGATTTCTTTTTATTATTATTATTATTGTTATACTTTAAGTTCTAGGGTACGTGCGCACAACGTGCAGGTTTGTTACATATGTATACATGTGCCATGTTGGTGTGCTGCACCCATTAACTCGTCATTTACATTAGGTATATCTCCTAATGCTATCCCTCCCCCTCCCCCCACCCCACGACAGGCCCCAGTATGTGATGTTCCCCACCCTGTGTCCAAGTGTTCTCATTGTTCAATTCCCACCTATGAGTGAGAACATGTGGTGTTTGGTTTTCTGTCCTTGCGATAGTTTGCTCAGAATGATGGCTTCCAGTTTCATCCATGTCCCTACAAAGGACATGAAGTCACACTTTTCTTATGGCTGCACAGTATTCCATGGTGTATATGTGCCACATTTTCTTAATCTAGTCTATCACTGATGCACATTTGGGTTGGTTCCAAGTCTTTGCTATTGTGAATAGTGCCGCAATAAACATACGTGTGCATGGGAGACACAGATTTCTTTCAAGTCTGCTGGGTCATCAGTGACACAACGGGCAAATGCCCTAGCCACTTTGGTCTGGGACTGCCCTTCCTAGTCTATCCATAAAGGATGTATATTCTGGGAGCACTGATAGGCTGTGTTCAGAGAGACCCTATGTATGATTCTACATTCTGGGGCATACCTTCCCGTAGAGATCTCAGGTACCATGGAGCAAAGAGTTAACAGCCAGGGTTTAATCCACAGACATGAATTCAGTCAATCTACAGAGGCCATGCTCAAGAGAATGTCCACTAGCATATACTACTGCTCAAAATTGTTTAAACACCAATATCATTTGAGCTATTCATAATGGAAGTCTGCCAGCTTGGGAGGGATTCAGTCATGAGCCAGGCTCAAAGATAGGCTGCTCTCATGGAGCTCAGGATAACCTCCAGGCAGGTCCAATTTCCCCAATTTGTGGTACACTACTGAAGGGGCTCTGTGGGGCTGTTGCACATTCTACAGGTCAGGTTGAAACCTTATGGGTTGACCCGTATCCCCAGTGCCCAACTTAAGTACAAGCAAACTAACAAACACAGCCAAAGGGAGTACCAATATTTTATTCATTTGGCAGAGACTGTACCCTGGACCTGGGGCAGTTGTAGTAACACCAGTGGGGAATCTTGGAGTCTTAAATACATCTGTAGGTCCTAGCTAAGTACAAATCTCCTAGTAATGAGAGTTGGGAACTAGTACGGTGGTGGCTGTGGGTCACTTTTGGAGTTTGTAATTTCCAGAAGTGGCTAACATTCTCCAGATGTAACTTGCTGTCTCCACAAATAGCAACCCACACATTTCCACTACTCAACCCTGTATCTATAATTTCCAATTCCTATCTCAGCATGTAATGGGGATTAAGCAGGCACCCTTTATATCCTGAGTACACAGGCAGGGTCTCAGTCTCTGGCATCAGGTTGTCCAAGTACTCTTGTGCGCAAATTAAATGTCTAGGGCATTTCAATGGGCTTTCAGTCGTTAAGGGATCATATTTAGTAATCTGTTCCTTGATTAAGCATCCAAGTCAAAGAGGTTGGAGGAACAATTGAAAAGTCAAATTTATATGAGGAGAAATCATTGACAGAGTAACAGGTACAATCCTCCTGGACAGTAAAATGAGCCAGATTGCCCTTGTGAGCAAACAGGAGCAGAGCAGAAGGCTATATAAAATTAGTGTAAGGGATATAGAATCCTGTGGATAAAGAGTTGAGATAAATGATGGATTGTAGGAGAAAAGAGACCTACTTAAAGATCCATTTACCAAAGAGTAATTTTAGTAGCATGTCTTTCAACAGGCCATTGTTACATTCAGTGAAGCCTGAGGTTGTGGTTGGTATGGCAAATGAAAGTTCCATAAGATGCCCTGTTCTAGTGTCTGGTTCTGGGTAGCATGGGAGGGAAAAGGAGTCCCTTGGTCAGAATCTATGATATCTGGAACAACAAAGGAAATGAAAATGGTTCTTGTTAGGCTAGGGGCAGTGGAAGGCCAGCATACCCCATAAAGGAGTCAATCATAGTAAGGGTACACTAGGGAGCACCTGCAGTCGGGGGCAAGGGATCAATGTAATCAATACAACACCAGGAAAAGGGATAGAAATTCTGTGGAAAAGATCCCCATTGAGTTTCACACCGATATTTGATCTTGAAGCATATGTCGCAGTTGTCAGTCTCTGTCTTGGTCAGAGAGGCTTGCAGGGGAATGCCTTGTCTATGGGCCTATTCAACAAACACACGCATTCCCCAATGCCCAGAGGGATTATGTGGCCAAGTTACCAGCAGGTATGGAAATGAGGAGGGATCCAGGGAGGCAACAGAAGTGGCTAGACAAAGTGTGTTAATCTTAGAAATCAGCCTGCTGTGTTGAAATGTGCCTCTGGAATATCACGTGAAGTTTGTGCAAAAACTTGTGACAAAAATAGAAATAGGCCAAGTTGACAATACCTTACAAATTTAGGATCCCCACAAGGGACAGCCTTGTATTAAGAAATCATCTCTCTGCCATTGGCCTTACCAGATGCAAAGCTGTTAGCAATCAGTAAAGATCTAGAAGAAGATCTATGAAGAAGCTACCTAGTAAGGGCATTCTGTAGGGCCAAGTGTACAGCTTCTAAGTTGAGCAGACCTGATGACACTGAACCTGGCTAGAGAGGTACTCAAAACCAAGTGATAGGCCATGGTTCTCCAGCAAGCTGCATTGCATACAATGGTGACAATATCATCAGTAAAGTATATTGACTCCTTTTTCATGTCAGACAGTTGGTCCCAAGGGGCGCCTCATTTTCCAGATGAGGAGGCGGTGGTGATGCCAGTACCAGTGTCTCTAGGTCCATGGGCAAGAGGCTGAGCATGGGGCAAGCTACAACCTCCTAGAACTTGTAAAAGACCTGTTTGTCCAGTTTAACCCACTCCTGGAAGTACCATTTCCATTTAAGCAAGGAAACTTCCACAGCTGTGCTGAGCTGTTTCCGAGAGGAATCTATCCATCCATGACAAGGTAAGGATCTGGGTGTAGAGTTTTACCTGCTGGTGGCCAAAATGAGCCTTGGTTTCTATCACTCATCAGTAAGCATTTGATATTTGGCATGTATCAGGCAGCAGCTGATGGCAGCCTCTGGATCCAAAATCCCATCAGGAGCCATTTTTGACCATGCTTATTCCATATGCTCCAGAAAGCATTGTCAGGGTTGGCCAATATCTCAAATCTAAAACTGGCTTCTGGGGGAACCAACTGCCTTATACAGCCTGCTGAGTGTCTTCTAATGCTCATTGCTGGGGCTTCCCCCAATGGAAGGTGGTAGACTTGCAAGTGACTGTGTAAACAGGCTGAAGTAAAATGGAAAGGGGTGGAATGTGTTGTTGCCAGAACATGTAGAGACTTAACAGATGTTGAGTCTGGCAAATGTCTGGGTTGGGCTGAGCTGTAAAAGCTAATGTTTAACTGTGTTAGAAATTTGTTGGCCATTGGAAGACCAGACTATGCCCAAGAATTTCACTGAGGTTGGCAGACCTAGGATTTTGTGTAGAGTTATTGCTTGCCCCTGTTCTTGGAGATGGTGCATGCAAATCCTCTTTGACTGCCTCCTCAGAGGGCCCTCATATCAGGAAACCACCTATGTAGTGCCATTAGAAGCCTTATGGGGAACTGTGTCAGGGTCCTGAAGTACAAATTGTAAGCAATGGCTGAACTATTTAGATAGCCTATGGGCTCAATCCTGCCACAAAAATAGGGACACAGGAAGAGACATGTCCACCTGAGTCATTAGGGCAGGTTTGCTGGCCTCAACCCTGGTTGTGGATGCTGAAACAGCCCTGAGACTTGGCTCTAGCCCCTCCCAGCAGTGGTCAGAGAAGAGTCCTGCCAGCAGCACAGGGACCCAAAGGAAGAAATATTTGCCAGGACATGCTTGCTGACCCCAGGCCTACAGCAGATCCTGAAATGGTTCTGAGTCTCAGCTCAGCCCCTCTCAGTAGTGGTCTGTGATCAGTCCTGCCAGCAGCACAGGGACACAGAGGACTACATGCAGCCTGAGTCCTCTGGGCAGGCCTGCTGACATTGGTCCCAGCTATAGACCCTAAAATAGCCCTGAAACTCAGTTCCAGATCCTCTCAGATACAGATTAAGGCAATACTGCCTGCCTAGGGATCCACCCAGTGACCCAGCAGGATAATTCATAGTGACCCAGCAGGATAATTCATAGGAACCCAGAGAAAGCCACACCCATCCTCACACTTAGTAACAGGTTCACTGTTTGTGGCCCCTGAAGTGGATCCTCATCTCAGCACCAGCCCTATGGACCAAGGCTCTGGAGGCAGCCCAGACTATCCAGGGGCCAGACAGGATCTAAACCCACTTCAGCCCCTGTTAACAGGCCAACCAAACACAAGTCATTTGAAATTAGACAATTAGAGGAACAAAAAGAAAAAAAGAATGAGAAAGAGTGAAGAAATATCAAAGGACCTACAGGACACCATCAAACATGCAGATATTTGAATTATGGAAGTCCCAGAAGGAGAAGAGGAAGTGAAGGGGAAGAAAGCATATTTAATGAAATACTGTATGAAAACATTTCAAATTTGGTGAGGGATATCGACATCCAAATTTATGAATCTCAAAAGACTCCAAGCAGGATCAACCTAAAGAAGAATACTCTGAAGCATATTATAATTAAATTTTCAAAAGTTAAAGACAATGAGAATTCTGAAAGCAGCAAGAGAAAAAGGTAATCATTATATAGAAGGGAAATCCATAAGGCTAGTGAAGATTTCCCACCAGAAACTTTGCAAGCCAGGAAGGAGTGGGATGATATATTCAAAGTGCTGAAGGGGAAAAAAAAAACAACCTGCCAACCAATAGTACTAAACCCAGAAAAGATGTCTTTTAGAAATAAAGGAGAGATAAACACATTCACAGACAAACAAAAGCAGAGAGAGTTCATTACCACTAGATTTGTCTTACAAAAAAAAATGCTTAAGGGAGTTATTGGAATTGAAACAAAGGATGCTAAGCAATAACATAAAACATAAGTAAATGAAGGACTCAAAACTACAGTCAAATATGCAGTCAAATTCATAATACTCTAATACTGTATTGGTTGTGTATAAATCGCTTACATCTATATGCCGATGTTAAAAGACAAAACTCTTAAAAATAACTATAGCTGCAATAATTTTTAAGGGATGTACAATATAAAATATATAAGTGGTAACATCAAAAACATAAAATGTGTGAGAGTAAAACTGGAATTTTTAAATGCAATCAAAGTTAAGTTGTTATCAACTTTGTGTTGGAAGAATGAATATTGTTAAAATGTCCACACTACCCGAAGTGATCTACAAATTCAATGCAATCTCTATCAAAATTCCAATGACATTTCTGACAGAAATGGAAACAAAATTCTAAAATTCATATGGAGCAATATAAGACCATAAATAGCTGACGCATTCCTGAGCAAAAATAACAAAGTTGGAGGCATCACACTACCTTATCTCAAAATCTACTAGAAAGCTGTAGTAATCATAGCAGTATGGTGCTAACATGAAAGCAGACAGATAGACAAATGGAACAGAATAGAGACTAGAAATAAACACAAGCTTATGTGGTCAACTATTTTCAACAAGGACACCAAGAAGACATCACGGAGAAAAGACAGTCTCTTCCATAAACAGTGTTGGGAAAACTGGCGTTGGGGATACATGCAAAAGAATAAAATCGAATCCCTATCACACCATATGCAAAAAATCAACTAAAAAATACACCAAAGATCTGAGTGTAAGACTTAAAATCACAAAACTCCTAGAATAAAACATGATGGGAAAGTTTCTTGACATTGGTCTTATCAGTGATTTTTGGACAATATACCAAAAGCACAAGCAACAAAAGCAGAAATAAATAAGTGGGACTGCATCAAACTTAAAAGCTCCTGCACAGCAAAGGATACAATCAAGAAAGGGAAAAGCAACCTATGGACTGACAAATGTTTGCAAACCAGTTAACTCTTAAGGGATTAAAATCTAAAGTATATAAGAAACTGATGTAATTCAATAGCGAAACAATGAATAACCCAATTTAAAAATGAGCAAAGGGAAGTTCCACCAAGTAATGGTGAGCATTCTGGGCTCTGAAAAAATGAGCAAAGGATCTGAATAAACATTTCTTAAAAAAAGACATATAACAACAGATATATAAAAGGATGCTCAACATCACTAATCAGGGAAATGCAAATCAAAACCACAATGATATATCATTTCATATTGGTCCATTTTGCATTGCTATAACAGAATATCTGAGACTAGGTAATTTGTAAAGAAAAGGGGTTTATTTGGCTCATAATTCTGCAGGTTGTACAAGAAGCATAGCACCAACATCTGCTTGGCTTCTGGTAAGTATCTCCGGAAGATTTACTCACTGCTCTTTGCTCATTTTTCAACTGGGCTAATCATTGTTTTGCTACTGTGTTAGGTCAGTTTCTCATATAATTTAGATATTAATCCCTTCAGAGTTAAATGGTTTGCAAACATTTATCAGTCTATAGGTTGCTTTTTCACTTTCTTGATTGTATCTTTTGCTGTGCAGGAGCCTTTTAGTTTGAAGGCAGAAAGCAAGGGGAGCCAGCGTGTCACATGGTGAAAGAGAAAGCAAGAGAGAGAGGACAAGGTGGCAAGTTCTTTTTAACAACCAGATATTATGTGAACTAATAAAACAAGAGCTCACTCATTACTGTGAGGGAGGACACCAAACCATTCATCAGGATCTGGCCCCATGATCCAAACACCTCCCACTAGGCCCCACCTCCAACACTGGGGGTCACATTTCTGCATGTGATCTTAAGAGAACAAATATTCTAACTATATCACATCTCTCACCTGTTAGGATGGCTTTCGTCAAAAAGACAAGAGATAACAATTGTTGGCAAGGGTGTGGGAAAAAGGGAACTCTTGGACACCATTAGCAGGAACGTAGATTCGTGTAGCCACTGTAGAAAACAGTATACAAGTTCCTAAGAAAATTAAAAATAGAACTCTCATATGATCCAGAAATACCCCCATGAAATGTATGTTGGGTTCTTTGAATGGTAAAGGAGGCTGTGACTGATTATTGATAAGTACTGAATAGAACATGGTGGCCAGATCCACACAGTCAACACACAAGTTGGTCATTGGAGATCTTCAACTAATTTCATTATGTTAAGTATTGAAGCCTTGATGGTGGAAACTTGAGCACTGGGATTTCGATAATTAATAGTTCAGTGCCTTTCATTGGTGAAATCCTTTTAAGACTGGCCAAATAAAACTACTGGAAGGAGAAATTGTGATAACAATCACCTTTTCTTCGAGTAAATCTTGAATACCAGGTCAAAGGCCAGCAGTACGTTGTTTCAAGAGATATTGTGGTATGTTCACTACCTTTACCCACAGGGCCAGCTCTACAGGTTTTCACTCTGTGGCTCTAACTGGGCCAGGGACTTGGGCTTATTCCAGTGTCACAGGCAGCATGCAATGGCATCTTTTCTATGCCTATAATAGGAAAACTCAAAGCAAGAGGAGCCACCACAATGGACGGCTGTTATTTATTTGTTGCTTGAAATAATTATTTTAATTTTTTATTTTTGTGGGTATATAGTAGGTGTATATATTTATAGGGCACATAACATATTTTGATACACACATGCAATGCATAATAATCACTTCAAGGTAAATGGGATATCCATCGACTCAAGCACTTAATCCTTCATGTTACAATCCAATTATACTATTGTAGTTATTTTTAAAGGTACAATTATTACTGACTATAGTCACTCTGTTTTGCTATCAAATACTATGCCTTATTCATTCTTTTTATTGTCTGTACACATTAACCATCCCCACTTCCCTCACCTAACCCCCACTACTTTTCCAAGGTAATTATCCTCCTTCTATTTCCATGAGTTCAATTGTTTTAACTTTTAGCTCCCACAAGTAAGTGAGAACATGTGAAGTTTATCTTTCTGTGCCTGGCTTATTTCACTTAAAATTATGATCTCCATTTCCATCCATCTTGTTGCAAATGACTGAATCTTGTTTTTGTTGTTGTTGTTGTTGTTTTCCATGTTATCAGGGTACAGGTGGTATTTGGTTACATGAGTAAGTTTTTTAGTGGTGATTTGTGAGATTCTCCACATTGTTTCCCATAGTGGCTATACCAGTTTACATTCCCACCAGCAGGGTACAGGTGTTCCCTGATCACTGCGTCCACACCAACATCTACTGCTTTTTTGATATTTTGATTATGGTCATTCTTGCAGGAATAAGGTGGTATCACACTGTGGTTTTGATTTGCATTTCCCTGATCATTAGTGATGTTGAGCATTTTTTCAAATGTTTGTTGGCCATTTGTATATCTTCTTTTGAGAACTCTCTATTCATGTCCTTAGCCAACTTTTTGATGGGATTGTTTGTTTCTTTCTTACTGATTTGTTTGAGTTCGTTGTAGATTCTGGATATTAGTCCTTGGTCAGATGTATAGATTGTGAAGATTTTTCTCCCACTCTGTGGGTTGTCTATTTACTCTGCTGACTGTTCCTTTTGCCGTGCAAACACTCTTTAGTTTAATTAGGTCCTAGCTATTTATCTTTGTTTTTATTGCATTTGCTTTGGCTTCTTGGTCATGAAATCCTTGCCTAAGCCAATGTCGAGAAGGGTTTTTCCAGTGTTATTGTCTAGAATTTTTATAGTTTCAGGTCTTAGGTTTAAGTCCTTAATCCATCTTGAGTTGATTTTTGTATAAGGTGAGAGACGAGGATCCAGTTTCATTCTCCTACATGTGGCTTTGTTGAAGATCAGTTGGTTGTAAATATTCGGGTTTATTTCTGGGTTCTCTATTCTGTTCCATTGGTCTATGTGCATATTTTTATACCAGTACCATGCTGTTTTGGTAACTATGGCCTTATAATATAGTTTGAAATCAGGTAGTGTGATGTTCCCAGAGTTTTCATTTTGCTTAGTCTTGCTTTGGCTATGCAGGCTCCTTTTTGGTTCCATATGAATTTTAGAATTGTTTTTTCTAACTCTGTGAAGAATGATGGTGGTATTTTGATGGGGATTGCATTGAATTTGTAAATTGCTTTTGGCAGTATGGTCATTTTCACAATATTGATTTTATCCATCCATGAGCATGGGATGTGTTTTCATTTGTTTGTGTCGTCTATGTAAGAACAGCTGTTTGATAAAGATTTTTCTAATAGTGACATCTAGTGGCATCTGTTTGTCATGAAATGATTTTACTGGCAATACCCTCTAGTATAAAAGAGGTAGCTCCTTTAAACTTGGATGGTTTGCCCAGAATGACAGTAACGTGGGCTGCTGTATCTAATAAAGCTAGAAAATGTTATCTACTTGTAGAATTCCAATGAACCACCAGAGTCATACAGAGGAAATTGTCACCGGGTGGTGGGACAAGGCACAGGGATTGCCTGAATCCCTATTTGAGAGGCCATGGTGATTACCAGTTTCAGGGGTCTGAGAATTAGCCAGAGGCATAATTAGTTGGATTTGGAGGCGTGGTCTCAAGAGATCCCAGATCTGTGGGCAAGTGATGAGGACTTTTTAACGTAATCTTCTTTAGTTGTTGCAATTTGGGTGTGGCCTGGCTAGTAATTCTTCATGAGGCACACAGGGGCCTCTAAATTGCCAATAAACAGGATGAGCTGGATCACCCAGAGGTAATGGGGTAATCTGAGAGTTGGAAAAGAAAGGGAGGGCTGAATAGTCCACTCTAGGGGTTCCCATGCACTAGGAGGCAAGCTTTGTTAGGTCAGAATTGTGAGTCGGGATGGACAGAACCCTCACATTGTGCCAGCAGACCAATTTCATTCATGGCCCTTAGGATGGTATAGGACCTGTGAACAAGGTTAAGCAACATGACCCTGCAGTTGGATGGGGGCACCTGCAAGAACAGCTCTCAGGAGTCTATGTCAACAGGGGCTTTTTCAAAATTAGCAATGTGTTTAGTCTTCCTTCTCTGAATATTTGAAGAAATAATAGACCCATTAAACCATACCAATTTCATGGAGGAGCATGCAGGCCTCCTCAATAGTTTTCCACTAGACATCCTTAGCAGCAATGACCACATGGAAGAGTGAGCCAGACTCTAAGCCTTGAAATCAGTCAGTAAGGAAAGGGCTCTGGAATTCTTAGTGGTGGTAGAAGTTTTGGGTTCCTTATTTGAGGTTTCCATAACCTCCTCAAAAGTATTGGTCTCTTTATCAAGCCTGCCCTTGTGTTTTGGATGCCCTTTACCCTCTTTGGGTACCTCTGGCTCCAAAATATATAAAATCTAAGCTTGAAAGCAAAAGGATCTTTAAGTGAATTATGCATCTCAGGATCTTAAGTAATGTTGATGAGCAGCCTCATCTCTGGGGTGATGACAAAAGCTTCATGCCTGTGTTAAACACTCTCAGTAACTAATTGGCTCCTTTCTTTTTTATCTTTTGGAAAAAAACTGAGAATAATTTGAATTCCTAGACTCGTGATTTTAGGTGTTTCAGCTTTTAGTTCTTTATGATCTCTCATGCTTTTTCTGGTTCTTTTTATTGTATCTATTTAAGGTGTACAACTCTCACCTTTTCTGTTTAACAATAAGCAATCAGATAAGAAAAGGAAATAAAAGACATCCAAATAGTAAAGACAGAAGTAAAATTATTGCTGTTTGCAGGTGACATAATCCTGCATGTAGAAAACAAACTCCAAAAAGAGGACTCAAAAAAAAAATCTTTAGAACTGTGAAAGCTGCTGATGCTAAGACGCAATCACTTAAATCAAACCCAAATCAAAGTAGAGCCAGCAGATCATAAGGGAGGGGATCTCATGCTTGTATGTGAGATAACAACTATAACAAAGACTCTTTGATGGTCCTTCTGCACATATGACTATGATAACAAGTATTACAAGAACTATCTGACAGCACAAAAATTCTATATAAATTGTTTCTATGAAGACATCTCCCCAGCAACAGTGTCATCAGCAAGTAACTGCTCGCTTCTGCAGTGAGCCTCTGTAACTAGTAAACTTTGATTTTTTTCATCATCCTCTTTTATTTTATTAGTTTTGTAAGAATTAGATTTGACTCGTGGATGTTCTTAAAGGGAGCACTACCATAGCCCATGGAAGCAAGAATCAAATAAATGATCAAGTTAAGCTGGTGAGGCTTTATTCATCACAGGTTGAAGCCACTAAAATTTTCTGCATAAAGAGAGAACCACCAGTCTACATTCAACAGCCTAAACCAACAATTATATATTTATACATGTGAAAATTTAGCTTGTCCTTTAACTCTTTCTTAAGTTGAATTGTCAATTATGATTGCAGCTTTAAAATCAAGATACTTAACTAGCTGGCTGAGTGACTGGCCAAACCACCAATCAGGAAAATTGAATTAGTTAAGAGAAGAAATGCAATAAGACTTGAAGAACTGAATGGTGCCTTGGAGGTTACCTGGTTCAACCTTTTCCCTTAGCCTGGACACACACACACATACACACACACACACACACACACAAACACACACACACACACAGAGAGAGAGAGAGACAGAGAAAGAGAGAGAGAATATAAATTAAGACCCAGAACTGCAGAACTGGTAGGTGATAAAATCTGTCCAGGACCAAAATTCATACATCTTGACAACATAATGTCTTTCAAAGGGTAATAAGCTGCAAGGATATATCTCCCAGATCCTTTCCTTTTTCTCTGTTTCTCTTGGTAGCAATGGTCATATTGTTGAAACCTCTTGCTTATCACAACACTGCTGGAGGATTTGTAAAACTTGATTTGGATGGTTTACCTCCTCCACTCAAAAATCTTCCATGTCTCTGATTACTTAGAAAATAACAAAATCTTTAGCCAGCATTCAAGGCCCTCAACCATCTGGTTCTGCCTTCTTATTCTTTTTATTTCCCTTTAATGTAACTCTTTTTTAGTTTTTAATTTTTGTGGTTACATGGTAGGTGTATATATTAATGAAGTACATGAGATATTTTGATACAGGCATGCAATGCATAATAATCACATCAAGGAAAATGGGGTATCCATTCCCTCAAGCATTTACCTTTGTGTTATAAACAATTCAATTGCACTCTTTTAGTTATTTTAAAGTGTACAATTAAATTATTTTGACTATAGTCACCCTTTGTGCTATCAAATACTAGGTATTGTTCTTTTTTTTCTATTTTCTTTGTACCCATTAACCACTCCCACCTCCCTGCCACACTCCACTACCTTTCCCAGCCTCCAGTAGAAGGATGTTAGCCATCCTTCTACTCTCTATCTCCATAAGTTCAATTATTTTGATTTTCAGATCCCACCAATAAGCGAGAACATGTAATGTTTGTCTTTCTCTGCCTGGCTTATTTCACTTAACACAATGACCTCCAGTTCTATCCATATTGTTGCAAATGACAGGATCTCATTCTTATTTATGGTTGAATAGTACTCCATTGTGTGTAAGTATGGCATTTTGTTTATCCACTCATCTGTTGACGCTTAGGTTGCTTCCAAATCTTGCCTATTGTGAACAGTGCTACAACAAACATGGGAGTGCAGATGAGTCTTTGATATACTGATTTATTTCTTTTGAGCATACAGTCAGAAGTGAGATTGCTGGATCATATCATAGCTCTATTTTTGTTTTTTTGAGGAACCTCCAAACTGTTCTCCATAGTGATTGTACTAACTTACATTCCCACCACCAGTGTACGAGGGTTCCCTGTTTTCTTCATATCCTCACCAACAATTGTTCTTGCATGTCTTTTGTATAAAAGCAGGGGCCAGATGATATTTCATTGAAGTTTTGATTTACATTTCTCTGATGATCAATGATGTTGAGCACCTTTTCATATACCTGTTTGCCATCTGTAGCTCTTCTTTTGAGAAATGTCTATTCAAATCTTTTGCACATTTTTAAATTAGATTATTAGAGTTTTTACTATAGAGATGTTTGAACTCCCTGTATATTCTGGTTATTAATCCCTTGTCAGAGGGGTAGTTTGCAAGTATTTTCTCTTATTCTGGGGGTTGTCTCTTCATTTTGTCATTTCCTTTTCTGTGCAGAAGCTTTTTAACGTGATGTGATCCCATTTGTCTATTTTTGCTTTGATTGTCTCTGCTTATAGGGTATTATTCAAGAAATCTTTGTCCAGACTGAAGCCTTGAAGTTTCCCCCCAGTGTTTTCTTTTAGTAGTTTCATAGTTTGAGGTCTTAGATTTAAGTCTTTAATCAATTTTGATTTGATATTTGAATATGGTGAGAGATATTTCACCATATCTTTCTTTCATTCTTTTGCATATGCATATACAGTTTCATTCTTTTGCATATGCATATACAGTTTTCCCAGCATTGTATAAATGTCTGAAGACACAGCCTTTTCCCCAGTGTATGTTCTTGACACCTTTGTCGAAAATAAATTCTCTGTAAATTATGGATTCACTGTAGGCATGTGGATTTGTTTCTGGGTTTTTTATTCTGTCTCATTGGTCTATGTGTCTATTTTATACCAGTATCACACTGTTTTGGTTACTATAGCTCTGTAGTATAATTTGAAGTCAGGTAATGTGATTCTTCCAGTTTTGTTATTTTTGCTCAGGATGCTATTCTGGGTCTTTTGCAGTTGCATTTTTGGATTGTTTTTTCTATTTCCATGAAAAATGTTATTGGTATTTTGATAGGAATTGCATTGAATCTCTAGATTGCCTTGCATGGTATGGGCATTTTAACAATGTTGATTCTTACAATCCATGAATATGGAATATCTTCCCATTTTCTGGTGTCCTCTCCAATTTCTCTCATCAGTGTTTTATGGTTCATTGTAGAGTTCTTTCACTTCTTTGGTTAATTCCTAGACATTTAATTTTATTTGTGGCTATTGTAAATGGGATTACTTTTTTCCATATTGTTCATTGTTGGTGTATAGAAATGTTACTGATTTTTATATGTTGATTTTGTATCCTGAAACTTTACTGCATTTACCAGTTCTAGCAGTTTTTTGATCCAGTTCTTAAGTTTTTTCCAAATATAAGATTATATCATCTGGAAACAAAGATAATTTGATGTCTTTTTTTTTTCCAATTTGGGTGCCCTTTATTTCTTTCTCTTGTCTAATTGCTATAGTTATGACTTTTATCACTATACTGAATAACAGTGGTGAGCGTGGACATTCTTGTCATGTTCCAAATCTTAGAGGAAAGACTTTCAGTTATTCCCCATTCAGTTTGATATTAGTGTGGGTCTGTCATATATGGCTTTTATTATGTTGAGGTATGTTTCTTCTATACCCAATATTCTGAGAGTGTTTCATCATAAAGAGATCTTGAATTTTACCAAATCCTTTTTCAGCATCAATTGAAATGATTATATGGTTGTTGCCCTTCATTCTATTGGTATGATGTATCACATTGATTGATTTGTGTATGCTGAACCATTTGTACATTCCTGGGATAAATCCCGCTTGGTCATGATGAATAATCTTTTTAAGGTAATGTTGAATTTGGTATATTGTGGAAGATTTTTCCTGGTATATTGTTGAAGATTTTTGCATCAACTTTCATCAGAGATATTGGCTTGTAGTTGTATTTTTTAACATTTCTTTGTCTGGTTTTGAAATCAGGGTAATACTGGCCTTGCAGAATGAGTTTGGAAGTATTTCCTCCTCCTATTTTTTGGAATAGTTTGAGTATAATTGGCATTAGTACTTCTCTCAATGCTTGGTAGAATTCAGCAGTGAAGCCATCAGGTCCAGGGCTTTTCTTTACTGAGAGACTTTTGTTTGTTTGCTTGTTTGGTTGGTTGGTTTTTTGTTTTTGTTTTTGTTTGTGTTTGTGTTTGTATTTTTGAGATAAAGTCTCGCTCTGTTTCCAGGCTGGAATGCAGTGGTGCAATCTCGGCTCACTGCCATCTCCCCCTTCCAGGTTCAAGCGATTCTTCTACCTCAGCCTCCCGAGTAGCTGGGATTACAGTCGTGTGCCACCATGCCATGAAGAAATCCAAAACCTGAGCAGACCAATAACAAGTAACAAGATCGAAGCTGGGAGACATTATTATAGCTTCAATATTATTATTCGTTATTGGTTTGTTCAGGTTTTGGATTTCTTCATGGTTTAATCTTGACAGATTTTATGTGTATAGGAATTTATCCATTTCCTCTGGATTTTTCCAATTTATCGACATATAGTTGCTCATAATAACCACTAATGCTCATTTGAATTTCTGCATTATTAGTTGTAATGTCTCCTTTTTCATCTGTGATTTTATTTATTTGGGTATTCTCCCTTTTGTTCTTTATTAGTCTGGCTAAAGGTTTGTCAATTTTGTTTATCTTTTCAAAAAACCAACTTGTTGTTTTCTTCATTTTGAATTCATTTATTTCTGCTCTGATCTTTTATTCTTTTCTTCTAATTTTGGGTTCAGTTTGCTCTTACTTTTCTAGTTCTTTAAGACCTATTGTTTTTTCTTTTCATCAACTTTTATTTTAAGTTCTGGGGTACATGTACAGGATGTGCAGGTTTGTTACATGAGTAAACCTGTGCCATGGTGGTTTGCTGCACAGATCAACCCATCATCTAGGTATTAAGCCCAGCATCCATTAGTTATTCTTTCTGATTTTTCTTCTTTTTGGATGTAGGCACTTAGAGCTATAAATTTCCCTTAGTACTGCTTTTGCTGTATCCTATAGGTTTTGGTATGTTGTGTTGCCATTATCATTTGTTTCAAGAAATTTTTAAATTTCCTTCTTAATTTCTTCATTGACCCACCTGTCATTTAGGATCATATTATTTAATTTCCATGTGTTTGTATGGTGTCAAAAACTCCTATTATTGATTTGTAGTTTTATTCCATTGTTTTCAGGGAGTATGCTTGATATTATTTCAATTTTTGAATGTTTTCAGACATGTTTTGTGACCTAACATATCACCCAACCTTGAGAATAATCCATATGCTGAGGAGAATCATGTGTATTCTGCAGTCTCTGGGTGAAATATTCTGTAAATATCTATTAGGTCAATTTGTTCTATAGTGTAGCTTACATTCAATGTTTCTTTATTGAGTTTCTGAATGGCAGATTTGCCCAGTGTTGAAATTGGGGTATTGAAGTCTCCAGCTATTAGAGTATTGAGGTCTATCTCTCTCTTTGGTTCCAAAAAAATTTGCTTTATATATCTGGGTACTCCAGTGTTGGATGCATATATTATAGTCATTATATCCTGCTGCTGGCTGATCCTTTTATCATTATATAATTATTTTTTGTCTCTTCTTACAGTTTTCATCTGAAAATCTATTTTGTTTGATATAAATATAGCTACTCCTGCTCTTTTTTGGTTTCCATTGGCATGGAATATCTTTTTCCATCCCTTTATTTTCAGTCTATGTGTCTCTTTATAGGTGAAGAGTATTTCTTGCAGGTACCAGATTACTGAGTCTTGTTTTTTCATTCATTCAGCCAGTCTATGTCTTTTGATTGGAGAGTTTAGTCCATTTACATTCAATGTTACTGTTGATAAGCAGGGATTTACTCATGCCATTTTGTTATTTGTTTTCTGCTTTTTGTGTTATTCTCTTCTTTACTGTCTTCCTTTAAGTGAAGGTAATATTTTCCCTAGTGGTATAATTTTATTTTGCTTTTTATTTTTGTGTATATGTTGTATGTTTTTTTATTTGAGGTTACCATTAGGCTTGCAAATACTATCTGGTAACCCATTATTTTAAACTGATGACAACTTAACATTTATTGCATAAACAAACAAACATGCAAAAAGAAAACTAATACAAACTCTACACTTTAATTTAATACTCCCACTTTTTAACTTTTTGTTGTTTCTCTTTATGTCTTATTGTATTGTCTATGACTTGAAAAGTTGTTGTAGCTATTTTTCATTGGTTAATGATTTAGTTTTTCTACTTAAAAGCAGTTTGCAACCGCAGTTAGTGTTATACTGTTCTGCATTTTTCTGTGTGCTTACTATTCCTAGTGAGTTTTGTACCTTAAGAGGATTTCTTTTTTTTTTTTTGATGGAGCCTCGCTCTGTCGCCCAGGGTGGAGTGCAGTGGCAGGATCCCGGCTCACTGCAAGCTCCGCTTCCTGGGTTCATGCCATTCTCCTGCCTCAGCCTCCTGAGTAGCTGGGACTACAGGCACCCACCACCATGCCCAGCTTTTTTTTTTTTTTTTTTTTGTATTTTTAGTAGAGATGGGGTTTCACCGTGTTAGCCATGATGATCTCGATCTCCTGACCTCGTGATCCACCAGCCTCGGCCTCCCAAAGTGCTGGGATTACAGGCATGAGCCACTGTGCCCCGCCTACCTTAAGAGGATTTCTAATGTCGTTTGCTTTCTGACTGAAGTACTCCCCTTAGCGTTTCTTGTAGGACAGCTCTGGTGTTGGTGAAATCCCTCAGCTTTGTTTGTCTGGAAAAGTCTTTATATCTCCTTCACGTTTGAAAAATATTTTTGGTAAATATACTATTCTAGGGTAAGTTTTTTTTTTTTTCCTTAAGCACTTTGAATATGTCATGTGATTCTCTTTTGGCCTGTAAGGTTTCCATGGAAAAGTCTGCTGCCAGACATATTGATACGCCATTGTATGTTATTTGTTCTTTTCTCTTTCTGCTTTTTTCTTTATCTTTGACCTTTAGAAGTTTGATAATTAGATGCCTTGAGGCAGTCTTCTTTGGGGTGAATATACTTGGTGTTTGATATGGTTTGGCTGTGTCCCCACCAAAATCTCATCTTAAATTGAAACTCCCACAATTCCCACGTGTCACTGGAGAAACCCAGTGGGAGGTGATTGAATTATGGGGGTGGGTCTTTCCTGTGCTGTTCTCTTGATAGTGAATGAGTCTCATGAGATCTGATGATTTTAAAAATGGGAGTTTCCCTGCACAAGCTCTCTATTTTGCCTGCCACCATCCATGTAAGACGTGACTTTCTCCTCCTTGCTCCTCCTTACCTTCCATCATGATTGTGAGGCCTCCCCAGCCACTTGGAACTGTAAGTCCATAAAACTTCTTTTTCTTCCCAGTCGTGGATATGTCTTTATCAGCAGCATGAAAACAGACTAATACAATGTTCTATAACCTTCTTGTATATGGATATTGATATCGACATCTTTCTCTAGGATTTCTCTATTATTATCCCTTTGAATAGGCTTTCTATTCCTTTCTCTCTCTCTCTACTTTCTCTTTAAGGCCAACAACTTAAATTTGCCCTTTTGAGGCTATTTTGTAGATCTTGTAGGCATGCTTTATTGTTTGTTATTCTTTTTTCTTTTATCTATCTCCTCTGACAGTATTTTCAAATAGCCTGTCTTCAGGCTCACTAATGCTTTCTTCTGCCTGATCAGTTCTGCTATTAAAAGACTCTGATGGATTCTTCAGTATGCCATTTGCATTTTTTTTTCAGAGTCTCACTCTCTCACCCAGGCTGGAGTGCAATGGCATGATCTCAGCTCACTGCAACCTCCGCCTCCTGGGTTCAAGCAATTCTCCTGCCTCAGCCTCCCAAGTAGCTGGGATTACAGGTGCCTGCTATCATGCCTGGCTAATTTTTTGTAATTTTTAATAGAGATGGGGTTTTGCCATGTTGGACAGACTGGTCTCAAACTCCTGACCTCAAGTGATCCACCCGCCTTGGCCTCCCAAAGTGCTGGGATTACAGGCATAAGCCACTGTGCCCAGCCTGCCATTTGTGATTTTTTTTTTTTTTTAGACGGAGCCTTACTCTGTCGCCAGGCTGGAGTGCGGTGGCATAATCTTGGCTCACTGCAACCTCTGACTCCTGGTTCAAGCAATTCTCTTGCCTTAGTCTCCTGAGTAGCTGGGATTACAGGCACGTGCCATCACGCCCAGCTAATTTTTGTATTTTGGTAGAGACGGGGTTTCACCATGTTGGCCAGGATGGTCTCGATCTCCTGACCTCAGGTGATCTGCCCGTCTCAGCCTCCCACAGTTCTGGGTTTACAGGCGTGAGCCACCGTGTCTGGCCACCATTTGCATTTTTTAGCTCCAGAATTTCTCCTAAAAAATGTGATTTTTAAAAATTATTTCAATCTCTTTGTTAAATTTATCTGATAAAATTCTGAATTCCTTCTCTGTGCCATATTGAATTTCTTTTAGTTTCCTGAAAACAGCTATTTTGAATTCTGTCTGAAGGGTCACATATCTCTGTTTCTTCAGGATTGGTCCTTGGTGCCTTATTAAGTTAGTTTGGTGAGGTCATGTTTTCCTGGATATCTTGATGTTTGTAAATATTCATCAGTGTCTGGGCATTGAAGAGTTAAGCATTTATTGTAGTCTTCACAGTCTGGGCATGTTTGTGCCCATCCTGTTTGAGAAAGTTTTCCAGGTATTCAAAGGAACTTGGGCCCTAAGTCCAGTAATACTCTTGTTGATGAAGACTTGCAGAGGTACTGCCTTAGTGGTCTTGGATAATATCCAGAATACTTATCTATATTACCAGGCAGAGACTTTTGTTCTTTTCCCTTACTTTCTTCCAAATAAACAGAATCTCTGTGTGTACTGAGCTGCCTGAAACTAAGGGAGTGGTAATGCAAGCCCTCTGTGGCCACCCATCACTGGGACTGTACTGGGTCAGACCTTGATATGGTTTAGGTGTGTCCCCAATCAAATCACATCTTAAATTGTAACTCCCATAATCCCCATGTGTCATGGGAGGGATGCAGTGGGAGGTAACTGGATCATGGGGGTGGGTTTTCCCATGCTGTTCTCATGATAGTGAATAAGTTTCATGAGATCTGATGGTTTTATAAAGGGGAGGTCCCCTGTACATGCTCTCTTGCCTGCCACCATGTAAGATGTGACTTTGCTCCTCTTTTGCCTTTCAACATGATTGTGAGGCCATTACTGGATATATACCCAAAGAATTATAAATCATTCTACTATAATGACACATGCACATGTATGTTTATTGCAGCACTATTTACAATAGAAAAGACTTGGAACCAACCCAAATGCCCATCAATTATTGAATTTGAAAAATGTGGCACATATACATCATGAAATACTATGCAGCCATAAAAAGGAATGAGATCATGTCCTTTGCAGGGACATAGATGGAGCTGGAAGCCATCATTCAAGCAAACTAACACAGGAACAGAAAACCAAACCCCGCATATTCTCACTCATAAGTGGGAGTTGAACAATGAGAACACATGGACACAAGGAGAGGAACATCACAACCCGGGACCTGTCGGGAGGTGGAGGGGCAAGGGGAGGGAAAGCATTAGGGCGAATACCTAATGCATGTGGGGCTTAAAACCTAGATGACAGGTTGATAAGTGCAGCAAATCACCATGGCACATGTATACCTTTGTAACAGACCTGCATGTTCTGCACATGTATCCCAGAACTTAAAGTAAAATAAAGAAAAATAATTAAAATAAATGTGTTTTTCCTGTGAGGGGGATGAATGATGTAAGATTCTATTCTGCCATTTTGCTCCATCCTCTTCTAAACTTTGTATTAAGACAGCTCGCATAAACTTTTACCTTTAATAACTTCTCCCTTGCATAACTAACCTCCTCACATATGCCTATGATCAATGATAGCATGCATATCCCACATTATAACCTCCTGCTTATTCCCAAATAAATTTTTTCTTTGGAGAGCCACTCTCTGTTGTTACTTTAGGTTAACATAATGTGGTGTCAGAAGTGAGATCCAAGCAAGCTCACCTTGCAAGAATCGGCACCCCCTGGAATTGTGTACAGTATCCACCTGAACTTCTTAGGCTCTGTGCATCTGTTGAGTTGCCTTTTCACCTTAGTGAATCTCCTCTTGGATTCTTGAACTTCCTCCTTTTGATTAGGTTTTTTTTCTTTATTTGGTATCTGATTTAGATAAGGCTGCTTTAGTAAAGGACCTTAAATCCCTCTTGGGACTGTAAAAGACTTTTATGTCTTTTCTGGTAAATCTTTTCTAGTATAAGGTTGGTTTATCTTTCTGGTAAGTACACTTGGTTTAAGTTTTGGTTATTTATGCAGGTCTGTAAATGATTTTGTCCTTTTACTTTTCTTCTCTCTTTCCTCACATGTTTCTGAACATCTTTCAAAAGCAAAGATAAGCATATTAAGCTGATAAGATTTTCTTTTGGCACATGAGTGATTAATAAGAAATGAAATGAGATTCTTCAATTCTAAAGCATATGATGCTTTCAGGAACTCCAACTGATTATATGTTCAAACATTACGGCCCTTCTTAGTGCACATTTTTAAAGCAATGAACAAATTACACCAAAAATAACTCAGAATTTCCACGTCCATATGAAAAATCATTCAAACTTTTCAAAATTGTTTTTCTTAGAGCTATATTAGAAAATTATGTCTATAAAGTTAAACAGTCCAAATGAGATATACATTTTTAATTGTCATCCTGAGGTTTCAAAATGCATTTAGAACACAAGCATTACTTCACTGCAAAATACTGTCTCAAAGCTGACTGAGTCTCTTTCTTCTCCAAAGACTTCCTCTTCTCTTCCTACAACTCCTCCTCTTCTTTTTTCTTCTCTGGCAGAAATCTTATTTTTTTCAAAACTTCTCAGGTACTAACACAATTCTCTTCACAGCCACCAACTCAGATTTGTATATGTGAAATTTCTAAGACGTTAAAATATGCTGTTCTGGCATATTGACTATTTCAGTTAAAGACACTTGAGGGCTAGGTGTGGTGACTCATGCCTGTAATCCTAGTACTTGGGAGGCCAAGGTGGGAGGATCACTTGGACCCAGGAGTTCAAGAACAGCTAGGGCAACATGGAGAGACCCCATCTCTATTAAAAAAAAAAAAAAGAGAGAGAGAGAGACTTGAAAAACAGCAGGTACATAAAGATCACTTTGACCTTCACTCTTTTTTTAAAAAAGCAGAAGATAAACTTCCCATGTGAAAGTCAGCCTCCCTATACTGGAAGAAAAGGCAAAATCCTTATCTTCAAAAAGAACACATATACACCTTATTAGAATGACACAACTTTTAAGCCTCCTTATATTATTTAGTCACATTTTTAGAGTTTACTATTCTTTATCCAATCCAGCACATTGGTAACTGACTCTAGCTGCTTCTTTGGGGCCTTTACTTCCTTATGTGGGCTCCCACGCCACATAAAATTTATATTGGGTTTTTCTCCTGTTAATATATCTTATGTTAATTTAATTTTTGGACCTAATTGTGACCCTAAAGGCTGGGACATTTCACTCACTCTAGAGCCCTCACATGAGATTCGGGAGCCAGTTACAGAGGCTCATACTTGGCTTACTCTTTTTAGACTTTCTCCAAGCTACTCAGAAGACTGAAGCAGAAGGATCACTTGAGGCCAGGAGTTCAAGATCAGCCTGAGCAACATAGTGAAACCCTATCTCTAAAAATACAAAAAAAAAAAAAAATGTGATCCTGAGAAAAGGAAACAAAAAGTAAGAATTCAACATTCTTGAATCTTTATCCATAATGCCTGGTTGAGAGAAAAAAAGTTGTTTAAAGTTTTGTCTTTATTTTTCTAAATTTGGAATAAGAAGAAAGAAATACATTTGTAGAATTTTTTTTAAATTTTGACTGCTGTTAATAGGATTTTGGGTGTCCATTGGTTATTGATGAACAGCCTCCCAGACATAGTCCTTGTTTTCCTTGTCTCTATTTTTTGTGTGATTTTTTTTCTAAAGAAAAATTATAGTATACCTATTACCATATTGTAGCCCCGTTTATTGTTTTTGAGTTTTTGTTATTTTACAATCTGAACCAAATCCCAAACTCTTCTAGTTCCCTCTAATTTCTCACTACCATAGGTCTCACCCAGTTCTCCATGGCCATTCAATTTGTTTAGTTGGTTGCCTGTAAACCTAGATCCATAGTTCAGAACCATTATACAAACTTGAGTTATCATACTGTGGTTGTATTATTCTTTTAAAACTTTGTACCTGTTGTTGGTCAAATTTCTACAGACATACAACACCTAACAGAGTAATGTTGTCAAGCGCTTCAGAAGAATACTTTCAACACCTATGGAATTGACAAAATTGAACTTGCCAGGGAACTCCAGGAAAACTTAGCCTGACAGCCACTCCTTTAGACCTCCTTGTTGCTCAAATGTGACCAGAAGAATCTTGACATTGACTCGGAATTGTTAGCTATCACCCCTCCCTCCCAATGTGGGACCAGACCAACCAGGACAGGTCGATTCCAGCACTGAAGGACAATTAAAACCTAACTGCAGATTGATTTAGCAGCAATGCTTTCAGAGAAAGGTCTTGATCAAAAGGGGAAAATATAAAAGCTGCCTATGGCAAAATTGAGTCACTTATATTAGACCCAAGGCTGCACAGCTGGCAGGTCATGAAGGAGGGGTCCTCATGCTTGTATGTCTGAGATAAGAACTATTACCAAGACTCTCTGAAGGCCTGAGGCACATATGCCCATGGTAAGAACTATTATAAGAACTCTCTGAAAGCACAAAAAATTCCAGATAAATTGCTTCTATGAAGACATCTTCCCAACGGCAATTAGTGTTACCAATGAGTAATCACCAGTCCCTGCAATGGGCTTCTGTGACTGATCAACTTTAAGACAGCTTGCATGAACTTCCCCCTTTTGCCTTAATAGCTTCTCCTTGTCCTAACATCTTTGAATATGCCTATGATCTGTTCTAGCACTCATATCCCAGATTATAATTCCCTGCTTGTTCCTGAATAAATGTATGTCTTTGAAGAACCACTCTCTCTGTTGCTCTTTTAGGTAGACAAAACTTATAAATGAATTAAGTAAAGTTTCAGAATACAAAATTAATGTTAAAATATCACTTGCATTTCTTGCATCAATAACAAACTATCTGAAAAAGAAATAAAGAAACAAACCTATTCATGAAAGCTTCAAAAAGAATAAAATACCTAGGAATAAATTTAACCAAGGAAGTGAAACACCTGCACATTGAAAAAAATCCATAAAGATCCAGTGTTTATGGATTAGAAGAATTAAAATTGTCAAAATGTCTATACTACCCCAAAAGATCTACAGATTCAACACAATCTTTATCAAAATTCCAAATGCATTTTTTTTTACAAAAATAGAAAAAAAAGTCTAAAATTTTTGTGGAATCATAAGATACCTAGAGTAGTCAAAACAATCAAGAGAAAGAAAAACATTGTTGGAGAAATCATACTTCTTGATTTCAAATTATATTATAAAGCAATAGTAATCAAAACAGTATGGTTCTGGCACAAAAACAGACACATAGCCCAATGAAGCAGAATAAACAGTGCAGATATAAATTCCAACCTTACACGTCAACTAATTTTCCACAAGGACAGCTCTTCTTTATTGGTGCTTTTATCAGTATGTGGTACTAAAATCCATAATTTCAGTCCTGCACATTAAGATCAAGAGTTTCTAGCTTACATTTTTTTTCTATATTTATCTGAAGATATTTTCTAAGGAATTATTCTAAGTGTAGCAGAAATTGGCCCATGGTGTTTACTGCTGCCCGCTTTATGAGTATAGTCTTGCTTAATAGAAGAATGATTAGAAATTTTGTCAGGTCTGTGATGTAATCCTGAATGCAGTAATATAGAAGGTCCTTGTTGTAAATTGATGTAGTACTGGCTACTAGACAAAAATATCTCCTGCTTCTGTGAATATATCTGTTCTGTCCTTGCTGATTCTTGATGTTGAGGCCATTCCTTGTGTGATGGCAAATGTATGAGATATTTGACATTCCTGTTGCTAACATTGACAAATTATCAGTATATGACTGTCTTTTACAGAAATATTGCCTGAATTTAGAAGTACTAGCCTAGCCTGACCCTGACCCATCCTTCCTCACTGGACAGGGCCTTCCTGCAGGAACTCCACCAACTCCAGCCAGAGGCTCAGGAACAAAACCCTGATCTCCTAGGGCCTGAGCCCCTAGGGGGAGAGGTGGCCACAGTCTCTGCAGACCAGCAGACTTAGCCTTTCCTGCTGGTAGTTCTGAGGAATCCAGGCAGCCCAGATGAGCGGGTTTCCCCCCAGCGAAGCACACCCCCTCCACTAAGGGACAGTCAAGTGCTTCATTAAATGGGTCCTGTTCCCCCTGCCACCCAGCTGGTTGAGGACCTCCAACAGGGGTTGTCAGACACTTTATACAGGAGCAATGCTACTGGCATCAGGTTGGTGCCCCTTGAGGTCAGAGATCCCAGAAGGAGCAGGCACCCATTTTTGCTGTTATCCAGCCTCCTTGAGTGACAACTCCAGGCATGGGAGTGAACCAGATGAATAGGGCCTGAAGTGAACCCCAGCAAATCGCAGCAGCCCTACAGAACAGGCACCTGACCATTGAAAGAAAACCAAACAGAAAGCAACAACAACAGCATCATCAACAACAAAAAAACTCCACAAAAACCCCATCCAATGGTCAGCAACCTCAAAGATCAAAACTAGACAAACTCATGTAGATGAGAAACAATCGATGAAAAAATGCTGAAAACTGAAAAGGCCAGAGTGCCTCTTCTTCTCCAAATGATCACAACATCTCTCCAGCAAGGACACAGAAATGGACAGAGGATGAGATGGATGAATTGACAAAGATAGGCTTCAGAAGATGGGTAATAAAAAAAACTTTGGTGAGCTAAAGGAGCATGTTCTAACCCAATGCAAAGAAGCTAAGAACCTTGATAAAAGGTTAGAGGAGCTGCTAACTAGAATCACCAGCTTAGAGGGGGACATAAATGACCTGATAGAGCTGAAAAACACAGCATGAGAACTTTGTGAAGCATACACAAGTATCAATAGCCAAATCGACCAAGCAGAAGAAAGGATATCAGAATTTGAAGACCACTTTGAGTTTGAAACAAAGCATACAGACAAGGTTCGAGAAAAAAGAATGACAAAAAAACAAACAAACAAAGCCTCCAGAAATATGGGACTACGTAGAAAGACCAAACCTATGATTGATTGGAGTACCTGAAGGAGACGAGGAGAATGGGAACAAGCTGGAAAACACACTTCAGGATATTACTCAAGACAACTTCCCCAACCTATCAAGATGGCCAACATGCAAATTCCCAAAATGCAGAGGACACCACTAAGATACTCCACGAGAAGGACAACTCCAGGACATATAATCACCAGATTCTCCAAGGTCAAAATGAAGGAAAAAGTGTTAAGGGCAGCCAGAGAGAAAGGCCAGGTCACCTACAAAGGGAAGACCATCAGACTAATAGTGGACCTCTCAGCAGAAACTCTACAACCCAGAAGAGATTAAGGGTCAATATTCGACATTCTTAAAGAAAAGAATTTTCAACCCAGAATTTCATATCCCACCAAACTAAGCTTCATAAGCAAAGGAGAAATAAAATATTTTTCAGATAAGCAGATGCTGAGGGATTTTATTACCACCAGGCCTGTCTTGCAAGAGCTCTTGAAGGAAGCACTAAATATAGAAAGGAAAATCTGGTACCAGCCACTGCAAAAATACACCAAAATAAGAAGATCAATGACACTATGAAGCAACCGCATCAACTAGTGTGCAAAATAACCAGATAGCATCACGATGACATGATCAAATTCACACATAACAATACTTACAAATGGGATAACTACCCCAATTAAGAGACACAGACTGGGAAATTGGATAAAAAGTCAAGACCCACCAGTGTGCTGTATTCAGGAGATTCATCTCACGTGCAAATACACACATAGGCTCAAAATAAAGGGATGAAGGAAAATTTACCAAGCAAATAAAAAGCAAAAAAAAAAAAAACCAACGAAAAACAAACCATGGGGTTCAACCCTAGTCCCTGACAAAACAGACTTTAAACCAACACATTTCAAAAAAGACAAAGAACGGCATTGCATAATGGCAACAGGATCAATTCAATGAAAAGAGCTAACTATCCTAAATATACAGGCACCCGATACAGGAGGATCCAGATTCATAAAACAAGTTCTTAGAGACCTACAAAGAGACTTAGACTCTCACACGATAATAGTGAGAGACTTTAGCACCCCACTGTCAATATTAGACAGATCAATAGACAGAAGATTAACAAGAATATTCAGGACTTGAACTCAGCTCTGGATCAAGTGGACCTAAGAGACATCTACAGAACTCTCCATCCCAAATCAACAGAATACACATTCTTATCAGTGCCACATGGCACTTATTCTAAAATCGACCACATAATTGGAAGTAAAACACTCCTCAGCAAATGCAAAAGAACTAAATCATAACAAACAGTATCTCAGACCACAGTGCAATCAAATTAGAACTCGGGATTAAGGAACTCACTCAAAACCACATGATTAACCACCCTGGCTAACACGGTGGAACCCCGTCTCTACTAAAAATACAAAAAATTAGCCCGACGTAGTGGCGGGCGCCTGTAGTCCCAGCTACTCCGGAGGCTGAGGCAGGAGAATGGCGTGAACCCGGGAGGCGGAGCTTGCAGTGAGCTGAGATTGCACCACTGCACTCCAGCCTGGGTGACAGAGCCAGACTCCGTCTCAAAAAAAAAAAAAAAAAACAAAAAAAAAACCACATGATTACATGGAAATTGAAAAACCTGCTCCTAAATGACTGCTGGGTAAATAATGAAATTAAGGCAGAAATCAAGAAGTTCTTTGAAACCAATGAGAACAAAGAGACAATGTACCGGAATCATTGGGATACAGATAAAGCAGTGTGTAGAGAAAAATTTATAGCACTAAATACCTACATCAGAAAGTCAGAAATAACTCAAATCGACACCCTAACATCACTATTAAAAGAGCTAGAGAACCAAGAGCAAACGAATCCAAAAGCTAGCAGAAGACAAGAAATAACTAAGTTTAGAGCATAACTGAAAGAGATAGAGACACAAAAAACCCTCCAAAAAATCAGAGTCCAGAAGTTGTTTTTTTGAAAAAATTAACAGGATAGACTACTAGCTAGACTAATAAAGAAGAAAAGAGAGATGAATTAAATGACACAATAAAAAATAATAAAGGGGATATCACCACTGATCCCTACAGAAATACAAACTACCATCAGAGAATACTATAAACATCTATACGCAAATAAACTAGAAAATCTAGGAAAAATTGACAAATTCCTGGACACATACAGCCTCCCAAGACTAAACCAGGAAGAAGTCAATCCCTGAATAGATAAACAAAAAGTTCTGAAATTGAGGCAGTAATTAATACCCTACCAACCAAAAAAAAAAAAAAAATCCCAGGACCAGATGGTTTCCCAGCTGAATTCTACCAGAGGTACAAAGAGGTGATGATACCATTGCTTCTGAAACTA
Organism: Homo sapiens; assembly: GCF_000001405.40. Lineage (NCBI taxonomy): Eukaryota > Metazoa > Chordata > Mammalia > Primates > Hominidae > Homo > Homo sapiens. Next base: position 111,011,596 of record NC_000001.11, read on the forward strand.
TTCCAAACAGGTGAAAAGGAGGGACTCCTCCCTAACTCATTTTATGAAGCCAGCCTCATCCTGATATCAAAACCTGCCAGAGACAAAACAACAAAAAAAGAAAACTTCAGGCCAATATCCCTGGTGAGCATCAATGTGAAAATCGTCAATAAAATATTTGCAGACCAAATTCAGCAGCACATCAAAGAACTTATCTACCATGATCAAGTCAGCTTCATCCCTGTGATGCAAGTCTGGTTCATCATATGCAAATAAATAAATGTAACCCATCGCATAAACAGAACCAAATACAAAAACCACATGATTGTCTCAATAGATGCAGAAAAGGTCTTCAATAAAATTCAACGTCCCTTTATGCTAAAAACTCCCAATGAACTAGGTACTGATAGAACATGTCTCAAAATAATAAGAGCCATTTATGACAAACCCACAGCCAGTAGCATATTGAATGGGCAAAAGCTGGAAGCATTCCCTTGGAAAACCATTACAAGAAAAGGATGCCCTCTCTCACCACTCCTATTCAACATATTATTGGAAGTTCTGGCCAGGGCAATCAGGCAAGAGAAAGAAATAAAGGGTATTCAAACAGAAAGAGAGGAAGTCAAATTGTCTCTGTTTGCAGATGACATGATTCTATATTTGGAAAATCCCAATATGTCAGACCAAAACTCCTCAAGCTGATAAGCAACTTCAGCAGATTCTCAGGATACAAAATCAATATGCAAAAATCACAAGCATTCCTTGACATCAACAATAGACAAGCAAAGAGACAAATCACGAATGAACTCCCATCCACAATTGCTACAAAGAGAAGAAAATACCTAGAAATACAGCTAACAAGGAATGTGAAGGACCTCTTCAAAGAGAATTACAAACCACTGCTCAAGGAAATAAGAGAGGGCACAAATGGAAAAACATTCCATCCTCATGGATAGGAAGAATCAATATCATTAAAATGGCCATACTGCCCAAAGTAATTTGTAGATTCAATGCTATTGAATTGAATGCATCAAACTACCATTGATATTCTTCACAGACTTAGAAAAAAACTACTTTAAATTTCATATGGAATCAAAGAAACCCCCATATAGCCAAGACAATCCTAAGCAAAAAGAACAAAGCTGGAGGTATCACACTACTGACTTCAAACTATACTAGAAGGCTACAATAACCAAAACAGCAAGGTACTTGTATCAAAACTGACATATAGACCAACGGAACAAAACAGAGACCTCAGAAGTAACACCACACATCTAAAACCATCTGATCTTTGACAAATCTGACAAAAAAGAAGCAACAGGGAAAGGATCTCTTATTCAATAAATGGTGTAAATAGTGCTGGAAAAACTGGCTAGGCATATGGAGAAACTGGACCCCTTCTTTACACCTTATACAAAAATTAACTCGAGATGGATGAAAGACTTAAATGTAAAACCCAAAACCATAAAAACCCTAGAAGAAAACCTAGGCCATACCATTCAGGACATAGGCATGGGCAAGACTTCATGAATAAAACACCAAAAACAATTGCAACAAAAGCAAAAATTGACAAATGGGATCTAATTAAACTAAAGAGCTTCTGCACAGCCAAAGAAACTAACATACCTGCAGAATGGGAGAAAATTTTTGCACTCTACCCATCTGACAAAGGTCTAATATCCAGAATTTACAAGGAACTTAAACAAATTTACAAGAAAAAAATAAACAATCCTATCAAAAAGTGGGCAAAGGATATGAACAGACACTTCTCAAAAGAAGACATTTATGTGACCAAAAAACAGGAAAAGAAGCTCAACATCACTGATCACTAGAGAAATACAAATCAAAACCACAATGAGATACAATCTCACACCAATCAGAATAGTGATTATTAAAATGTCAAGAAACAATAGATGCTGGTGAGGCTGTGGAGGGAATGTAAATTAGTCCAACCATTGTGGAAGACAGTATGGTGATTCCTCAAGGATCTAGAACCAGAAGTACCATTTGACCCAACAATCTCATTACTGAGTATATAACCAAAGGAACAAAAATCATTCTACCATAAAGATACATGCACATGTATGTTTATTGCAGCACTATTTACAATAGAAAAGTCACAGAACCAACCCAAATGTCCATCAATGATAGACTGAATAAAGAAAATGTGGTACATACACACTGTGGAATACTATGCAGTCATAAAGAAGAATGAGATCACGTCCTTTGGAGTGACATGGATGAAGCTGGAAGTCATAATCCTCAGCAAACTGACACAGGAACAGAAAACCAAACACCACATGTTCTTACTCATAAGTGGGAGTTGAACAATGAGAACACATGGACGCAGGGAGGGAAACAACACACACCAGAGCCTGTTGGGGGATTGGGGGTGACAGGAGGGAATTTAGAGGTTGGGTCAATAGGTGCAGCAAACCACCATGGCACATGTATACCTAAGTAACAAACCTGCACATTCTGCACATGTATCCCGGAACTTAAAGTAAAATAAAATGAATTTAAATTTTCTTAAAAAAGAAAATGTGGTACATATACACCATGGAATACTATGCAGCTGTGAAAAAGAATGAGTTTATGTCCTTTGCAGAGACATGGATGAAGCTGGAAGCCGTCATCTTCAGCAAATTAACACAGGAACAAAAAGCCAAACACCACATGTTCTCACTCATAAGTGGGAGTTGAACCATGAAAACACATGGACACAGAAAGGGAAACAATGCACACCAGGGCCTGTTGGGGGGCTGGGGAGGGTGAGGGGAGGGAACTTAGAGGATGGGTCAATAGGTGCAGCAAACCACCATGGCACACGTATACCTACATAACAAACCTGCACGTTCTACACATGTATTCTGAAACTCAATTTAAAAAAAAAAAAGAAAAGAAGTGGCCTAGGGAATGCCAATGTAGATCATTTCTGAAAACGTGGGTTTATAGGTACATCAGTGTTACTATCTATTAAAATGGAATTCTGGACCAAAGATAAAGAAATGGTGTCTCTGATAAATATCATCTATTTTTGGTTTATTAAATGCCTGATTGGTCTTTGAGCTTCTAATCCTTTTCAACTTTAGAAACTCATATTTTAGCTCATCTAATAATTCTAGAGTAACTGTAGAATCCACATATTACCACCAAGGCTTTCCATCAATTGATGCAGGAATCTCTCAATGGGATCATTTGCAAGTCAAATGAATGTATACATATGCTATCACTGTTGGTTTGTACTGAAGAGAGAAGGTTGTGAGATGCAGACTGTTTATAGCCATCAAATAAGATGTCTGTGTCAAATCCTTGCTTGCCCTTACTAACTTGGTATGTTTTACCACATCTGATTGTGGATGTTCAATGCTGATCTCAAAATCTGGTGTTTGTAGGGTTATGGTTTCAATTAAAACCAGTTCTTGAGTCTGTTGAAAGTAAGTACCACATTTAGTATCCAGCACTGTAGGGAGTGAAGACAAGCATGTGCTACTTTAATAACATGTTCAAGTTTCTGAGCCTGTTCCTCCCCTTTCACTGCCAAAGAATTACATGGTTGACAGTATTACCCACACTCCTCACAGAAGTATTTGTTTCCTCTAAAGAGAGCTCAATTTTCATCTTCCTTTAGTGCAACACTGATACCCAGCACTCTTCCAAAGTTTCTGGTGAAATCCACTAATTCATTCACATTGCCTCCTAGTCAGTCTGCAGACATTTTACTCCATCAAGGATTCCTACTGAATTTAGTGAAAGAATAGTACATACAAACAATTGCAGTGTTTACTGTAAGCTGAGAGACATTGAGATGCTATCCAATGTCTTGGATGAGGTTGGCCACCTGCTGGCAGTATGGGACCTCTTTATCGACCTGCACTTCACAGTGGCTACTTGGCCTGCTTTCCAGCTGTTCCCTAGTAAGAGCCAATGAGAAGAAGCTCCACGCCTGGCACCATGACACTTCTTCCTCCCCACAAATTATATCTTTTTCTTTTAACTGGCATACAATAATCGTACACATTCATGGGGTACATAGTGATATTTCAATACATATAATGTACAGTGAGCAGATAAAGGTAATTAGCATAGCATATTCACCATCTTGAACATTTATTATTTCTTGAACATTCAGTTCTTGAACATCTTGAACATTCAGTTTTTTTATTCTAGCTGTTTGAAGCTATATAATATATTATTGTTAACTATAGTAATTCTACAGGGCTATAGAACACTAGAATTTATTCCTCCTATCTAACTACAATTTTGTATCCTTTAGGAAATTTTCTCTATTCTCCTCTTTCCCCTACCTTTACCAACTTCTAGTATCTTCTGTTCTACTTTTCACTTCTATGAGATCAGCATTTTTAGCTTCCATTATATGAGTAAGAATATGCAGTGTTTTACTTTCTATTCCTGGATTACTTCACTTAATATAATGTCTTCTAGTTCCATCCATGTCATGGCAAATGATGGAATTTTATTCTTTCTATGACTGAATAATATTCCATTGTGTGTATATATACCACATTTGCTTTATCCATTAATCTTTTGTTGGAAATCTAGGTTGATTTCATGTCTTGGTTATTGTGAATAGTGCTGCAATAAACATGGGGGTGCAAATGTCTCTTCAGTATTCTGATTTCCCTTCCTTTGGATAAATGCCCAGTAGTGAGACTGCTAGATCATATGGTAGTCCTATCTGTAGTTGTTTGAGAACCCTCCATACTGTTCTTTATGGAAGCTGTAGTAGTTCACATCCACACCAATAGTGTACAAGAGTTCTATTTTTTCTGCATCTTCACCAGCACTTGTTATTTTTTGTCTTTTTGATAATAGCCATCCTAACTGGGGTGAAATGATACCTCACTGTATTTTTGTTTTTGTTTTCCTGAGATGGAGTCTCACTCTGTCACCCAGGCTGGAGTGCAGTGTGGCACGATCTGAGCTCATTGCAGCCTCCGCGTTTTGGGTTCAAGCAATTGTCCTGTTTCAGTTTCCCAAGTAGCTGGGACTACAGGCACGCACCACCATGCCCAGTTAATTTTTTTTATTTTTAGTAGAGATGAGGTTTCATCATGCTGGCCAGGCTGGTCATGAACTCCTGACCTCAGTGGATCCACCTGCCTCGACCTCCCAAAGTGCTGGGATTGCGGGCGTGAGCCACCGCGCCCAGCCCTCACTGTGGTTTTGACTTGCATTTCTCTGATGCGTAGCGATGTTGAGTGTTTTTGTATATTGATTTATTAGCCATTTGTATGTCTTCTTTTGAGAAATGTCCGTTCATATTATTTGCCCCCTTTTTATTGAATTGTTTGTTCTTTTGCTGTTGAGATATTTGAGTTTCTTGTGTATTCTGGATATTAATCCCCTATTGGGTGAATAGTTTGAAAATATTTTCTCCCATTTTGTAGGCTGTCTTTTCTTTATGTTGATTATTTTCTTTGTTATATAGAGCTTTTTTAGTTTTATATAGCCCCATTTGTTTTTGCTTTTGTTACCTGTGTGTTTGAAGTCTTATTCATAAAATCTTTTCCCAGACCAATGTCCTGAAGTGTTTCTACTATTGTTTTTTCTAGTGGTCTTACAGTTTGAGGTCTTAGATTTGGTTATTTGTCCCATTTGGAGCTTATTGTTGAATAGGGTGAGAGGTGGGAGTTTAGTTTCATTCTTCTGCACATAGGTATCCAGTTTTCCCAGCACCATATATTAAAGAGACTATCCTTTCTCCAATGAGTGTTCTTGGTGCCTTTAATTCAAAATTCAAAAATCAATTGGCTGGAGATACATGGATTACTTTCTGAATTCTCCATTCTCTTCCATTAGTCTATGTGTCTGTTTATATGCTGATACCATGCTCCTTTTTGTTGTTCTTGTTACTACAGCTTTGTAGTACATTTTGAAGTCTGGTAGTGTGGCACCTACAGCTTTGTTCTTTTTGCTCAGTATTCCTTTAGCTGTTTGAGGTCTTTTGTGATTCCATACAATTTTTTTAAATTTTCTAATTATGTGAAGAATGTCATTAGTATTTTAATATGGATTGCATTGAATCTATAGATTGCTTTGGGTAGCATGGTCATTTTAACAGGATTAATTACTTTGGTCCATGAGCATGGAATCAGTGTTTTGTAGTTTTCCTTGTAGAGGTCTTGTATCTGCTTGGTAACATTTATTTCTAGGTATTTTTCTTTTGTATCTATTATATGTGAGATTTCCTTCTTGATTTCTTTTTCAGGTAGTTTGTTGTTCATGTATTGAAACACTACTGAGTTTTGTATCTTTATTGTGTATTCTGCAAGGTTACTGAATTCATTTATTACTTGTAAGAGTTTTTTGATAAAGTCTGTAAGTTTTTCTATATACAAAATCATGCTCTCTGAAAACAAGGACATATAGATATCTTCCTTTCCAATTTGGATGCCCTTTATTTCTCTCTCTTGGCTAATTGCTCTAGCTAGGACTTCCAGGACTATGTTGAATAAGAGTAGTGACAGGTGGCACCTTTGTCTTATTCCAGTGCTTAGAGGAAAAGCTCTCAGCTTTTCCCCATTTACTATGATGTTAGCCGTGGGTTTGTCACATGGCCTTTATTGTGTTGAGTTACTTTCCCTCTAAACATAATTTATTGAGAGTTTTTATCATGAAGGGATGTTGAATTTTATCAAATACATTTTTTTCTTCTATTTCTGTGACAAATGTCTGTGGTATTTTGAAAGGGATCATATGGGTTTGTCATTCGTTTTGTTGATATAATGTATCCTGTTTATTGATTTTCACATGTTGAACCATCTTTGCATTCATGGGATAAATCCCACTTGATCATAGTGCATTACCTTTTTTGATGCAGTGTTGGATTCAGTTTGTTAGTACTTTCTTAAGGATTTTTGCATCTATGTTCATCGGGACATTGACCTGCAGTTTTCTTTTTTTATTGGGCCCTTGTATCTCACTGAGTTTCCTGAAGATTGCTATTTCAAATTCTTTTTCTGGCATTTTGTATTTTTCCTTATGATTGGGGTCTGTTATTGGAGAATTGTACGTTACTTTGGAAGTGTCATGTGTCCTTTTTTCACATTTTACCTATTCCTATGTTGATAACTATGCATCCGATGAAACAGTCACCACTTCCAATTTTATGAAATAGGTTTTATAGAGAAATATTTATTTGTTTAGGTGGGTCTTGGGATGTTGATTCTGTAAGGTGCATTGGCTTTGGTTCTAGGTGGATGTAGTAGTGTGGTCTCTGTGTAGTTTCTTTAGCTGTAACCCATGTTAGTGACATTTACAGGTGTCTCAGTGGCCCATGCTGAAAAGAGTGTGGCAGTGGTGGTATGGCTTTGCTGGGGGTGGACTTATTGGTCTGTTTCTCAGATTAAGGGTGCATGCATGTACACAGCGGACTGGCCAACTTGATGTCTGGCTCACTGGGGTTGGAACCATGAGGCTATTATTCTAGTCAGGGGTACCATGTGTGATTGCTCACCTGGCCTGGGGACATGTCTGCCAGGGATGGTCCTCAGGGCTGCTTCTCAGGCCCAGACCATGGGCACATAGCTGCTTGGTGGCCTAGGGAAATATCTACTGAGGGTGGCCCACAGGGCAATTTTGCAGGCCTGGGACATGGCCACATGCCTTTTTGGCAGGCCTGGATGTGTGTCTGCTGGGGTTGGCCCTCAGGGCTGTTTCTCAGGTCTGGGATGGAGGAGCCCATACTCAAAAAAAATTGAGAGGGTTTAATTGCACAGGTGAACAGGCTAGTGTGAGACCTAGGTTGGACAGGTTGGTCCAGTAAGGATGTAGCATCAGAGAGGGCTCCCCCAAAGCCCATCGGCAGACCTGGTGAGGGAGTGATCTCTCTCATCCTTAAACCACAGTACACAACTGCAAATGCAAAGATGCACAAAGGAGCCATGTGGCTGAGTAAGAGCTTATCTACTGCTCATCACCGTCAACTGCCATATACTAAAACACAGCCCAAACTACAAAGTCAAAAATCACTTTACTAATTTTACCCCCTATGAAACCAAGAGCAAGAATTCTACAACAAAGAAAGACCCTGTACAGAGCCTTAGTCCTCTGAAAACTTCCAGAAATGAAGTCAACAGATGAAACTCAATTTACACCTCAATTAAAGGAATATCAGCCCTCCCAGATGAGCAAGAATCAGCACAAGAACTCTGGCAATTCAAAAAGCCAGAGTGATCCCTTACCTACAAATGAGCCCACTGGCACCCCAGCAATGGTTCTTAACCAGTTTGAATTGTCTGAAATGACAGACAAGGAATTCTGAATCTGGATGGCAAGGAAGTTCATTGAGATTGAGGAGAAAATTGAAACTCAATCCAAGGAAGCCAAGCAATCCAGTAAACCAATTCAAGGCTGAAAGATAAAATTCCCATTTTAAGACTAAACCAAACTGAGCATGAGTGAAATATTGGCTACAAGAATTTCATAATACAATTGGAAGTATTGACAGCATAATAGACCAAGCTGAGAATGAATCTCTGAGCTAAAGTATGAGTTCTTTGAGTCAGCACAGTCAGACAAAAATAAAAATAAATAAGAAAAATGAAAAAATTCTATGAGAAATATGGGATTATATAAAGAGACCAAATGACTTAGCATCATTTCTGAGAGAGAAGGAGAGAGAATAAGCTACATGGAAAATATATTTTAGGATACAGTTCATAAAAATTTCCCTGTTCTCACTAGAGAGGTCAATATGCAAATCTAAGAAATACGGAGAACCCCAGCCAGATACTATACAAGATGACCATTCCCAAGGCACATAGTCATTAGATTCACCAAGGTCAATGCAAAACAAAAAACTATAAAAACAACTAGAGAGAATGGGGCAGGTCACCTACAGAAAAAAAACCCATCAGGCTAGCAGCAGATTTCTCAGCAGAAATCTTACAAACCAGATAAGATTAGAGGCCTATTTTTAGTGTCCTTAAAGAAATTCCAACCAAGAATTTCATGTCCTGCCAAACTAAGCTTCATAAGTAAAAGAGAAGTAAAATCTTTCTGTAACAAGCACGTGCTGAGGGAATACATTTCAACCAGACCAGCCATACAAGAGGTCCTTAAGGGAATACTAAATATGGATTCAAAAGAATGACACCTGCTATCACAGAAGCACACCTAAGCCCATAGCCCACAGGCCCTATAAGGCAGCTATGCAATCAAGTTTATATAACAACCAGCTAACAACACCATGACAGGATCAAAATCACACATATCAATACTAATCTTGAATGTGAATGGGCTAAATGTCTCACTTAAAAGACAGAGAGTGGCAATCTGGATTAAAAGACAAGACCCAATCATCTGTTATCTTCAAGAGATCCATGTCACATGTGGCAATACCCACCAGCTCAAAGTAAAAGGGTGGAGTAAGAACTACCATGCAAACAGAAAACAAACAAACAAAAGCAGGAGTCACTATTTTTACATCAGATAAAATGGACTTTAAACTAATAAAAATTACAGACCGTAAAGGGCTTACATAATGATAAAGGATACACTCCAACAAAAAGTTTAACTATCCTAAATATATACACGTCCAATATTGGAGCACCCAGATTCATAAAACAAGTTCTTTTAGACCTACAAAAATACTTACACAACCACACGACAATAGTGGGAGACTTCAACACCCCACTGTCAGCATTACATATGGATCACATCAAAGCAAAAATCTAAAAAAGAAACTCTGAGGTTGGGCACAGTGGTTCACACCTGTAATCTCAGCCCTTCAGAAGGCTGAGGTGGGTGGATCATTTGAGCCCAGGGGTTTGAGACCAACCTGGACAACATAACAAAGCCCTGTCTCTACAAAAAATACAAAAATTAGCAGGGCATGGTGGCATGCACCTGTAATCCCAGCTGTTGAGGAGGCTGAGGCAGGAGGATCAATTGAGCCTGGGAGGTCAAGGCTTCAGTGAACTGTCATCAGGCCACTGCTCTCCTGCCTGGGCAGAAGAGTGACACCCCAGCTCAAAAATAAATATATAAATAAATAAAATAAACAAATAAATAAGAAACTTTGGACTTAAACTCAACACTTGCCCAATTGGATCTAATAGACATATACAGAACACTCCACCCAACAAACACAGAATATACAGTCTTCTCTTCTGCACATTGAATATATTCTAAGATTGACCATATGCTTGGTCATAAAGCAAGCCTCAATACATTCAAAAAAATTCAAATCATACAAAGCACACTCTCAGACCACAGTGCAATAAAAATAGAAATCAATACCAAGAATATTTCTCAAAACTACACAAATACATGGAAATTAAACAACTTACTAATGAATAACTCCTGGGGAAACATGAAAATCAAGGAAGAAATAAAAAAAAATTCTTTTAAATCAATGAAAATAAGGACACAAAAATACAAAAAAATCTGTGGGATGCAGCCAAAGCTGTGTTAACAGGAAAGTTTATAGAGCTAAATGCCTTCATCAAGAAGTTAGAAAGGTGCAATCTAATTTTGCACCTTAAGGAAATATTTTTTTAAAAAAAGAGCAAACCAATCCCAAAGCAACCAGAGGAAAAGAAATAACTAAAATTAGATAATAACGTAATGAAATTGAGATGCAAAAATCCATACAAAAGATCAATGAAACCAACAGCTGGGTCTTGAAAAAATAAATAATATCGATAAACCCCTAACTAGATCAACAAAGAAAAAGAAAATCCAAATAAGCACAATCAGATGTAACACATGTGATATTATAACTGATCCCACAAAAATACAAAAGATCCTCAGAGAAACTATGAACCACTCTATGCAGACAAATTAGAAAATCTAGAGAAAATAATAAATTCCTTGAGGCACACAATCTCCCAAGATTGAATCTGGAAGAGATTGAAACCCTGATTAGACCAAAGTCAACTTTTGAAATTGAATCAGTAATAAAGAACATGACAACAGCAACAAAAAAGCCCCATACTGGATGGATCCACAACCAAATTCCACCAGATGTACAAAGAAGAACTGATACCAATTATACTAAAACTATTTCGAAAGAATGAGGAGGAGGTCCTCCTCCCTAATTTATTCTATGAAGCCAGCATCACCCTGATACCAAAATCTGGCAGAGATGCAACGAAAAAATAAAACTCTAGACCAACATCCCTCAGGAACACAGATGCAAAAGTCCTCATCAAAATACTAGCCAGTCAAATTCAGCAGCACATTAAAAAGTTAATCCAGCAAATAAATTGGCTTTATTCCTGGGATGCAAGCTAGTTTAATATACACAAATCAATAAATGCCAGTTACCACATAAACAGAATCAAAAGCAAAAGCCACATGATCATCTCAATAGAAGCAGAGAAAGCTCTTGATAATATCCAACATCTCTTTATGATAAAAAGCCTCAATAAACTAGACATTGACAGAACATACGTCAAAATACTAAGAGCCATCTATAACAAACCCACAGCCAACCTTATCCTGAATGAGCAAAAGCTCAAATCATTCCCCTAGAGAACTGGAACAAGACAATGATGCCCACTCTCACCACTCCTATTTAACATATTACTGAAAGTCCTAGTCAGAGCAATCAGACAAAAGAAAGAAAAAGCATCCAATTAGGAAAAGAAGAAGTCAAACTATCTCTCTTCACTGATATTATTGTATACCTAGAAAATCCTAAAGACTCTACCAAAAAGCTTCTAGAGTTGATAAAAAGTTTCAGGATACAAAATCAATGTACAAAAATTAGTAGCATTTCTATATACCAACAACACCCAGGCTGAGAGCCAAATCAAGGACAAAATTTCACTTGCGATAGCCACACAAAAAAGAAATACCTAGAAATACACCTAACAAAGGGAGTGAAAGATCTCTAAAAGGAGAACTACAAAACACGCATGAAAGAAATCAGAGAGGCCAGTGGCTCCCACCTGTAATCCCAGCACTTTGGGAGGCCAAGGCGGGCAGATCACGAGGTCAGGAGATCGAGACCATCCTGGCTAACACAGTGAAAACCCGTCTCTACTAAAATTACAAAAAAACTAGCTGGGCGTGGTGGCGGGTGCCTGTAGTCCCAGCTACTCGGGAGCCTGAGGCAGAAGAATGGCGTGAACCCGGGAAGCGGAGCTTGCAGTGAGCCGAGATCAGGCCACTGCACTGCAGCCTGGGCGACAGAGAGAGACTCCATCTCAAAAACAAAACAAAACAAAACAAAACAGAAATCAGAGATAATGATGCAAATAAATGGAATAACATTTCATGCTCATAGATTGGAAGAATCAATATCATTAAAATGGTCATTCTGCCCAATTTACAGATTCAATGATATTCTTAACAAACTACCAATATTATTCTTGACAAAATTAGAAAAACTATTCTAAAATTTATATGGATCCACAAGAGCCTAAATAGATAGAGCAATCCTAAGCAAAAAGAGTAAAGCCAGAGACATAACATTACCTGACTTTATACTATAAAGCCACAGTTACCAAAACTGCTTGGTAGTAGTACAAACACAGACATAATGGGACAAAATAGAAAATGAGAAATAATGCTGCACACCTACAGCTATCTGATCTTCAACAAGGCCAACAAAAACAAGCAAAGGGGAAGGGACTCCAAGTCAATAAATGGTGCTTGGATAACTGGCTAGCAGAAGATTGAAAATGGATCCATATCTTTTCCCTTTCACCAGATACAAAAATTAATTAAAAATAGATTAAGAATGTAAATGCAAGACTTCAAACCATAAATATCCTAGAAGAAAATCTAGGAAATACTCTTTTCAACATTAGCCTTGGGAAAGAATTTCTGGCTAAGTCCCCAAAAGCTACTGCAACAAAATAAAGCAAAAAAGACAAGTGGGACCTAATTAAACTAAAGAGCCTTTTCACATCGAAAGAAACTATAAACAGAGTAAAAAGACAATCTGCAGAATGAGAGAAAATATTTGCAAGCTATGCATCCAAATAAGGTTTAATGTGTAGAATCTATAAGGAACTTAACAACTGATTAAAAAAAAATTAACCCCATTAGAAAGTGGGCAAAGGACATTAACAGACACCTCAAAAGTGGCCAAGAAACATGAAAAAATGCTCAGCATCACTAGTCACCAGAAAAAAATGCAAATCAAAACCACAAGAGATGCCATCTCTCACCAGTAGAAAAACTATTATTTAAAAGGCAAAAAATAACAGGTCTTGTTAAGGTTGCAGGGAAAAGGGAACGCTTATACACTGCTGTTGGGAATGTATATTAGTTCAGCCACTGTGGAAAGCAATGCGGTGATTTTTCACAGAACATAAAACAGAATTACCATTCAATGCAGCAATCACATTATTGGGCATATACCCAAAGGTATATATAAATTGTTCTACCATAAAGATACATGCACCCATATGTTAATTGCTGCAACATTCATAATAGCAAAGACATGGAATCAACGCAGATGCTCATCAATGGTAGACTGGATAAAGAAAATGTGGTAAAAGACATAGGGTGGGGCAAGATGGTGAAACAGAAGGCCCCACTGACCATCACCCTGCAGGAACGCCAAATTAAACAACCATCTACACAAAAAAAGCACCCTTCATAAGAACAAAAAATCAGGTGAGCACTCACAGTACCTGATTTTAACTTCACGTCACTAAAGGCACTGAAGATGGTAAACAAGGTAGTCTTGAATTGTCCATTCCACCCCTCCCCCACTCCTCCTGCAGAGGCCGCAGGTCATGGAGAAAGCTGTGCATGGGGGAGATAAAGAGTGCAGTAATCGAGACTTTGCATTCAACTCAGTGCTGCCCTGTCACAGGGGAAAGTAAAACCATGCTGATCTAAGCTGATACTTGCCCATGGAGAAAGAACTTAAACCAGCTCTAGCCAGGGGGATATCACCCATCCCAGTAGTCAGAACTTAAATTCTGGCATGCCTCACTACCATGAGCTGAAATGCTCTGGGGCTGTAAATGAACTTAAAGGGCAGTCTATGGCACAAAATTTGCAATTCCTGGGCAAGTCCTACTGCAGAGAAAAGCTCAAAGCCAGCGGACTTCTGAGGCATATGATTTACTGAGACACCAAAGAGAACAGCTAAAGGAGTGCTTTCACCACTCATCCCCACAACCCAGGCAGCACAGCTCATGGCTCCAAAGAGAAGGGTCCAATTCAGCAAAAAAAGCTAACTATCCTAAATATATATGCACCCAATACAGGAGCACTGAGATTCATAAAGCAAATTCTTAGATACCTACAAAGAGACTTACACTCCTACACAATAATAGTGGGAGATTTTAACACCCCACTGTCAATATTAGACAGGTAACTGAGACAGAAACTTAACAAAGATATCAAGGCCCGAACTCAGCTCTGGATCAAGTGGACCTGATAGATATCTACAGAACTCTTCACACAAAAACGACAAAATATGCATTCCTCTCATCACCACATGGCACTTACTCTAAAACTGATCACATAATCATAAGTAAAACACTCCTCAGCAAATGTAAAAGAACTGAAATCATAACAAATAGTCCCTCAGACCACAGCACAATCAAATTAGAACTCAAAATTAAGAAATTCACTCAAAACCACACAACTACATGGAAATTGAGTAATCTGCTCCTGAATGACTATTGGGTAAACAATGAAATTAAGGTAGAAATCAAGTTCTTTAATACTAATGAGAACAAAGAGACAACATATCAGAATCACTGGGACACAGCTAAAGCAGTATTAAGGAGAAAATTTATAGCACTAAATGCCACATCACAAAGCTAAAAAGATCTTAAGTTAACAACCTAACATCACAACTAAAAGAACTAGAGAACAAAGAGCAAACAAACCCAAAGCCAGCAGAAGTCAAGAAATAACCAAGATTAGAGCTGAACTGAAAGCGATGGAGACACAAAAAGCCCTTCAAAAAATCAACAAATCGAGGAGCTGCTTAATAATTTTAAAAATTAATAAGATAGACTTCTAGCTAGACTAATAAAGAAGACAAGAGAGAATGATCAAATAAACACAATCAGAAATGATAAAGGGGATAGTACCACTGACCCCACAGAAATATAAACAACCATCAGAGAATAAAATAAACACCTCTATGAACATCAACTGGAAAATCTAGGAGAAATGGATGAATTCCTGAACACATAAACTCTCCCAAGACTGAACCAGGAAGAAATTTAATCCCTGTATAGACCAATAATGAGTTCTGAAGTCGAGGCAGTAATAAACAACCTGCCAACCAAAAACACCCAAGACCAGACAGATTCACAGCAGAATTCTACCAGAGGTACAAAGAAGAGCTGATATTATTTCTACTGAAACTATTCCAAAAAACTGAAAAGGAGGGACTCCTCCCTAACTCATTCTATGAAGTGAGCATCATCCTGATACCAAAACCTGGCAAAGATACAAGAACAAAAAAAGAATACTTCAGGCCAATATCCTTGATGAACATTGATGCAAAAATCTTTAATAAAATACTGGCAAACTTAATCCAGCAGTATATCAAAAAGGTTATACGCCATGATCAAGTTGGCTTCATCCCTGGGATGCAAGGCTGGTTCAGTATATGCAAATTAATAAATGTGATTCATCGCATTAACAGAACTAAAGAAAAATAAACAACACATGATTGTTTCAACAGATGCAGAAAAGGCCTTCAACATCCCTTCATGTTAAAACTCTCAATAAACTAGGTATTGAAGAAACATACCCCAAAATAATGAAAGTCATATATGACAAACCCACACCCAATATCATACTGAATGGGCAAAAGCTGGAAGCATTCCTCTTGAAAACCGGCACAAGATAAGGATGCCCTTTCTCACCACTCCTGTTCAACATAGTATTGGAAGTTCTGCCCAGGACAATAAGGCAAGAGGAATAAATAAAAGTGTTCAAATAGAAACAGAAAAAGTGAAATTATCTTTGTTTGCAGATGACATGACCTACGTGATCATGTTTGGCTCTGTGTCTCCACCCAAATCTCATCTTGTAGCTCCCATAATTCCCACGTGTTGTGGGAGGGACCTGCTAGGAGATGACTGAATTATGGGGGCAGGTCTTTCCCGTGCTGTTCTCCTGATAGTGAATGGGTCTCATGAGATCTGATGGTTTTAAAAAATGGGAGCTGCCCTGCACAAGCCTTCTCTTTGCTTGCCGCCATCCATGGAAGACATGAGTTGCTCCTCCTTGCCTTCCACCATGATTGTAAGGCCTCCCCAGCCATGTGGAACTGTAAGTCCAATTAATACAGGATTTATTAAGAAATAATTTCTAGGCAGCTAGAAAGGGTAAAGGTTCTTGGTGGAAATTTTCCTGTGATAAGAACCTCCGAATCATTTATTTTCTAACAGAAAGGTGGCTTAAAGAGCTAGGCTGACAAGCTTTGATATGCAAATGCCAGCCATTAAAAACTGGGTTCACCCAATATGGCAATTCCTGCCTTCTTCTTGTCACCAGGTGTGCCAAGTGTTATGGCCACCTCCAGATAACACCATGTGTTCAGAATATCATGGTGGCCTGCATTTGCATATTAAAAGGCTAAGGTGGGAGGGTGAGGGTTTTCATGGGCTACACGAATGACACCCCTAGTCAAACCAATCCCCTGGGCCCTATGCAAATCAGACAACGCCTTCTCCAGCCTCCAATATAACCTACCATTTTTCTGCCACACATGGGGTTCCCTTTCTTGGCTTGGAGCCCCCCTCCTTCTGTCTCTGTACAGGGGAGCTTCTTCATTCTTTCTTGCCTATTAAATACTCTCCACTCCTTAAAACCACTCCACATGTGTCCATGCCATTTTATCTAAATCAGTGCAACTCCAAGAACCCTGGTATTCCTCCAGTCATTGGAGCCATATCATTTTGATGCATTGGCTGGGAATTTATTCATCAGAATGGTGAGTATTAGGAGTGAATCTTAACCTCAAATCTGTCCTTTACTCTTGACCCTCTCTTCCTGCTATCTTGTTGCCAAACTTTCTTTCTCTTTCTATCTGTGCTCTCTTACTCTCTCTGTATGACATGTATGGAATTTTTACAGTTCAGGGAAACAGGTCTGTTAGGAAAGATCGCAAATTGTGGCAGGCAGTAACTCAATAAACATCTCTCTCTCTCTCTATGTTTTCTCTGTCAAGAACATGGTATTTCTAAGCCAACAGTGCCTAAATTAATTCATTAGTAAGGAGATTTTAAGTATGGAAGTTAACCGGAACCATGTTTCTAAGGGTAAATGCTTTAGCATGGGCCATAATAAGCAGCCAATCTAGCACATTGCCACATTAAAGGAGCCTTGCCCAAAAGTGACACAGTCTCTCTGGAGATCTGTTTTTCAGGGAGCCAGGCAGATCACACAGGTTTAGGAATTCAAAGGGGAATCACATGAGGCAGATAAACTAAGGCTGCATGGGTAAAGCGTGGTTAGTCTCATCACTCAGTTCATCCAGTTCCATGGCTTGGCGGACCACGCCTTCAACCATGGGCAGCACATTTAACATGGTGCTGGAATCCAGGAACCAGGGAGGGAAAACAGTTGGAGGATGCTCCCACAGTCTCCTTTTCTACCCTGGGTCATATGGAAAGGAAGGAGACTAAGAGGACACTTTTATTCTTGCTTCTTTTTCTAGATGGGTAACAGATTATCTTCAGCTTTCACCCCTCTGGAGTGCACTCTGAAACACTGTAACTTCCTTATCATCAGGACTTTGAAGAGAAAAGCAACTCATTTTCTTTTGCACAAGGGCATGGTATTTTTACTAAACCTTTTCAAGCATTGTAAGATCAACCCAGCTCTTTTAGCAATCATATAGGGCAGACCTGGGGAAAATAGTTCCCCAAAAGTTAGGGAAGCAACTTTCTTGGGAGCCATCTGAGGATCCCCCTTATTTGGGGCCCCTTCAAGTTCCCTTCTCATTACAGAACCTTAGGCAAATAAAGCAAAAACTTAGGCTGATTTTCTGATGACCCCAATAGGTATATAAGAAGTTCTCCAAAATTTAATTCAGGTAGCAATATATCTCCTATAATACACCAAGAAGAAAGAAAGCAGATAGGGAAAGCAAAGAAAAAGCAGGAACACCATTCCCAATTGGGAAGGAAGCAGTTCCCCTTAACAACCCTAAATGGAACCCCAATAACTCAGGAGATGAATGGAAAAGGAAGTATTTTTTAATATGAATTTTAGAAGGCCTACAAAAAACAGGGCCAAACCTCTCAATTATTCTAAATTGTCTATAATAAACCAAAATCCAGATGAGAATACTGTAGCCTTTATGGAAAGGCTGAGAGAGGCGCTAATGGAGCACACCTCTTCAACTCCTGATGCAGCTGAGGGACAGCTCATCCTGAGGGACAAGTTTATTACACAGGCAGCTCCTGATATTAGGAAGAAACTACAGAAGCAAGCTATAGGACCAAATAGCACCTTAGAAAACCTCCTGAAGGTGGCCATTACAGTCTTTTATAATAGGGACCAGGAGGAGACCCAAAAGAAAAAGAGAATGCTCAGGAGAAGGACAAAGTCTCTAGCAGCAGCTTTGCAGGTCTGCAAAGTCCAGGATCCCCAAGGTGCATCCACCAGTTGCTATCGTTGTGGCAATCCAGGGCATTTTAAAAAGGAATGCCCACGCAGCAAGATGAAGCCACCTCAACCCTGTCCAGCCTGTAATGGAAACCACTGGAGATGGAACTATCCCCAGAGATGGAGGTCACTGGGTGCAAGACCAGTCTCACAGATGATCCAGCAGGACTGACGGGTCCCAGGGCTCAAACCCCAGCTCCAGTGGCTCAAACTGCCATTATAACACTGGAGTACTGGGTTATTCTAGAAATTAAAGGAAGGAAAGTAATCCTCCTGCTAAACACTAGAGCCAGTCTCTCTCTTTTCTCCTCTCTAATCAGGCCTCCACTCTTCCCATAGCACGACCCTAAGGGGCATCTCAGGAATAACTCTAATCCAATATTTTTCTCAACCTTAGTTGCAGCTAGGAGGACCTATTGTTTACACATGCTTCGAAGCCATTGTCATGATAGCTTTACTAGTCAGAAAAGCCTCCAAGTCAACCCTAGGAAATAATTTCACTGTTTACACTCCACATGATGTGGCAGGATCACTGTCCTCTAGGGGGAGCTCTTAGCAAACAGCCAATAGAGCAAGAAGTACATAAGGCAGGATAAGTAGTAAGTCACTTTCTCCAAACACAGTGCTCAATTAGCTCAGCTAATAGCTCTTACAAGACCACATGAATTAAGCAAGGGAAAGAAAGCTAACATTTATACTAACTCCAAGTACGCTTTCTAAGTTCTCCATGCTCATGCTGCCATTTAAAAGAAAAAATATTTTCT
This sequence comes from Homo sapiens, assembly GCF_000001405.40. Lineage (NCBI taxonomy): Eukaryota > Metazoa > Chordata > Mammalia > Primates > Hominidae > Homo > Homo sapiens. Next base: position 111,030,915 of record NC_000001.11, read on the forward strand.
TACCACCAATGGATCTCCTATAAAATATCACCAGAAAATTAACAGGTTATTATCCTCAGTTTTTGTTCCATGACAGATAGCAGGGATGCGTTGTAAGGAATATCGAAAGGGAACAAATGAGGTAGCCAAAGAAAATAGGTTAGGCTAATCAGGCAGCTAAGTTAAAGGCAAGGAAGCCTTAAGTCATCAACGCACCTCAAGCCCCTTCTAATCTAGGAAGGCTCCATAAAAGAAATTAAACCTTAGTATTCCCCTGCAAAAATAAAATAGGCCACTTGTCGAGGGCATTCTTCCCAGCCCTCAGAATGGCTAGTCAAAGGATGGCAAACTCCATTTGCCAGGCTCCAGCCAATGAAAAGTCCTTAAAATCCTTCACCAAACTTTACACTTGGGAAAGGACAAAACTTATCAATGTGTTCAAAGGTTGTTTTCAGGCAGGAAATCTCTAAATTGGTTAAGCATGTAACCTCTCTAGCTCACTTCCAACAGGAATTAGCACAACTGGCAGAAGCCCAACCCCAGGAAATAGAACAAACTTTATTTAACCCAGGAAATTTGGTATTAGGAAAAATTCTCATCTCTGTCTCCTTCCCTAAGCCAAGCTGGGAAGGGCCCTGAACTGTTCTTCTTTCAACCCCCTAGGCAGTAAAAGTTACAGGAATCAACTCCTGGATACATCGCACTCAAGTCAAAGCCTGAAGAGCTAAGGGAACAACCCCTGACAGCCCAGAGGAACGTCCTGAATATCAATGTTAAGAAATAGAAGATCTTAAGCTGAAAATTATAAAAGGTAAGTAACTGGGTGAGATGTACTCATCTTATTCAGTCCCACTCCTACCTCACCAGATACCTTTTATTATTTCTACCCTTTCCTCTCAAAATTTGCCACTAAATAGTAAACCTTCTTTTTAACTCATATTTGCAGGGAGATTTAATTATACATGGAATTTCATTTGTAACTTTGTAGATCCCCAAAGGGAAATGTTATATCTTGGCAAGTAAAGTTTTAAACAGAAATTATTTACTATGCCACTTTTGTGGTATAGTAGGATTAATAATTGCAAGAAAAATTTAGTAAAGGTTGTTTTGCTATAGCAGGAGTAATAGTTATGGATAAGAAGCAAGCATAAAAGTTTTACTATCATTAAGTTTAATAAGACTTTTTATTGAAAATTAATAATATAATGCACTCTAAATTATGGAAAGAAGGTTATAAAGAAAAAGATTTTATATAGGAAAGAATTTTTTACGGTAAACGCTTGTCCTAAAAGGAAATAACTGGTTGTTTAAAGGATGGATGTTTAGGACAAGTCAAAAAGTTTAAGTGTGTTGTTAGAGGGTCTGTGAAAGTCATAAAAGATTTTAATAATTAAAGGAAAGGAATTGTCCAGATTAACGCTAAAGGTATTTTAGCCACCCAATGACGTATCTCTCCCAAGCATATTGCAAGTTATAAAAATGGCTAAGCCTAAAGTTATTCTCTAATGGCAAGCCAAGGAGAAATGTATGCTTTTCTCAAGGAAAATGTTACTTTTATGTTAACGTTTCTGGTAATGTACAGCGACATCTAGTGGAGGAAAACCGGTATTGCAATTCATTGGTGCAACTAACAGGTGTCAAACTCTACTGTCAGTTATGGCCTATGGGACACCCACTAGCAGTGGTCATCTTAATGCTCACCTTCTAACCCTATCTTTAAACCTTCTTGTGAAATTTATCTCTTTTTGCCTAGAAGCAATAAAAGTCCAAACAGTGCTGCACGCAGAGCCATACATGGACATGCCATTCTTCCAAAAACCCTTAAATCAACCTAAGAGAAGGCCCGACTGCTGTTCCCCTACATGACACCCCTTTTCAGCAGGAAGTAGCCAGAAAGAATCATCATCCAACACCCCCTAAAAGCGATTAGGTTTGCTTCTCTTGAGGGAGGGAATAAGACAGGAGTAATTACGAAATAATTTTTAGGCAGCTAGAAAGGGCAAAGATTCTTGGTGGAAATGTTCCTGTAATAAGAAGCAACCTCCGAACCATTTCATTTCTAACAGAAAGGTGGCTTAAAGAGCTAGGCTGGCAAGCCTTGATATGCAAATGCTGACCATTAAAAACTGGGTTCACCCAATATGGCCATTCCTGCCTTCTTCTTCTTGTCACCAGGTGTGCCAAGTGTCATGGCCACCTCCAGATAACACTATGTGTTCAAAACATCATGGCCCCCTGCGTTTGCATATTAAAAGGCTAAGGTGGGAGGGCCAGGTTTTTCACAGGCTACGTAAATGACACACCTAGTCAAACCAATCCCCTGGGCACTATGCAAATCAGACACTGCCTCCGAAGCCTCCAATATAACCGACAATTTTCCACCCCTCCTTCTGTCTCTATACAGGTGAGCTGCTTTATTCTATCTTGCCTGTTAAACACTCTCCACTTCTTAAAACCACTCCACGTGTGTCCATGTCATTTTATCTAAATCAGTGGAAGACCAAGAACCCTGGTGTTCCTCCAGTCATCAGAGCCATATCACAATTGAGCCGCTTTCTTTTGTAAATGGCCTGGTCTGAGGTATGTCTTTATCAGCAATGTGAAAATGGACTAATAAGTAAACAGTACCAGTAGAGTGGGGTGTTGCTGAAAAGATACCTGAAAATGTGGAAGCAACTTTGGAACTGGGTAACAGGCAGAGGTTGGAACAGTTTGGAGGGCTCAGAAGAAGACACGAAAATGTGGGAAAGTTTGGAACTTTCTAGAGGCTTGTTGAATGGCTTTGACAAAAATCTTGACAGTGATATGAACAATAAGGTCCAGGCTGAGGTGGTCTCAGGTGGAGATGATAAACTTGTTGGGAACTGGAGCAAAGGTGACTCTTGTTATATTTTAGCAAAGAGATTGACAGCATTTTTGCCCCTGCCCTAAAGATTTGTGGAACTTTGAACTTGAGAGAGATGATTTAGGTTATCTGGCAGAAGAAATTTGTAAGCAGCAAAGCATTTCAGAGATGACTTGGGTGCTGTTAAAGGCATTCAGTTTTAAAAGGGAAACAGAGCATTAAAGTTTGAAAAATTAGCAGCCTGACAATGCAATAGAAAAGAAAATCCTATTTTCTGAGGAGAAATTCAAGTCTGCTGCAAAAATTTGCATAAGTAACAAGGAGCCAAGTGTTAATCACTAAGACAATGGGAAAAATGTCTCCAGGCCATGTCAGAGACCTTTGTGGCAGACCCTTCCATCACAGGACCATTGGTTTAACAGGAAAAAAGTGGTTTCATAGGCTGAGCCCAGGGTCCCTGTGCTGTGTGCAGCCTGGGGATTTGGTGCCCTGTGTCACAACCACTCCAGCCATGGCTGAATGAGGCTGATGCAGAGCTTGGGCCATGGCTTCACAGGTGCAAGCCTCAAGCCTTGGCACCTTCCATGTGGTGTTGAGCCTGTGAGTGCACAGAAGTCAAAAATTGAGGTTTGGAAACCTCTGCCTAGATTTCAGAAGATGTATGGGAATGCCTGGATGCCCAGGCAGAAGTTTGCTGTAGGGGTGGGGTCCTCATGGAGAACCTCTGCTAGAGCAATGCAGAAGGGAAATGTGGGGTGGGAAATCCCACACAGAGTCCCTACTGGGGCACCACCTAGTGGAGCTGTGAGAAGAGGGCCACCATCCTCCAGACCCCAGAATGGCAGATCCACTGACAGCTTGCACTGTGTGCCTGGAAAAGCTGCAGACACTCAACACCAGCCCATGAAGGCAGCAGGGAGGGAGGCTGTACCCTGCAAAGCCACAGGGCTGGAGCTGCCCAAGACTATGGAAACCTACCTCTTGCATCAGTGTGACCTGGATGTGAGACATGGAGTCAAAGGAGATCATTTTGGAGCTTTAAGATTTGACTGCCCTGCTGGATTTCAAACTTGCATGGGGCCTGTAGTCCCTTTGTTTTGGCCAATTTCTCCCATTTGGAATGGCTGTATCTACCCAATACCTGTATCCCCATTGTATCTAAAAAGCAAGCAACTTGCTTTTGATTTTACAGGCTCATAGGTGGAAGGGACTTGCCTTGTCTTGGATGAGACTTTGGACTGTGGTCTTTTGAGTTAATGACTTCGGGGGACTGTTGAGAAGGCATGATTGGTTTTGAAATGTGAAGATATGAGATTTGGGAGGTGCCAGGTGGAATGATATGGTTTGACTCTGTGTTCCCACCCAAATCTCATCTTGTAGCTCCCATAATTCCCACATGTTGTGGGAGGGACCTGGTGGGAGATGATTGAATTATGGGGGCAGGTCTTTCCCATGCTGTTTTCATGATACTAAAGGGGTCTCATGAGGTCTGGTGGTTTTAAAAAATGGGAGTTGCCCTGCACAAACTTTCTCTTTGCCTGCCGCCATCCATGTAAGACGTGACTCACTTCTCCTTGCCTTCTGCCATGATTGTGAGGCCTCGCCAGCCATGTGGAATTGCAAGTCCAATTAAACCTCTTTCTTTTGTAAATTGCCCAGTCTTAGGTACGTCTTTATCAGTAGCATGAAAACAGACTAATACACTATATCTAGAAAACCTTATAGTCTCAGCCCAAAAGCTTCTTAAGCTGATAAGCAACTTCAGCAATCTCAGAATACAAAGTCAATGTATAAAAATTGCCAGCGTTCCTATACACCAACAACAGGCAAGCAGGGAGCCAAATCATAAATGAACTTCCATTCACAATTGCTACAAAAAGAATAAAATACCTAGGAATACAGTTAACAAGGGAAGTGAAGGACCTCTTCAAAGAGAACTACAAATCATTGCTCAAAGAAATCAGAGAGGACACGAACAAATGGAAAAACATTCCAGGCTCATGGATAGGAAGAATTAATATTGTGAAAATGGCCATAATGCTTAAAGTAATTTATAGATTCAATGCTATTCCTATCAAATTACCAATTACATTCTTCACAGAATTAGAGGAAAAGTATTTAAAAATTCACGTGGAACAAACAAATAGCCCCAATAGCCAAGACAATCCTAAGCAAAAAGAGCAAAGCTGGAGGCATCATGCTTTCCAACTTCAAACTATACTACAAGGCTACAGTAACCAGAACAGCATGGTACTGGTACAAGAACAGACACACTGACCAATGGAACAGAATAGAGAACTCAGAAACAAGACCAAACACTTACAACCATCTGATCCTGGACAAACCTGACAAAAATAAGCAATGGGGAAAGTATGCCCTATCTAATAAACGGTGCTGGGAGAACTGGCTAGCCGTATGCAGAAAACTGAAACTGGACCCCCTTCTTACACCATATACAAAAATTAACACAAGATGGATTAAAGACTTAAATGTAAAACCCAAAATTATAAAAGCCCTAGGAGAAAATATGGGCAATACAATTCAGGACATAGGCACGGGCAAAGATTTCATGACAAAAAATGCCAAAAGCAATCGTAACACAAGCAAAAATTGACAAATTGGATCTAATTAAAATAAAAAGCTCCTGCACAGCAAAAGAAACTATCACAGTGAACAGACAACCTACAGCATGGGAGGAAATTTTTGCAATTTATTCATCTGACCAAGGTCTAATATCCAGAGCCTAAAAGGAAATTAAACAAATATACAAGAAACAAACAAACCCATTAAAAAGTGGGCAAATGACTAGAACAGACACTTCTCAAAATAAGATATACATGCAGCCAGCAATCATATGAAGAAAAGCCCAACATCATTGATCATTATTTGCAAATCAAAATCACAATGAGATACCATCTCATGCCAGTCAGAATGGTGATTATTGAAAAGCCAAAAGCAACAGATGCTGCTGACATTGTGCAGAAAAAGGAATGCTTTAATGCTGTTGGTGGGAGTGTACATTAGTTTAACCATTGTGGAAGACAGTGTGGTGATTCCTCAAAGAAATAGAGGCAGAAATACCATTTGACCCTGCAATCCCATTACTGGGCATATACCCAAAGGAGTATAAATCATTCGATCATAAAGATACGTGCATGTGTATGTTCATGGCAGCATTATTCACAACAGCAAAGTCATGGTATCTACCCAAATGTCCATTAATAATAGACTGGATAAAGAAAATGTGGTACATATATACTGTGAAATACTATGCAGCCATAAAAAGGAATGAGTTTATGTCCTTTGCAGGAACATGGATGGAGTTGAAAGTCATTATCCTCAGCAAACTAATGCAGGAATAGAAAACGAAACACTGCACGTTCTCACTTATAAGTGGGAACTGAATGATGAGAACACATGGACACATAGAGGGGAACAACTCACACTGGAGTCTGGGTAGGGAGGGTTGGAGAAGGAAGAACATCAGGAAGAACAGCTAATGGATGCTGGACTTAATACCTAGGTGATGGGATGATCTGTGCAGCAAACCAACATGGCACACATTTACCTATGTAACAAACCTGCACATCCTGCACATATACCGCTGAACTTAAAATAAAAGTTGAAGAAAAAAAAAGAAAGAAAATGTACATATGCATAATGGAGTGCTATTCAGCCATAAAAAAGAATGAGATCCTCTCATTTACAACAAAAGGATGAAACTGAAGATCATTTTGTTAGGTGAAATAAGCTAGGCACAGAAAGACAAACTTCATGTTCTCACTTATGTGTGGAAGCTAAAAATTAAAGCAATTGAGCTCACGGAGATAGAGAGTAGAAGAATAGTTACCAGAGGCTGGGAAGAGTAGTGGAGGTGAGGGTGGAGGTGGAGTGACTAATGAATATAAAATTAGTTAGAAAGAATAAATAATACCTAGTATTTTCTAGTGCAACAGTGTGATTATTGTCAAAAATAATTTAGGCTGGGCACGGTGGCTCATGCCTGTAATCCTAGCACTTTGGGAGGCCGAGGCGGGCAGATCACGAGGTCAGGAGATAGAGACCCTCCTGGCTAACACGGTGAAACCCCATCTCTACTAAAATTACAAAAAAATTAGCCGGGCGTGGTGGAGGGCACCTGCAATCCCAGCTACTCAGGAGGCTGAGGCAGGAGAATTGCTTGAAATGGGGAGGCGGAGATTGCAGTGAGCCAAGATCGTGCCACTCACTGCACTCCAGCCTGGGCGACAAGAGTGAGACTCCATCTCAAAAAAAATTAATAATAATAATTTAATTCTACATTTAAAAATAATGCAGAGTATATAGAATTGGATTATTTGTAACACAAAGGATAAATGCTTGAGGTGATGGGTACTACATTTACCCTGATGTGATTAGTATGCATTCCATGCCTATATAAAAATATTTCATGTAACATACAAATGTCTACACCTACATTTGTACCCACAAAAATTATAAATAAAAATTAACTTAAAAAGTTAAACACACATACAAAGAAAATGTGGTACATATACACCATGGAATACTATGCAGCCATAAATAGTATGAAATCATGTCTTTTGCAACAACATGGATGCAGCTGGAGGCCATTATCCTAAGCAAAGTAATGCAGAAAGAGAAAACCAAATACCACATCCTCTCACTTATAAGTGGGAACGAAGCATTGTGCACACATGGACAATGAAATCGAGGGCAAAAACTATATCATTATTTCAAAAGACTCAGAAAAAGCACTTGATGAAATTTAACATCTTTCATGATAAAAACTCTGAACGCATTAAGTTAAAGATTGCACAGGGGGAAAAAACCCTATTCGAGCTAACAAACAAATTTGGTAAAGTTGAAGGGTACACAATCAACATACAAAAATTAGTAGTATTTCTATATGCTAATAATGTACGATCTGAAAAAGAAATTATGAAAACAATTCCACTTTTAATAGTTACCCCAAAATACCTAGTAATAAATTTAACCAAGGAGGTTAAGATATCTGCAATGAAAAAGATAAAACATTGATGAAAGGCATTGAGAAAGATACAAATAAATGGAAAGATATACCATGTTCATGGTTGGAAAAATATTTTTAAAATATCCATACTATCCAAAGCGATCTACAGATTTAATGCAATATGTATAAAAATACCAATTACATTCTTCACATAAATTTAAAAAATGTAAAATATATATGGAACTATAAAAGACCCCAAATTGTCAAAAAGATCTTAAGCAAAAAATACAAAGTTGGGGGCAAAACCTCAAAATATTCTACAAAATTATAGTAATTAAAACAGCATGATACCAGCATATAAACAGACACATGACCACTGGGACAAAATAGAGAACCCAGAAATAAATCCATGCATTCATAGTCAAATAATTTTTGACAAAGGCACCAATAAGACACATTGGGGAAAGGGACAGCCTCTTTAATAAATGGTGCTAAGAAAACTGAGTGCAAACTACGTGCAGAAAAATGAAACTAGATTCCTATCTCTAACTACATACGAAAAAAGAACTCAAATGGATTAAATACTTAAATGTAAGACCAAAAACTATGAAAATACTAGAAGAAAACATAACAGAATTGCTTCATGACATTGGTCTGGGCAATAATGTTTTGGATAAGAACTCAAAATCACAGGCAAAAGCAAAAATAGACAAATGGGTTCATATACTAAAAAGCTTCTGCACAGCAAAGAAAAAAATCAACAGAGTGAAGAGACAATCTATAGAATGAGAGAAAATATTTGCAAAGCAAGTCAGTAACTAAAAAACAAAAAATCTTATTACACATGGGCAAAAGATCTGAATAAATATTTCTCAAAAGAAGCACACAAATTGCTAATAGGCTTATTTTTTACGTGTTCAACATCACTATCATCAGAGAAATGCAAAACAAAATAAAAAGTCACAGTGAGTGTCACCTCACCTCACTTAGAATGGCTAACCAAAAAAACCCACCAAATGCTGGCAAGGATGTGGAGAAAGGACGCACCGTTGGTGGAAACATAAATTAATACAGCCATTATGAACCATAGTATGGAAATTCCTAAATATTAGAAATCAAACTACCATATGATCCAGCAATCCCACTTCTGAGTCATTCCTTCTGAGTATATATCCAGAGGAAATGAAATCAGTATGTCAAAAAAAAAATCTGTAATCCCTTGTTTATTGTAGCACTATTCTCAATAGCCAAGATATGTAATAAACCTAAGTGTCCATCAATGGATAAATGGGTACAAAAAACGTGGTAGTTATACACAAATAAATACTATTTGGCCATAAAAAAATAAAATGTTATTTGCAACAACATGGATGAACCTGAAGCCATTATATTAAATGAAATAAGCCAAGCATAGAAGGACAAATACCACATGTTCTCACTCATATGTGGAATTGAAAAAAGTTGACATTGAACAAGTAGAGAGTAGAATAGTAGTTACCCGGGTCTTGGGAGTGTGAGAGAGGAGGATGAGAAGGAATTGGTAAATGCGTAGAAAGTTGCAGTTGGCCGGGCGCGGTGGCTCATGCCTGTAATCCCAGCACTTTGGGAGGCCAAGGCGGGCGGATCACGAGGTCAGGAGATCGAGACCCTCCTGGCTAACACGGTGAAACCCCGTCTCTACTAAGAATACAAAAAATTAGCCGGGCGCGGTGGTGGGCGCCTTTAGTCCCATCTACTCAGGAGGCTGAGGCAGGAGAATGGCAAGAACCCGGGAGGCGGAGCTTGCATTGAGCCGAGATTACGCCGCTGCACTCCCGCTGGGGCGGCAGAGCGAGACTCCGTCTCAAAAAAAAAAAAAAAAAAGTTGCAGTTAGGCGGCATAAGTTCTAGAGTCCCATTGAACGGTAGGGTGAATATAGTTAACAATAATATATTGTATATTAAAAATTGCTAGAAGAGGTGTTTTTTTTTTCTTTGAGACGGAATTTCGCTCTTGTTGCCCAGGCGGGAGTGCAATGGCGCGATCTCGGCTCACCGCAACCTCCGCCTCCCGGGTTCAAGCGATTCTCCTACTCAGTCTGCAGAGTAGCTGGGATTACAGGCATGCACAACCATACCTGTCTAATTTTGTGTTTTTAGTAGAGATGGGGGTTTCTCCATGTTGATTAGGCTGGTCTCAAACTCCTGACCTCAGATGATTCGCCCGCCTCGGCCTCCCAAAGTGCTGGGATTACAGGCGTGAGCCACCGCGCCTGGCCAGTGATTTTTAAATATTTCACCACAAAGAAATGGCAAATGTTTCAGGTGAGGAAATATGCAGTTAATCTGATTTTATCGTTACACGATGTTTGCATGTATCAAAACATCACACTTTATTCCATAAATATGTAAAATTATTATGTATCAATTAAAAATAAAATAAAACTTTAAAAAGATGTGGCTAGAATAGAAACTCCTTGGTACTCTTTCCCTAGTTTAGCCTTCAGAGAAAAAGCTTCACATAAATTGAAACATACAACTATATTAGCTCTTGCTTGTTTAGCTCAAAATTACTTTGTTAGATTCACCCTTGTGGTTCCATGTAGCTCTAATTTATTTGTTTTCATTTCTATATAAAAAATTCCATTGTGCAAATTATTGGTAGTACTGGATGGTTTTAAATTTTTTGTTGTTTTGAAGTGTGCTATTGTGAGCATTCCTACACATATATCCTGCTGCACAGGTACATGAGTTTCTCTGCATATATAGCTAGGAATAAAATTGCTCAGGTTTAAAATATACGTATGTTCAGCTTTACTAAATAATGCCAAACAATTTTTCAAAGTTATTATACCAATTTCTACTCTGCCAGCAGTGAAATAGTTCTTGTTATTCCACATTACCAACCCTGATATTGTCAGACTTATAATTTTTAATCCATTGATGTGTAATAATATCTCATTATGGTTTTAACTTTCAAATCTCTGATTACTAATAAGGATGAGCACTTTTAATGCATTTTTGGCCATTTAAATTCCTATTTTATAAAATGTTCATTTTTCTGTTTCTTCCTATTGAGTAGCCTGTATTTTTAAAATTGATTTGTAGAAATTCTATGTCAGTGTCATTTGTCAGATACGTGTTGCAGTCTACAGTCATACCACCCTGAACACACCTGACCTTGTCTGATCTAGGAAGCTGAGCAGGGTTGGGCCTGGTTAATCCTTGAACGAGAGATATGTGTTACAAATATATTCTATCATTTCACAACTGACCTTTTTCTTAAATATGTCTTTTAATGAAGTATGTACTTAAAATTAATGTGGTTGAATATATCAGTCTTTTCCTTTATAATTAATGCTTTTTGTGTGTTATGCAGTAAATTCTTTCCTATCCTGAGGTCTTGAGGATAGTCTTCTATGTTATCTTCTAAAACGTTTGTAGTTATTTTTCACAGGACTTGGTGAAACCTGAAATTTTATTTTTGTGTATAGTGCGAAGGAAATGTAAATTTCCAAATTATCTATGTGAATACTCATCTGCTGTAAAATAATTTATTGAATAAAGAATATTTTTACAGTATTCTGCAATGCCTCCTCCAGCATACAGCACTAATCCATGTGTTCACATGTCAAATTCTAGATCTCTATTTTTTCTTTTGGTCTGTTTTGTTTATTCCTATTTTAATAACACTGCCTTAAATACATAGCTTCATTTAAAATTTTGATATCTGAAATAGCAGATACTAATACATCTTGTTTTTCTTTTTCAAAACATCTTGGTTATTCCTAACTCTTTGTACTTTTACATATATTTTTGGCAAGTTCACAACATACTCTCGACATTTTTATTTGGATAATATTAGCTCTACAAATCAATTGGAAGAGGATCATCATCTTTACAACACTATGTCTTCCAATTCGTCAACATCCTATTTCTTTTGATTTATTTAGGTATCTAGTAAGGTTTTACAATTTTTTCCATGAAGATATTTGCATTAGTTCATTCTTGCAGTGCTATAAAGCAATTTTTAATATAAAATATATTATTGTTAACTATATTCACCCTACCGTTCAATGGGACTCTAGAACTTATGCCGCCTAACTGCTCTTTTTTTTTTTTTTTGAGACGGAGTCTCGCTCTGCCGCCCCAGCGGGAGTGCAGCGGCGTAATCTCGGCTCTGAGGCTGAGTAATTTATAAAGAAATTTAATTGGCTCGTGGTTCTACAGGCTGTACAGAAAGCATAGCGGCTTCTCCCTCAGAGAGGCCTCAGGAAACTTCCAATCATGGCAGAAAGGGGGAGCAGGCATGTTACATGGCCAGACCAGGAGCAAGAGAGAGAGTGAGAGGGGAGGTGCTACACACTTTTTTTGAGACGGAGTTGCTCTCTGTCACTCAGGCTGGAGTGCAGTGGCGCGATCTCGGCTCACTGCAACTTCCGCCTCCCGGGTTCAAGCCATTCTCCTGCCTCAGCCACCCGAGTAGCTGGGATTACAAGCATGCACGACCACGCCTGGCTAATTTTTGTATTTTTAGAAGAGACAGTGTTTCACCATGTTGGCAAGGCTGGTCTCGAACTCCTGGCCTCAAGCCATCCACCTGCCTCGGCCTCCCAAAATGCTGGGATTACAGGCGTGAGCCACCATGCCCTGCCATTGCTACACACTTTTAAACAACCACATCTTGTGAGAACAGCACTACATATTCATGAATGGTGCTAAACTCTTCATGAAGAATCCACCCCCATGTTCCAATCACCACCCATCTTGCCCCATCTTCAACACTGGGAATTACAATTCGGTGTGATACTTAGGTGGGGACACAAATCCAAACCATACCAATATTGAATTTTTTTTTCATTTATTACTGAGTATTTTTAATTTGCCACTATTAAACAAAAGTGAAATAATTTTTGAATTTGGAAAACTTCCTAAATTTTTTTAGTTCTAATAATTTGGCTATAAAGACCTTTGGATTTTCTATTATGATGACATAATTTGTGAATAATGACAGTTTTGAGTCTTTCTAGTCCTTAGACCCAACATTCTACTTGTACCAATATGATAGCAGATATTGTTGTCTTGTTCTTGATTTTTAAAAGCTTGTTTCACCATTAAATATGTTATGGTTATAGTTCTACTTTTGTTTTTTATACATATCTTGAAATTTTCCACCTGTGGTTTATTCAGGTTCAACTATTCCATTTTAAAAACTGTGCCACTGTGCTTTGATGAAGACTCATGTGGCTGGCAACAGCTCTTGCCTTTTGTCTCTGGGGTCCTGGCCTGGCTAGGATTCCTGGGTGTTCTGTTGGCTCATTTGGGGCCATCAAGTCACTTTGGACCACTCACTGTCTGCTCTGCCTCCACCAATCAGAAACTCTTCCCAGGAACAGTGAGAGCCAAAGCCAAAAGAAGACTTGTTCCATATTTGGTGATTGAGTGACAATGGGTGAAATATTCTCTCAAACAGAACTAGAGAGAATTCAGTACTTGTACTCCACAGTGAGTAATGTCAGGGCTGACCCATCCTAAAGCCTATCTTGCCATGCTCTTACAGTGTTGGAGGCTTCTACATTTGGTACTGGCAGTCAGTAAATTTTAATGATGACTGTATATTGGCTGTGAGTTTATAAAGCAATGGAACATAAGAAAAGCAATTGTACTTAACTATGCCATATGTATGTATCCACTGACCAAAAATAAAACCAACCAACCAAAAAACAAAACAAAACAAAACAATCACAGTTAATCCTTAGATTTACTCAAAAGGATATGGACAAGCATCACAGCTTGCCTGACGTTTATCTCCTATAAAAGTAGACCCCTACAGCAGTCCCTGCAGTAGTCCCACAGCCACATAGGAGTTATTTTTTTCTGACTCTCCAAGTAACAGATCAGTTTCGAAGTAATAAGATTCACATTGAACAAAATGTGAAAGCTGCAATGGCTTAAAAGCCTCATGCTCCTTAGAAGCTTAATATAACTCCATAGGCATACCTTCCAGGGTTCTCACAAGGGACTTGCTGAGTTACAAGAAGTCCACACAAACGATATCTGAAAGATACGACTTCTTGTGAGGTATTTCTAGCTCTCTAAGTCCAGATGGAATTTACCAATCAGAGTTCATTTTAACCGTAGTAAATATTGCTTAATTATATGATTGACACATGTAATCTTTATTTCCAGAGCTGGTAAGCTAACTGAAGGTAAAAGTCTCATTCAGAAAATAATTTATCCCCAGTCTACCTTCCCATGACCTTTCATTAACATCTTCAATATAGTAAAAACCAAATTAATACATTTTATAATCACCAGAATTTTAATCATTTAATGAGACTTATTTGATATCCTTTCTTGTCCCTTAGCCAATTGGACTTTTCTTTGGCCAGTTAGTTTTCAGAGTGATCAGGGATCTTTGTATCCTCAAGATCAAATGTAAGTTTACTTCAAAAAATACAACAGAACATTTAATAGAGCAAACATGGTACAGTGTCATTTAAGTGTTCCTTTTATATACCATCAGTAAATTAGGAATTTTATTCATTTTGAAAGTACCTTCTTAGTCACTCAAAAATAAGGGTTTGTACATATCCTTTGGCTTAGATTTAAAAAAAAAAAAACTTAGTCAATTGAAGTCTAAGATATGTTTGCATTCCTCTCAGACCAATGCCAGCAGAGGACTTTGGTCAGACTCCAGTAGAAGGTCATGCTATGCCAACATGCACAGGCTGACTTCGTTGGAATGTTGTTTCCAGCCTGGCTATGGTTACCCACTCCCACACATACTGGAAATTTTGTGAAGCTTTTTGCTTGTGACTGTGTCTTTAAGCTGCTATAAGTATGTCTTGCCAACACACAGCAAGGGCTACCCTTGCCAGGGATTTACTCAGAAAGATATATAGCAGGAGCCACAGCTGCCAGCGAGACAACCAAATGTATACCTCTTCTGTGTGAGTAGAGCTTACAGTAGTCCTTGCAGTAGCTCACACTGCCAGATAGGAGCTAGTTTCTCTGGTTCCTCTGGTGTCCATGCAGGTGTGAAAAAAAAGAAAACCAGTCTCATATCAGGTGTATCTAGGAACCATCCTAGTTTAAAAACTTCATGCCCTTCAGAGCAAATATCACTTTAGAGATGTCATTTTTTATTGTAGATATTAAAAATTTATGTTTTCTCTCTCCTTGTTTCCTAAATAAGGCTTGCTAGGTGATTAATTTAAACTTTTCAAAGAACAAGCTTTTATTTTTTCCACTGTGTTTCTTTTTTCTGTTCACTAATTTCTGCTCTTGTCTTTATAACCTCCTTTAGTCTATTTTTCTTGGGGTCTAATTGACTTTCTAGTTTTCTTAAGGTTTAATTCACTTTCCTACTTTTCTTATTACCTATGTACTTAAAGCTTTACATTTCCCTCTTTAGATGTGTTCCAGAAATTTAAATTTTTTTATTATATTAAATTTAAAATATTTTCTATTTTCTACTGTGAGGTCTTCTTGGACCCATGGTCATTAGAGCATGTTGTTTAATTTCCAAATGTTTAAGTATTTTTAGGAGCTTTATTGGGGGTGGGGAAAGGACAAAGACCAAATGTATTTTTTATTGTACCACAAATCGCTATGGTATTGTAGTGAACATATTCATTTATTTGCTTCCCCTTCTGGACTGTGAACTTCTTGAGGACAGTTTCTTATATGTTTTTCTTTTTGCCTCCTGATTCACAAAACAGATACTCAAAATTTTTAAATAAATGAGTAACTGCCTGAATGAAGCAAGCAAGTTGCAGTTTATTAGCCCATAACATTGCTCAGTAATAAAAATTTGATAGAACTAGACATTTCAGTAAAAAGAAAACTATCATAAATTTGGGGGTACAGATGCAGGTTTGCTATACAGGTAAATTGTGTGTCACAAGAGTTTGGTATACAAATTATTTTGTCACCTAGATGATAAGCATGGTACCTGCTGGGTAGTTTTTAGAATCACATCCTCCTTCCACCCTCCACCCTCAGGTAGGCCACAGTGTCTGTTGCTCCCTTTTTTGTGTCCATGTGTACTTAATGTTAAGCTCCCACTTATAAGTGACAACATGCAGTATTTGATTTTCTGTTTCTGTGTTAGTTCACTTAGGATAATGACCTCCAGTACCATTTATGTTGCTGCAAAGGATATAATCTTGTTTTTTATGGCTGTATAGTATTCTGTGGTGTATTATGGCTATCTAGTATTCCATGATGTATATATTCCATGGTGTATATTCCATGCTATATAATATTCCATGGTGTATATAGTATTCCATGTCGGTCTATTCAGCCTACTTTTGATGAGCATTTTGGTTGATTCCATGTCTTTTCTAGTGTAAATAGTACCACAATAAACATACACGTGCATTTGTCTTCATGGTAAAACAATTTATATTCCTTTGGTTATATACTCAATAATGGGACTGCAGGGTTGAAAGGTTACTCTGTTTTAAGTTTCTTGAGAAAGTGCCAAACTGCTTTCCAAACTGAATTAACTAATTTACATTGCCACTAGCATTGATTAAGTCTCTTTTCTCTGCAAACTCACAAGTATCTGTTATGTTTTGACTGTTCATTTGAATTTCTCTAATGATTAATGATGTTGAGGATTTTTTTTTATTATTATACTTTAAGTTCTGGGGTACATGTACAGAGTGTGCAGGTTTATTACATAGGTATACATGTGCCATGGTGGTTTGCTGCACCCGTCAACCTGTCATGTACATTAGGTGTTTCTCTTAATGTTGTCCCTCCACTAGCCCCTCACCCCCTGACAGGCCCCAGTGTGTGGTGTTCACTTCCCTGTGTCCATGTGTTCTCATTGTTCAACTCCCACTTATGAGTGAGAACATGTGGTGTTTGGTTTTCTGTTCTTGTGTTAGTTTGCTGAGAATGATGGTTTCCAACTTCATCCATGTCCCTGCAAAGGACATGAACTTATCCTTTTTTATGGCTGCATAGTATTTCATGGTGTATATGTGCCACATTTTCTTTATCCAGTCTATCAGTGATGGGCATTTGGGTTGGTTCCAAGTCTTTGCTATTGTGAACAGTGCCACAATAAACATACGTGTGCATGTGTTTTTATAGTAGAATGATTTATAATCCTTCGGGGATATACCCCATAATAAGATTGCTGGGTCAAATGGTATTTCTGGTTCTAGATCCTTAAGGAGTGGCCACACCGTCTTCCACAATGGTTGAACTAATTTATACTCCCACCAACTATGTAAAAGCATTCCTATTTCTCCACATCCTCTCCAGCATCTGTTGTTTCCTGATTTTTTAATGATCGCTGTTCTAACTGGCGTGAGATGGTATCTCATTGTGGTTTTGATTTGCGTTTCTCTAATGACTAGTGATGATGAGCTTTTTTCATATGTTTGTTGGCTGCTTAAATGTCTTCTTTTGAGAAGTGTCTGCTCATATCCTTCACCCACTTTTTGATGGGGTTGTTTTTTTCTTGTAAATTTGTTTAAGTTCTTTGTAGATTCTGGATATTAGCCCTTTGTCAGATGGATAGGTTGCAACAATTTTCTCCCATTCTGTAGGTTGCCTATTCACACTGAACATATTTTCATGTGCTCTGCAGAAGCTCTTTAGTTTAATTAGATCCCATTTGTCAATTTTTGCTTTTGTTGCCATTGCTTTTGGTGTTTTAGTCATTAAGTCTTTGCCCATGCCTATGTCCTAAATTGTATTGCTGATGGTGAGGATTTTTATATGCTTTTTGACCACATGTTTGTCTTCTTTTGAGAAGTGTCTGTTCATACTATTTGCCCACTTTTTTATAGGGTTGTTTGTTTTCCAGTTGTTAATTTTTTTAAGCTCCTTATACATTGTGGATATTAGACCTTTGTCAGATGCACAGTTTGCAAATATTTTCTCCCGTTCTGTGAATTCTCTGTTTACTCTGTTGGCAGTTTATTTTGCTGTGCAAAAGCTCTTTACTTTAATAAGGTCCCATTAATTAATTTTTGTTTTTATTGCATTTGCTTTCGGCATCCTCATCATGAAATATTTGCTAGGACCTGTATCCAGAATGGCATTTCCTAGCTTTTCTTCTAGAGTTTTTATATTTTTAGGTTTTACATTTAGGTATTTAATCCACCTTTAAGTTGATTTTTGTATATGGTGTAAGGAAGGGGTCCAGTTTCAATCTTTTACATATGACTAGCCAGTTAACTCAGCATTAATTATTGAATAGGGAGACCTTTCCTCCTTGTTTGTTTTTGTTGATTTTGTTGAAGATCAGATGGTTATAGGTGTGTAGCATGATCTCTGGGCTCTCTATTCTGTTGCATTGGTCTAGGTGTCTGTTTTTGTACTAGTACCATGCTATATTCATTACTGTAGCCTTGTAATATAGTTTAAAGTTGAGTAATGTGATGCCACCAGCTTTTTTCTTTTTGCTTACGATTACTTTGGCTGTTAGGGCTTTTGTTGTTGTTGTTGTTGTTGTTCCAAATGAATTTTAGAATAGTTCATTCTAATTCTGTGAAAAATGTTGGTAGTTTGATAGGAATAGCATGTAACCTATAAATTGCTTTGGACAGTGTTGCCATTTTAACAAAATGTATTCTTTCCATTCATGAGCATGGGATATTTCTCCATTTGTGAGTGTCATTTCTAATTTCTTCCAGCAGTGTTTTGTAATTCTCATTATACAGATCTTTCGCTTTCTTGGTTAGCTATATTTGTAGTATTTTATTCATTTTGGGGCTATTGTGGATGGGATTGCATTCTTGATTTGGCTCTCAGCTTGGTTATTATTGGTGTATGGGAATGCTACTGATTTTTGCACATTTACTTTGTATCCTGAGACTTTGCTGAAGTTGTTTTATCAGATCTAGGAGCTTTGGGGCAGAGATTATAGGGTTTCCTAAGTATAAAATTATATTGTCTGCTAACAGAGATAGTTTTGCTTCTTCTCTGGTTGTTTGGATGCCTTTTCTTTCTTTCTCTTGCTTCATTACTCTGGATAGGACTTCCAGTACTATGTTGAATAGGAGTGGTGAGAGTAAGTATCCTTTTCTAATTCCAGTTTTCAAGAGGAATGTTTCCAGCTTTTTCCCATTCAGTACGATATTGGCTGTGGGACTGTCATAGATGGCCCTTATTATTTTGAGGTATGTTTCTTCAATGCCTAATTTGTTGAGGGTTTTTATCATGATGGGTAGTTGAAATTTATCAAAAGTATTTCTGCATCTATGGAGTTGATTATGTGGTTTTTTAGTTTAGTTCTGTTTATGTGATGAATCACATATATGGATTTGCATATGTTGAATCAAACTTGCATCCCAGGGACAAAGCCTACTTGATCTTGGTGGGTTAGCTTTATGATGTGCTGCTGGATTTGGTTTGTTAGCATTTTGCTAAGGATTTTTGCATTTATATTCATCAAGAGTATTGAACTGAAGTTTTATTTTTTAGTTGTGTCTCTGCCAGATTTTGGTATCAGGCTGACACTGGCCTCATAAAATGAGTTAAGGAGAAGTCCCTTTTTCTCAATATTTTGAAATATTTTCAGTAGGATTGGTACCAGCTCTTCATAAATCTGGTAGAATTTGGCTGTGAATCTCTCTTGTACAGGGCTTTTCCTGGATGGTAGAATTTTGTTACTGATTCAATTTTGGAACTCATTCATCTGTTCAGGGTTTCACTTTTTTTCCTGGTTCAGTCTTGGGAAGTTGTATGTTTCCAGAATTTATGAATTTCTTGTAGGTTTTTTATTTTGTATGCACAGAGGTGTTTGTAATCGTGTCTGAGGCTTTTTTTTTTTCTCCTGTGGGGTGAGTGGTAATGTTACCTTTCTTATTTCTGATTGTGTTTATGTCGATCTTCTCTCCTTTTCTCTTTATTAGTCTAGCTAATGGTCTACCAATCTTATTTTACAGAACAAATTTCTGGTTTCATTTATCTTTTGTATGATGATAGGATCAAATCCACACATATTATTATTAACCTTGAACATAAATGGGCTAAATACCATACTTAAAAGACACATAGTGGCAAGTTGGATAAAGAAGCAAGACCCAACTCTATGTCTTCAAGAGACCCATCTCACATTCAAGGACACACATAGCCTCAAAGTAAAGGTATGGAGAAAAATCTGTTTCAATACTCAATTTCTTTCAGTTCCACTCTGATATGGTTATCTATTGTCTTCTGCTGGCTTCAGGGCTGGTTTGCTCTTGCTTTTCTAGTTCTTGTAGGTGTCATGGTCAGTTATTAATTTGAGATCTTTCTAATTTTTTCATGTGGGCATTTAATGCTATAAACTTCTCTCTTAACACTGCTTTATCTCTTTTTCAGGGATTCTGGTATGTTGTGTCTTTGCTTTTATTAATTCCAAAGAATGTCTTGATTTTTGTCTTAATTTCATTATTTACCCAAAAATCATTCTGGAGCAAGGTTTTAAATTTCTATGTAATTGTATGGTTTTGAGCAAACTTTTTAGCCTTGGTGTTCATTTTTATTGCACTGTGTTCTGTTAGTGTGGTTGGTATGATTTTGGTTTTTCTGAATTTGCTGAGAATTATTATATGGCCAATTGTGTAGTTAATTTTAGAGTATGTGCCATGCACAGATGAGATGTATATTCTGTTGCTTTTGGATGGAGAGTTCTGTAGATGTCTGTTAGATCCATTTAGTCAAGTGTCAAATTCAGGGCCTGAATATCTGTCTTAGTTTTCTGCCTTGATGATTTGTCCAATCCTGTCAGTGGGGTGTTGAAGTCTCCCACTATTGTTTTGTGGTTATCTAGTCTCATTGAAGGTCTCTAAGAACTTTCTTTATGAATCTGGGTGATCCTGTGTTAGGTGCATATATATTTAGGATAGTTAAGTTCTTCTTCTTGAACTGAACCCTTTACTATTATATAATACCCTTCTTTATCTTTTTTGATCATTGTTGTTGTAAAGTCTGTTTTCTCTGAAATTAGAATAGCAACTGTACTTTCTTTTTTGTTTTTCATTTCCTTGGTAGATTTTTCTCCATACCTGTACTTTGAGGCTATGTGTGTCCTTGCATGTGAGATTGGTCTCTTGAAGACAACATAGATTTGGGTCTTGCTTCTTTATCCATTTGCCACTATGTGGCTTTTAAGTGGGGTATTTAGTCCATTTATGTTCAAGGGTAATAATGATATGTGTGGATTCGATCCTGTCATCATGGTGGTATTCAGACTTGTTTGTGTAGTTGCTTTTTATTGTCAGTGGTCTATGTACTTAAGTGTGTTTTTGTGGTGGTCACTAATGGTCTTTTGTTTTCACATTGAGCACTCTCTTAAGAACCTCTTGAAAGCAGGTCTGGTGTTAATGAATTTCCTTAGCATTTGCTTGTCTGAAAAGGATCTTATTTCTCCTTTGCTTATAAAGTTTTGTTTGGCTGCATATGAAATTCTTTGTTGGAATTAAAAAAAAATACTGAATATAGGCCTCCAGTCTCATCTGGCTTGAAGGGTTTCTGCTGAAAGGTTCACTATTAGCCTAATATGGGTCCCTTTGTAGGTGACCTTACCCTTCTCTCTAGCTGCCTTTAACGTTTTTTCTTTCATTTTGACCTTGGAGAATCTGAAGAGTCTGTGTCTTGAGGTAGTCTTCCTGTGTAGTAAAGTTCTCTGCATTTCCTGAATTTAAATGTTGGCCTCCCTAATGAGGTTGGAAAAATTTTCATGAACTATATATCCTCAAATATGTTTTCCAAGTTGCTTCCTTTCTCTCACTGTCTTGCAAGAATGCCAATGAGTCATAGATTTGGTCTCCTTACATAATCTCATATTTCTCAGAGGTTTTGTTCATTCTCTTTTTCTTTATTTTTGTCTGACTAAAATGATTCAAAGAATCAGTTTTCAATATTTTAGATTCTTTTCTCAGCTTGTTTTATTCTGTTATTAATACTTTTGATTGTATTATGAAATTCTTGTAGTGACTGTTTCAGCTCTATAGCTCAGCTTGGTTCTTTCTTAAAGAAGAAAGCAAGTCTGAATACATTCAAAGTCTTTAAGCAAGTCTGAATACATTCAAAGCAAGTCTTTAAGCAAGTCTGAATACATTCAAAGGGCCAAAATTTTGAAAGATACTCACTTTGACAACAGTAAAATTAAGCTATTTGCCATTACTTTCAATGCCAAAAACAGCAATTTATTTTGCACCAGTCTAATAGAAATCAGTGACAAAAAAATTAACTTAAAAAATACTCTAGGTGCACACACTCTTCCACACTGCTGCTGCTGCTAATGCTCCATCTTTCCATCTTTCTCATTTCACCTCTTGTATCATTTTATTGAATTCTTAGGTTGTGTTTCAACTTTCTCCTGAATCTTGATAATATTTGTTTCTATCCAGATTCTGAATTCTATGTTTGTCATTTCAGCCTGGTTAAGAATCATTGCTGGGGAACTAATCTGATCATTTGTAGGTAAGAAGACATGCTGACATGTTTTTATTATTATTCAATTTTATTTGAAGTTTGGGAATACATGTGCAGGATGTGCAGGTTTGTTACATAGGTAAACATGTGCCATGGTGGTTTGCTGCACCTATCAACCCATCACCTAGGTATTAAGCCCCACATGTATTAGCTATTTATCCTGATGCTTTCCCTCCCACTACACTCCCAACAGGCCTTGGTGTGTGTTGTTCCCCTCCCTGTGTCCATGTGTTCTCATCATTCATCTCCCACATATAAGTGAGAACATGTGGTGTTTGGTTTTTTGTTCCTGTGTTAGTTTGCTGAGGATAATGGCTTCTAGCTACATCCATGTCCCTGCAAAGGTTGCACTGAGCCAAGATCACACCAATGAACTCCAGCCTGGGCAACACAGTAAGATTCTGTCTCAAAAAAAAAAAAAAAACAAAAAACAAACAAACAAAAAAACTGTAGTCTTTATCTCTGATAATACTTCATATCTTAAAATCTGTTTTCCCTCAAAATAATATTGTCCCACTGGCTTTTCTATAATTAACATTTTTATCATGCATCATTTTATCCTTTTTTGAAAATCTATGTCCTTATGTTTAAAGTGCATTTTTTAAAAACACAATATAATTGTCTTATATTTTTGATACAAGAAAAAAGTCACAAATTTTTAATAGGTACTCTGATCAATAAATTATGCATATTTCCCCACTTTTTTCTACTAGGATAAATTTTATTAAACATTACAAGAAAAAAGTTTCAAATATGCACATCTTTATTCACACAATAAAGTACTTTTGCTCTGATGCACAATTGTATACATAATTTTAAATCCTCCCAAAGTTAACATACTTACCAGTATTAAAAATAATTACCTTGTGCCCTACAATCTCTTTTGAGCTATAAGTGTGTGTGGCTGTGTGTGTGTAATTTAGGCTAAATTCTAAGAGTAGTCAGTAACCCTGATCAGAAATTCACTTTCCCATTTTTGTCAATTAACATTTGATCAGAAAGGTTGCATTCCACAAGCAGTTTCGGCAAGGCTTTAACTAACTTTATCTTAGATAAACACAAAACATTTGTTTAATTAGCATAATGAATAGTAGAAGTATTTTTCAAATAATGACTTGTTAGCATAATAGATGATAGAAGTATGGATCAAATGGTAGATCTACTTTTAGTTTCATAAGGAATCAACATACTGTTTTCCATAGTGGTTGTAATAGTTTATATTCCCACCAGCAGTGTAAAAGTGTTCCCTTTTCACCACTTCCATGCCAAAATCTATTATTTTTTGAGTTTTTAATTATGGCTATTCTTGCAGGAGTAAGGCAGCATTGCATTGTGGTTTTGATTTGCATTTCCCTGATAATTAGTGATGTTGAGCATTTTTTCATGTTTGTTGGCCATGTGTATATCTTCTTTTGAGTATTGTCTATTCATGTTCTTAGCCCACTTTTTGATGGGATTTTTTTTTTCTTGCTGATTTATTTGAGTTACTTGTAGATTCTGAATATTAGTTCTCTGTAGAATGCATAGTTTATGAAAATTTTCTCCCAGTTAATGGGTTGTCTGTTTGCTCTGCTGATATTTACTTTGCTGTGCAGAAATTTTTTAGCTTAATTGAGTCCCATCTATTCATCTTTGTTTCCGTTGCATTTGCTTTTGGGTTCTTCGTCATGAAATCCTTGCCTAAGCCAATGTCTACAAGGGTTTTTCTGATGTTATCTTCCAGGATTTTAATGGCTTCAGGTGTTAGATTTAAGTCTTTGGTTCATCTTGAGTTGATTTTTGAGTTGATTTTGTTGAGAGATGAGGATCCAGTTTCATTCTTCTACATGTGGCTTGCCAACCATCCCAGCACCATCTGTTGAATAGGGTGTCCTTTCCCTACTTTATGTTTTTGTTTGCTTTGTTGAAGATCAGTTGGCTGTAAGTATTTGGGCTTACTTCTGCATTCTCTATTCTGTTGCACTGGTCTATGTGCCTATTTTTATACCAATACCATGCTGTTTTAGTGACTAAAGACTTATAGTATAGTTTGAATTCGGGTAATGTGATGTCTCCAGATTTATTCTTTTTGCTTAGTCTTGCTTTGGCTATGCAGGCTCTTTTGTGGTACCATATAAATTTTAGGATTTTTTTTTTTTTAGTTCTGTGAAGAATGATGATGATATTTTGATGAGAATTGCATTGAATTTGTAGATTGCTTTTGGCAGTATGGTCATTTTCACAATATTGATTCTACCCATCCATGAGGATGGGATGTATTTCCCTTTGTTTGTGTCATCTATGATTTCTTCAGGCAGTGTTTTGTAGTCTTCCTTGTAGAGGTCTTTCACCTCCTTGGTTAGGTGTATTCCTAAGTATTTTAATTTTTTAGCAGCTATTGTAAAAGGGGTTGAGTTCTTGATTTCATTCTCAGGTTGGTCACTGCTGTCGTATAGCAGTGCTACTAATTTGTATACATTTATTTCCTATCCTAAAACTTCACTGAATTCATTTATTAGATCTAGGAGCTTTTGGATGAGTCTTTAGGGTTTTCTAGGTATACAATTTTATCATCAGCCAACAGTGACAACTTGACTTCCTCTTTACTGATTTGAATGCCCTTTATTTCTTTCTCTTGTCTGATTGCTCTGGCTAGAACTTTTAGTACTATGTTGAATAGAAGTGGCAAAAGTGGGCGTCCTTCTTTTGTTCCAGTTCTCGGAGGGAATTCTTCCAACTTTTTCCCATTCAGTAGAATGTTGGCTGTGGGTTTGTTATAGATGGCTTTTTTTTTTTTTTACCTTAAGTTATGTCCCCTTTATGCTGATTTTGCTGAGGGTGTTAATTATAAAGTGATGCTGGATTTTGTCAAATGCTTTCTCTGTGTCTGTTGAGATGATCATGTGATTTTTGTTTTTAATTCTGTTTATGTGGTGTATCATTATTTATTTACTTGCTTATGTTAAACCATCCTTGCCTCCCTGATATGAAACCCACTTAATCATGGTGTATTATTTTTTTCAGTGTGCTGTTGGATTCAGTTAGCTAGTATTTTGTTGAGGATTTTTACATCTATGTTCATCAAAGATATTAGTCTGTAATTTCTTTTTTTATTATGTCCTTTCTTGGTTTTGGTATTAGGGTGACACTGGCTTCACAGAATGATTTAGGGAGTATTCCATCTTTCTCTATCTTTTGGAATAGTTTCAGGAGGATTAGTACCAATTCTTCTTTGAATATCTTATAAAATTCAGCTGTAAATCCATATGGTCCTGGACTTTTCTTTTGTTGGCAATTTTTATATTATCATTCCAATCTTGCTGCTTGTTATTGGTCTGTTCAGTTTCTATTTCTATTTCTTCCTGGTTTAATCTAGGAGGGTTTTATATTTCCAGGAATTTATCCATCTCCTCTAGGTGTTCTAGTTTGTGTACATAAAGTTGTTCATAGTAGCCTTGAATAGTCTTTTGTGTTTCTGTGGTATCAACTGTAATATTTCCCATTTTGTTTCTAATTGAGTTTATTTGGAATTTCTCTCTTGTTTTCTTGGTTAATCTCACTAATCGTCTATCGATTTTGTTTATCTTTCAAAGAACCAGATTTTTGTTTCATTTATCTTTTGTAACTTTTTTATTTTAATTTCATTTAGTTCTTCTCCAATCTTTGTTATTTCTTTTCTTCTGCTGGGTTTGGGTTTGGTTTGTTTTTGTTTCCCTAGTTACTTGAGGTGTGACCTTAGATTGTTTATCTGTGCTCTTTCAGACTTTTCGATGTAGGCATTTAATGTTATAAACTTTCCTCTTAGCACCACTTTTGCTATATCCCAGGGGTATTGATAGGTTATGTCACTATTATCACTCAGTTCAAATAATTCTTTAATTTTCATATTGATTTTATTATTGACCCAGTAATCATTCAGGAGCAGATTATTTAAGTTCCATGTATTTCCATGGTTTTGAAGGTTCTTTTTGGAGCTGATTTTTAATTTTATTCTGCTCTGGTTTGAAAGAGTAGTTGATACAATTTTGATTTCCTTAAATGTATTGAGACTTGTTTTGTGGCCTATCATATGGTCTATCATGAAGAATGTCCCATGCGCTGATGAATAGAATGTATATTCTGAAGTTGTTGGGTAGAATGTTTTGTAAATATGTGTTAAGTCCACTTGTTCTAGGGTATAGTTTAAGTCTGTTGTTTCTTTGTTGATGTTCTGTCTTGATGACCTGTCTAGTGGTATCAGTGGAGTATTGAAGTCCCCCACTATTATTGTGTTGCCATCTATCTCATTTCTTAGGTTTAGTAGTAATTGTTTCATAAGTTTGGGAGCGCTAATGTTAGGTGTATATATATTTAAGACTGTGATGTTTTCCTGTTGGACTGTTCTTTTTATCATTATATGATGTCCCTGTTTGTCTTTTTTTATTATCTGTTTTTGCTTTAAAATCTGTCTTGTCTGATAGAATAGCTACTCCTGCTTGCTTTTGTTTTTTTATTTTATTTTATTATTATTATACTTTAAGTTTTAGGGTACATGTGCACAATGTACAGGTTAGTTACATATGTATACATGTGCCATGCTGGTGTGCTGCACCCATAACTCGTCATTTAGCATTAGGTATATCTCCTAAAGCTATCCCTCCCCCCTCCCCCCACCCCACAACAGTCCCCAGAGTGTGACGTTCCCCTTCCTGTGTCCATGTGTTCTCATTGTTCAATTCCCACCTATGAGTGAGAAGATGCAGTGTTTGGTTTTTTGTTCTTGTGATAGTTTACTGAGAATGATGATTTCCAACTTCATCCATGTCCCTACAAAGGACATGAACTCATCATTTTTTATGGCTGCATAGTATTACATGGTGTATATGTGCCATATTTTCTTAATCCAGTCTATCATTGTTGGACATTTGGCTTGGTTCCAAGTCTTTGCTATTGTGAATAGTGCCGCAATAAACATATGTGTGCATGTGTCTTTATAGCAGCATGATTTATAATCCTTTGGGTATATACCCAGTAATGGGATGGCTGGGTCAAATGGTATTTCTAGTTCTAGATCCCTGAGGAATCACCACACTGACTTCCACAATGGTTGAACTACTTTACAGTCCCACCAACAGTGTAAAAGTGTTCCTATTTCTCCACATCCTTTCCAGCACCTGTTGTTTCCTGACTTTTTAATGATTGCCATTCTAACTGGTGTGAGATGGTATCTCATTGTGGTTTTGATTTGCATTTCTCTGATAGCCAGTGATGGTGAGCATTTTTTCATGTGTTTTTTGGCTGCATAAATGTCTTCTTTTGAGAAGTGTCTGTTCATGTCCTTCGCCCACTTTTTGATGGGGTTGTTTGTTTTTTTCTTGTAAATTTGTTTGAGTTCATTGTAGATTCTGGATATTAGCCCTTTGTCAGATGAGTAGGTTGCGAAAATTTTCTCCCATTTTGTAGGTTGCCTGTTCATTCTGATGGTAGTTTCTTTTGCTGTGCAGAAGCTCTTTCGTTTAATTAGATCCCATTTGTCAATTTTGGCTTTTGTTGGCTTTGCTTTTGGTGTTTTAGACATGAAGTCCTTGCCCATGCCTATGTCCTGAATGGTAATGCCTAGGTTTTCTTCTAGGGTTTTTATGGTTTTAGGTCTAATGTTTAAGTCTTTAATCCATCTTGAATTAATTTTTGTATAAGGTGTAAGGAAGGGATCCAGTTTCAGCTTTCTACATATGGCTAGCCAGTTTTCCCAGCACCATTTATTAAATAGGGAATCCTTTCCCCACTGCTTGTTTTTCTCAGGTTTGTCAAAGATCAGATAGTTGTAGATATGTGGCGTTATTTCTGAGGGCTCTGTTCTGTTCCATTGATCTATATCTCTGTTTTGGTACCAGTACCATGCTGTTTTGGTTACTGTAGCCTTGTAGTATAGTTTGAAGTCAGGTAGCGTGATGCTTCCAGCTTTGTTCTTTTGGCTTAGGATTGACTTGGCGAAGCAGGCTCTTGTTTGATGCCATATGAACTTTAAAGTAGTTTTTTCCAATTCTGTGAAGAAAGTCATTGGTAGCTTTATGGGGATGGCATTGAATCTATAAATTACCTTGGGCGAGCTGGTACCATTCCTTCTGAAACTATTCCAATCAATAGAAAAAGAGGGAATCCTCCCTAACTCATTTTATGCGGCCAGCATCATCCTGATACCAAAGCTGGGCAGAGACACAACCAAAAAAGAGAATTTTAGACTGATATCCTTGATGAACATTGATGCAAAAATCCTCAGTAAAATACTGGCAAACCGAATCCAGCAGCACATCAAAAAGCTTATCCACCATGATCAAGTGGGCTTCATCCCTGGGATGCAAGGCTGGTTCAATATACGCAAATCAATAAATGTAATCCAGCATATAAACAGAACCAAAGACAAAAACCACATGACTATCTCAATAGATGCAGAAAAGGCCTTTGACAAAATTCAACAACCCTTCATGCTAAAAACTCTCAATAAATTAGGTATTGATGGGACGTATCTCAAAATAATAAGAGCTATCTATGACAAACCCACAGCCAATATCATACTGAATGGGCAAAAACTGGAAGCATTCCCTTTGAAAACTGGCACAAGACAGGGATGCCCTCTCTCACCACTCCTATTCAACATAGTGTTGGAAGTTCTGGCCAGGGCAATTAGGCAGGAGAAGGAAATAAAGGGTATTCAATTAGGAAAAGAGGAAGTCAAATTGTCCCTGTTTGCAGATGACATGATTGTATATCAGAAAACCCCATTGTCTCAGCCCCAAATCTCCTTAAGCTGATGAGCAACTTCAGCAAAGTCTCAGGATACAAAATCAATGTACAAAAATTACAAGCATTCTTATACACCAATAACAGACAGAGAGCCAAATCATGAGTGAACCCCCCCTTCACAATTGCTTCAAAGAGAATAAAATACCTAGGAATCCAACTCACAAGGGATGTGAAGGACCTCTTCAAGGAGAACTACAAACCACTGCTCAATGAAATAAAAGAGGATACAAACAAATGGAAGAACATTCCATGCTCATGGGTAGGAAGAATCAATATCCTGCTTGCTTTTGATGTCCATTTCCATTGAATATTTTTTCCCACTCCTTTTCCTTAAATTTATGTGAGTCCTCATGTGTTAGATGACTCTCTTGAAGACAGCAGATACTTACTTGGTTGATGATTTCTTACTCATTCTGCCATTCCATATCTTGTAAGTGGAGCAATTAGGCCATTTATATTCAACATTAGTATAGAGATGTGATGTACTATTCTATTCATGGTGCTAGTTGTTGCCTTAATACCTTGGTTCTCTCTCTCTCTCTCTCTCTCTCTCTGTATTATTGTTTTATAGGCCCTATGAGATTTATGCTTTAATGAGGGTCTATTTTGTTGTATTTTGAGGTTTATTTCAAGATTTAGAACTCCTTTTAGAAGTTCTTGTAGTGCTGGCTTGGTAGTGGTGCACTCTCAGCATTTACTTTTCTAAAAAAGACTTTATCTTTCCTTCATTTACAAGGCTTAGTTTCACTGGATACAAAATTCTTGGCTGATAGTTGTTTTGCTTAGGGAAGTTAAAGATAGGACCCCAAATCCCTTCTAGTTTGTAGGGTTTCTGCTGAGAAATCTGTTAATTTGATAGGTTTTCCTTTACAGGTTACCTGATGCTTTTGCCTCACAGCTCTTAAGACTCTTTCCTTTGTCTTGACTTTAGATAACCTGATGATTACATGCCTAGGTGATTATCTTTTTGTGATGAATTTCGTGGGTGTTCTTTGAGCTCCTTTTATTTCAATATCTAGATCTGTAGCAAGGCCAGGGAAGTTTTCCTCAATTATTCCCTCAAATAAGTTTCTAAACTTTTAGATTTGTCTTCTTCCTTGGGAACGCCAATTATTCTTAGGTTTGGTCATTTAACATAATCCCAAACTTCTTGGAGGCATTGTTCATTTCTTTTATTCTTTTTTCTTTGTCTTTGTTGGATCGGGTTAATTAAAAAGCCTTGTCTTCAAGCTCTGAAATTCTTCCTTCTACTTGTTCAATTCTATTGTTGAAACTTTCCAGTGTATTTTGCATTTCTCTAAGTGTGTCTTTCATTTCCAGAAGTTGTGATTGTTTTTTATTTGTGCTATCTATTTCTCTGTATAATTTTTCACCCATATTCTGTATTATTTTAAAAAATGTTTTAAAGTTGAATTTCATGTTTTTCTGGTGCCTCCTTCAGTAGCTTAATAATCAGTCTTCTGAATTCTCTTTCTGGCAATTCAGAGATTCCTTCTTGGTTTGGATCCATTGCTGGTGAGCTAGTGTGATCTTTTCAGGATGTTAAAGAACCTTGTTTTATCATATTACCAGAATTTATTTTCTGGTTTCTTCTCATTTGGTTAGACTATGTCAGAGGAAAGATCTGGGGTTCAAGCACTGCTATTCAGATCCTTTTGTCCCATAGGGTGATCACTTGATGTGGTGCTCTCTTTCTTCCTCTAGGGATGGGGCTTCCTGAGAGCAAGACTGCAGTGATTGTTATTGCTTTTCTGGGTCAAGCCACCCAGCAGAGCTACCAGGCTCTGGGCTGGTATGGGGGAGTGTCTGCAAAGAGTCCTGTGATGTGATCCATCTTCAGGTCTCTCAGCCATGGATACTGGCACCTGCTTCAGTGGAGGAAGCAGGGGAGTGAGTGGGCTCTGTGAGGGTCCTTGGTTGTAGTTTTGTTTAGTGTGCTGGTTTCCTCGCATGCTGGTTGTGCTAGCAGAGAAGTGGTCATGTAGACAGACTCAGGACTTCTGGTTAGCCAGGATGTTACAGACAGTGAAATTAGCTGTTGTTTTCTCCTTTCTTTGAGCTGGGTTGTTTTTTCATAAGTTGCTGTAATGGCTTGAGTAGGTTGGCCTCCAGCCAGGAGGATGTACTTTCAAGAGAGGATCAGCTGCCATAGTATGGGGGCATATAAGCTTGCCCTAAGGTCACCTAGATAAGTATTCAGGTTTCCCAGATGATGGGCAGGGCCATAGAACTCCCAAGAGATTCTGTCTTTTGTCTTCAGCTAGCAGGGTAGGTAGAGAAAGACCATCAGGTGGGGGCAGGGTTAGGCATGTCTGAGCTCAGACTCTCCTTGGGCAGGGCTTGCTGCAGCTGGTGTGGGGAATGGGGGTGTGAGCCTCAGGCCAATGGAGTTATGTTTCCAGGGAGATTATGGCTACCTTTGCTACATCATACAGTCACCAGGAAAGTGGGAAAAAGTTGGCAGTGACAGGACTCACCCTGCTCCCACTCAGCCAGCAAGGCCAGTCTCACTCCCACCATGCCTCACCAGCAGCACAAAGCCTATATCCAGGAAGTTGGTAAGCAGGGCTGAGAGCTTGTTCCAGGCTATAAGCCTCCCTATTGAGAATGCAAGCAGGGCTTTCAGGTCCCACCCGTCCCCACCTGCCATGGCTTCTGTGCTCATATCTGCACTTCCTGTTCATCCCCCCCAACCCCAGATTCAGCCCAGAAAAATTCATGCTCAGTCAAAATTATTACAAAGTTCAGCTGGGAGTTTTCTTCTTTCTGTGGTCCTTCCCCAATTCCACTGGCAGCCCTCCCCCGAAACTCAAGTGAGATAAAGCCAGAAATGTCTTCCTTGGGCTTCCCTAGGGATTAGTTCTCACAGGGCCCTTCCCACTGTTTCTTTTACTTTTATATTTCACTCGGGTTTCTAAAGTTATTTCAGCTCTAGGTGAGGTTACATCCCTGTGATCTGGATTTTCAGGTTCCCCAGGGAGGATGTGTGTTCAGAGGTGAAATTTCCCCCTCTCACACTTTGGGCACTCACAGTTTTTTGGCTGTCTCATGGAGTTTGCAGTGGCAAGCCACTTATCTCAAAGGGTCCATGAATTCTTTTGTTTTCCTGGTATGTTCCTGCAGTAGTTCTTGGAGCAAAAGTTCACAATGTGAGTCTCCGCATGCTGTTCTGTCCATCTGAGTGGGAGCTGCAAGTTAGTTCTGCCTCCTGTCTGCCATTTTTTTCTCCCCCTAAAACACTTTCTGAATCTGGGCCACTATCCTTTGTTCAATATAGTGTGTCAAAAGTGAAATATTGAATTTTCAAGCCTTGGCTTCAAGATGCCTTGCAGGTTATGCTCTTGCATTTTGGAATACATAGAGCTATAAAAAGAAGCTAGATAACTTCAGCTGCATGAAAGAACCCGTTGAGATCAGTGCAAGAATATTCCAACTAATCTTCATACAAACTAATGACCCACAGAACTTTTGAGGATATAAAATTTTTGTTGTTTCAAGCTAAATTTGGGAGTCATTTGCTATGCAGACAAAGATAACTGAATCAGAAAATGATATCTGGAAATTGGGTGCTGCACAACAAAAAGTAAAATGTTTCACGGGCTTTGGGACTAGGCAATAGGTAGAGGCCAAAATGTAGTGAGGAAAATGCTATTGGGACTGGGAAAATAGTGACTCATATATGTAATATGAAACAATTGGCAAAACTGGGCATCTGAGTCAAGTGCAAATTGTTACATCACAAAATTGTAATCATATAAAATAACTGCTTTTTGAAGCCATTAAGTTTGGGATGGTTTGTTATATAGCAATAAAAAACTAAGACTCATTTTGACATTATCTTTTAATTGGCATATTTAGTCCATTTACATTTAATGTAATTACTAATTTGGCTGGGTTTCTATCATCTTGTAACTTTTTAATTTATCCAATCTATACTTTGTTACTTTTTTTCTGCCTTTCTTGTTTTCTTTTGGATTAATGAGTTTGTTTAGCTTTTCATTTTATTCCCTCCATTGGGTTTTTTAGTTCTACTTCTTTGTGTGAGTGGGTAGAGAAATGAAGAGAGGTTTTTTTTCTGTTGCCTACAAAATCTTGGAAAATAGAAAATACACCTAATAATTTGTGAATCTAGGAGGATTTATAGAAAGACCATTGCAAGAATCAACTGGCTTCTTACATCTTCACAAAAGGTACAGAAACAGAGAGATGAACTAAGAAAAGAATTATTTTGTTTTCAAGGAGAAATCAGAGAAAATATAGAGTTCCAAGGACTTACTGTGCTGGAAAATAAAGTAATTTCTTATCTTTTATCTATTCAGCTGGTAAACTCTTCTCAAAGTGAGAAATAGACTCAGGATACATATTCAATCAAGAGTGTGATCCTTTGCTAGAACCTCTGAGAGATTAAGCCAGTTCTTAGTAGATGTTTTTGGCCACTCAAAGTGTTCCTAAGAATTTAAGGTCATGTTTCAACAGCAACCTGATATACCTACACTAAAGAGTAGTCTGTCTCAGAAAAAAAAGTATGGTTATTGCTATTGGGGTATAGAATAAACCTAGTATGACTCATTGCAATCTACTAAAAATTTTTTTTAGACACACTACTAGAAAAGACATTATCAGTTTAGATTAAAAGGGACTAAGATGGTTCAAAATGAAAAAGGGATCTCAGACCCCCACATTTGTATGAACAGAAAGCAAACTAAGAAAACTATTTAGCTGCAAATATAGTCAATTTCTTCTAGAAAAAATGTCTCAGATGACAGAGCCCAGAACCCAGATAAGAGAACCAGGTTCCACAGAGAGCTATGGAATAAGGAACCACTCCAGAAGCAGAACCAGACCCCAGTGACAGAACATCTCTGGCTCAGTGTAGGGAAACCTGACAGTATTTGCCTAGTGGAATTTCAGAATAGCTATGGGACAGCAACTGCTATAGTTTTCTCATTTTATTGGCAAGTGTCTATTGCAGTTATCATCTCCCTGTCTCACTATTGTAAATTGGTAGTGTGTATGGCACATAAGTTGTCTTTTTAGTTCAAAATTCCTGTAATTGAGAAGAGCCACACTTGAGGAGTTATGCCCAAAAAGGCTCAATGATATCTAGACTCAGTGCGAATCACTAGATCATGGATTTTGAGCCTGATGCCATAATCAGATGACACCTTGTGTTTACTTGGACCAAATATGCATATTTTGCATGTGGGATATAGAAATTATTTGTAGCCAGAGTACAGACTGTTACAGTTTGCAAATGGCTACAAATTCTTTGTAGCATCTCCTATCAATAGATGGAACATATTTCTCTACTTTTTAAAGCTGAGATTTTTTTCTTTAAGACGTGGTCTTGCCCTGTCACCCAGGCTGGAGTGCAGTGGCACAAACAACCACTGCAGCTTTGACCTCCAGGGCTCAAGCAATCCTTCTGTCTCAGCTTCCCAAGTAGATGGAACTACAGATGAACACCATTAAACCCAGCTTTTTTTTTTTTTTTTTTTTTTGGTAGTGATGAGGGTCTCACCATGTTGTTCAGGCTAGGCTTGAACTCCTGGGCTCAGCAATTCTCCTGCCTCATCCTCTCAAAGTGCTGAGATTACAGGCATGAGCCACTGAACCTGGCAAAAGCTGAAATAATCTTATGATTTGCCTTGACCAAGAGAAAGTGATATACGTGACATGGTTAGACTCCTAAGCCTACTTCTCAAGAGGCCTTGTGGCTCTTGTCTATTTTGAATAATTCTGCATTTCAAAGCAGCGTGAGTCTCAGAAAGATATAGCCCAATTGACAGCACCAACTGCCAGATATGTAAGTCAGTCCATATTAACTCATATAGTCCTAGCTCAGGTGTGAAATGTCTGCAGCTACATGAATGTCCACAAGTGAGACCAGTATAAGAACCAACCATCTGAACCCAGTACAAATTGTTAAGTCACAGAATTGTAAGCATATAAAATAATTGCTTTAGAAGCCACTAAGTTTGATGTGGTTTGCTATATACAGCAATAGACACCTAAGACTCATTCTGACAATATCTGTCCTGTAATTGGCATACTCAGTGTATTTATATTGAATGTAGTTATTAATTTGGCTGGGTTTGTGTCTATTAGCTGTTTGTTTATTTAAAAAAAAATTGTTCCACCTGTATTACTTTATCTTTCCTTAATGATTTTTAAAATTATTTTATTTTATCACCCTCTATTGGATGTTTTTAGTTCTAGTTCATTGTGAAATGGACAGAAGGCAAGAAAATACTGGGTAGAAGAGGGCGGTTCCCTGGCAAAGGCCCCATCCTCAAGCCTGAAAACCCGTGGCCCTAAATGGGAAGAGGCATTCCTGTTTTCATGCCCAAAAGTTGCCTTTTGGCCTACCTATCCTGTACACAGATAAACCCCAAACCCTTTTCTGTTCATTTCCATGAGATATGAACA
Source organism: Homo sapiens (assembly GCF_000001405.40). Lineage (NCBI taxonomy): Eukaryota > Metazoa > Chordata > Mammalia > Primates > Hominidae > Homo > Homo sapiens. The sequence continues at coordinate 111,066,329 of NC_000001.11, forward strand.
GAAGAACAGAAGAGCAGAGGAGCAGAAGAACAACATGGCAGAGAAGAAAAGAAAAGGAGCATCTAAACGTTGAGAGGAGTTCAGCTGGGGACAATCAGAGAGGAGATTGGCCTCAGGATGGCCAAACTCCAGGGGAAGATCAACTTTCCATTCCATCCCCTTTCAAGCTTCCCATCCATCCCACTGAGAGCCACCTCCACCACTCAATAAAGCCCCCACATTCATCATCCTTCAAGTCAATGTGTGACCTGATTCTTCCTGGATGTCAGACAAGAGCCCAGGTGCCAAGAGGGCACTGAGCTGGTTAACACCTAAGCCATCGGCAGGTGGCAAAGCTAAAAGAGCTCGCTTTAACACATGCCTACTTAGGCTTTGGGAGTTGCCGGTACCCACCCCTAGATGTTGCCATGGGGACAGAGCCCATAAGTGCTCGCCCTGGTTCCTGCACCTGCCATCTGCGTGCTCCCCCTCTCATAAGGGGTTTGAGTGCAAGGCAGTTGAGCAGATGAGCCACACCCCTGTCATACATCCTGAGAGGGGGATCAGGGAACTTTCCTGTTTCAACTGTATTTTTAAAAAAATTTATTGATACATTATATTGGTACATATCTATAGGGTACATGTGAAATTTTGTTACATACTTGAAATGTGTAATGATCAAGTTAAGGTATTTAGGGTATCCATACATCAAGTATTTATCATTTATATTTGCTGGAAAGACTGCAAGTTATCTCTTTTAGCTACTTTGAAATATATAATACACTCTTGTTAACTATAGTCACCCTTCTCTGCTATCAAACATTAGAACTTATTCCTTCTATTTTATTGCATATTTGTACTCATTAATCAATCTCTCTTCATCTCCTTACCCATGCATCCTTTCCAGTCCCTGCTATCAATTATTCCATTCACTATATCCATGTGATCAACTTTTTTATCTCCCATACATGAGTGCAAACATGTATTTGTCTTTCTGTGCCTGAGTTATTTTACTCAACATAATAACTTCCAGTTCCATCTATCTTGATGCAAATGACATGATTTCATTCCTTTTTATGGATGAATAGTAATGCACTGTGTATATACATGACATTTTGTTTATCCATTTGTCCATTGGTGAGCACTTAGTTTGGTTCCATGTCTTGGCTATTATGAATGGTGTTGTAACAAACATAGGGGTGCTGGTATGCCTTTGATATGCTGATTTCTTTTTCTTTGGATAAATACCCAGTAGTGGAGTTGTTGAGTCACATGGTAATTCTATTTTTAGTTTTTTGAGAAATCTCCATACTGCCTTTCTTTCTTTCTCTCTCTTTCCTTCCTTCCTTCCTTCCTTCCTTCCTTCCTTCCTTCCTTCCTTCCTTCCTTCCTTCCTTCCTTTCTTCTCTTTCTTTCTTTCTGAGACAGTCTCGCTCTTGTCGCCCAGGCTGGAGCGCAATGGCGCAATCTCGGCTCACTGCAACCTCCACCTCCCTGGTTCAAGCAATTCTCCTTCCCCAGCCTCCCAAGTAGCTGGGATTACAGGTGCCTGCCACCATGCCTGGCTAATTTTTTGTATTTTTAAAAGAGATGGGGTTTCACCATGTTGGTCAGGCTGGTCTTGAACTCCTGAACTCAGGTGATCCACTCACCTCAGCCTCCCAGAGTGCTGGGATTACAGGTGTGAGCCACCAAACCTGGCCCTCCATACTGTTTTCTATAGTGGTTGTACTAATTTACTAATTTACATTCCAAACAACAGTGTATAAGAAAGAGTTCTCTTTTGCCTGTATCTTCACCACAACCTGTTTTACTTTGTCTTTTTAATATTAGCCATTCTAACTGGGGTAGGATAATATCTCATTATGGTTTTTATTTGCAGTTTTGATTATTAATGATGATGAGCATTTTTTCATATATCTGTTAGCCATTTGTATGTCTTTTGAGAAATGTCTATTTATGCCCTTTGATTATTTGTTTTTTTATTTGTATAAATTGAAGGCAGTACAGGTGTTGCTTTGTTACATGTATAAATTGCATGGTGGTGAGGTCAGGGCTTTTATGGGATCCGTAACTCAATGTACATTGTACCCATTAAGTAATTTCTCAATCATACCCCATTCATCTGCTCACCATTCCAATTCTCTTACTATCATTGCACATTCTACCTGCATGTGTGCTCATTATTTAGCTCCCAGTCATAAGTGAGGATATGTGATATTTATTTTTATGCATGTGAATCTTTCACTTAAGATAATGGCCTTCACTTTGGGAGGCCGAGGCGGGCGGATCATGAGGTCAGGAGATCGAGACCATCCCGGCTAAAACGGTGAAACCCCGTCTCTACTAAAAATACAAAAAATTAGCCGGGCGTAGTGGCGGGCGCCTGTAGTCCCAGCTACTTGGGAGGCTGAGGCAGGAGAATGGCGTGAACCCGGGAGGCGGAGCTTGCAGTGAGCCGAGATCCCGCCACTGCACTCCAGCCTGGGCGACAGAGCGAGACTCCATCTCACAAAAAAAAAAAAAAAAAAAAAAAAAGATAATGGCCTTGAGTTCCATCCATGTTGCTGCAAAAAGCATGATTTCATTCTTTTTTATGGCTGAATAGTATATCATTGTCGATATCACATTTTTTAATCCAATCATCTTTTTAAAAAACTTTTATTTTAGGTTCAGGGG